>NC_000007.14:124381779-125006779 GCF_000001405.40 Homo sapiens
AGGTTATAGAACACCAAGTGGATTTAATCCAGATAAGACTACCTCAAGACATTAAATGATCTCTCAAAATTCAAGGACAAAGAAAGAATCCTAAAAGCAGCAAGAGAAAATAAATAAATTACACCAAATGGAGCTCCAATATGTCTGACGGTAGACTTCTCAGCAGTAACCTTACAGGTCAGGAGAGAATGGCATGACATATTTAAAGTGCTGAAGGAAAAAAAAAGAAAAACGTTTACCCTAGAATAGCATATCCAGCAAAAATATCCTTCAAACATAAAGAAAAAAATAAATATTTTTCTAGACAAACAAAAGCTGACGGATTTTATCAACACCAGAACTGTCCTACAAGAAATGCTAAAGGGACCACTTCAATCTGAAAGCAAAGGATGTTAATAAGCGGCTAGAACTCATCAGAAAGTACAGTACTCACTGGTAAGAGCAAGTACACAGAAAAACACAGAATATGATAACACCATAATTGTGGTTTGTGAACTACTCATATATTTTGAGTAGGAAGACTGAAAGGTGAACTGATAAAAATAATGACTACAACAAATTTTTGAGATATAGAGAGTATAATAAAGTATAAATAGAAAAAAGTTAAAAAGCAGGGGAACGATTTTAAAACATAAAATTTTTATTAGTTTTCTCTTTGTTTGTTTGTTTATGCAATCAATGCTAAATTATCATCAGCTTAAAATAATGGGTTATAAGATATTGTTTGCAAGCCTCATGGCAATCTGAAATCAAAATAACTTATGACAGATACAGAGAAAATAAAAAGCAAGAAATGAAAACATACCACAAGAGAAAATCACCTTCTCTGAAAGGAAGATAGGAAGGAAGAAAAGAAAGAAGACAACAAAGCAACCAGAAAACAAATTACAAAATGGTAGGAGTAAGTCCTTACGTATCAGCAATAACATTGAATGTAAATGAACTGAACACTCCAGTGAAAAGACAGAGTGACTGAATTGCTAAAATTACAAGACCCAGTGATCTGTTGCCTGCAAGAAAAACACTTCACCTATGAAGACAGACATAGATGCAGGAATAGCTATATTTATATCAGCCAAAATAGATTTCAAAATGAAAACTATAAAAAGAGACAAAGATGGCCATTATGTAATGATAAAGGGGTCAATTCAGCAAGAGGATATGACAACTGTAAATATATATGCACCCCACACTAAAGCCCCTAGATACATAAGCAAATATTACTAGGACTAAAGAGACAGACTCCAATAATAGCTGGAGATTTCAACACTCCACTTTCAGCATTGGGCAGATCATCCAGACAGAAAATCAACCAAAAAAAATTGGACTTAATCTGGCCCATAGACTAAATGGACCTAACAGATATTTACAGAACATTTCATTCAACAGCTGCAGAATGCACATTCTTCTCCTAAGCACATAGATCGTTCTCAATAATAGACCATATATTATGCCACAAAACATGTCTGAAAAAGCTCAAAATAAATTATATTAAATATGTTCTCTAACTACAGTAAAATAAAAGTAGAAATCAATAACAAGAGGAATTTTGGAAATGATACAAACACATGGAAATTATAAATATGCTCCTGAATGACTGATGAGTCAATGAAGAGAAAAAGGGAGAAATTAAAAAATTTTGTGGAACAAAACAATGGACAGAACATACCACAACCAATGTAATACAGCAGAAGCAGTTATTAATAGGAAAAATTATAGGTATAAGAACCTACATTTAAAAAGTAGAAAAAGTTGTACTAAAAATAAACAACCTAATGATGCATCTTAAAGAACTAGAAAAGCAAGAGCAAATAAATCAACCCAAAGTTAGTAGAAAAAAAGAAATAATAAAGATCAGAGTAGAAATAAATAAAATTGAAATGAAGAGAACAATACAAAAGATTAATGACATGAAAAGTTTGTTTTCTGAAAACATCAACAAAATTGACATTTAGCCAGACTTAACTAAGAAAAAAAAAAAGAAGACCCAAGTAAATGAAACGAGAGATGAAAAAAGAGACATTACAACAAATACTGCAGAAATCCAAAGGATCATTAGAGGCTACTATGAACAACTACATGCCAAGAAATTGGAAAATCTAGAGGAAATGGATAAATTCTCAGACATATACAACCTACAAACATTGAACCATGAATAATTTCAAAACTTGAATAGACCAATAGCAAGTAATGAGATCAAATAAAAAGTCTTCCAGCAAAGAAAAGCTCAGGACCTGATGGCTTCACTGCTGAATTTCATCAAAAATTTAAAAAACTAATATCGATCCTACTGAAACTGTTCTGAAAAACAGGGAAGGAAGGAATACTTCCAAACTCATTCTATGAGGCCAGTATTACCCAGATACTAAAATGAGACAGACACATCAAAAATACAAAAAAAAAGGCCACTATATTTGATGAACATTGATGCAAAAATACTCAGAAAAATACTAGCAAACCAAATTCAACAATAAAAAGATCATTCATCATAACCAAGTGGGATTTGCTCCTGAAATGCAAGCATGATTCAACATACACAAATAGTGAAGGTGATACATCATTATCCACAGAATGAAGGCAACAAAATGCTTGAAAAAGTATTTTTATTGTGAAGGGATGTTGATGAAATTCAACATCCTCTTCTTGTGCCAGCTTTTAAGGGGAATGCTTCCAGCTTTTGCCCATTCAGCATGGTACTGGTACAAGAACAGACACATAGAACAATGGAATAGAATAAAGGACCCAGAAATGAGGCCACACACCTACAACCATCTGATCTTCAACAAACCTGACAAAAACAAGCAATGAGGAAATGATTCCTTATTCAATAAATGGTGCTGTGATAACTGGCTAGTCATATGCAGAAGATTGAAAGTGGACCGCTTCCTTACACTATATACAAAAATCAACTCAAGATGGATTAAAGACTTAAATGTAAAACCCAAAACTGTAAAGACCCTGGAAGACAACCTAGGCAATACCATTCAGGACATAGGCACAAGCAAAGATTTCATGACAAAGATGCCAAAAGAAATTGCAGTAGTAGAAATATTTGCCCACTCCAGTGTCCTGGAGAATTTTCTCAATGTTTTCTTGTAGTAATTTTATAGTTTGAGGTCTTAGATTTAGGTCTTTAATCCATTTTGATTTGATTTTTGTGTATGGTGAGAGATCGTGGTCTAGTCTCATTCTTCTGCATATAAATATCCAGCTTTCCCAGCATCATTTATTGAACAGACTATCTTTTAGCTAATGATGTTCTTGACATCTTAGTTGAGAAGACTACTATAAGGTCTAACTTTGGCTTTACTTGCAAACATATATAAACATATTGATACTAATAGAAGCAGTTTGAGATGTTTCCAGAAAAAAAATTTAACCGCCAAGTTTAGTATGTTTAAACCTAGTTTTCAAAATTGGTTCTGTTCTTTCAAGAAGTACTTCTATGTTAGAAATAATTATCCTTAAATTCTAGAAAAGCTGATCATCAAAATTGTGTCGCTGTTAAGATAGAATTTATTCTAACATTTCTAGCAGAAAGAAAAATTAACTCATTTTTAGATGCAATGCCTTTGTTTTATAATACTAAATAATTATGATATGCTTTGACTGCGTCTCACCCAAATCTCAACTATAGTTGTATCTCCCAGAATTCCCACATGTTGTGGGAGGGACCCGGGGGAGGTAATTGAATCATGGGGGCCAGTCTTTCCTGTGCTATTCTCGTTATAGTGAATAAGTCTTACGAGATCTGATCGGTTTATCAGGGGTTTCTGCTTTTGCTTCTTCCTCATTTTCCCTTGCTGTCGCCATGTAAGAATTGCCTTTCACCTCCTGCCATGATTCTGAGGCCCCCAGCCATGTGGAACTGTAAGTCCAATTAAACTTTTTGTTCCCAGTTTCAGGTATGTTTTTATCAGCAGCGTGAAAACAAACTGATACAAATTATTAATAAGCATGTGTGTTTTAAATAGTAAATAATAAAAAATAATTCTTTAGTGATTTAGTAGATTTTCTAATTAAGAACAATTTAAAAACACATTAGTATATGTAAAGTAACATGGAATGTAAATGCTGAATTAAGTGAGACATCAGAATGGGGCAAAATTAATTGGGAAGGCATTTTTATGTGGCGATTTAAAAATTATGTTGAAAACTATAGAATGCCAGAAAAGATAGGATTGTATTTGACGAAGAGCTCATGGAACATGAAAAGACATAAGGTAGAAAAGAGTTAATGAGGTTATCCAAGTTAGAAAGTGAAGCAATGTTTCAATTACTAAGGTCTAAAGAGTAGGTAGAATTCAATTATTTCTCCTTTGTATAAAGTTGATTTTTCCTTTACTTTGATGTTTTTCATTTATTTTAATAAGACATACTAAAAAAGCAGGGTCTTGATCATACTAACTAGACCTTTTGAGTGATTTAACTGCTTAACTGTGGGCATTGCTTCCATTCTTGACTTTTTCACTCTAGTTTCCTATTTTATAGAAATATTTGAACATAGGATTTTTAGCAAGTATTATCTGATTATTAAATGACAAATTCAGAACATTATTCTATACCACAGCAAAAAGCTATGTTTCCTCCCAGAAACACCAATGATTCAATTTGTCGTCTTGGACAACTTACAAACACCTAAACAGCTCACCTGCTGAAATTCTTACCTTGGACTTTGTGTAGTCAACATTTGTGTTTCCATTAATTTACATTTTTTATGTCCAATTATTCACTCTCCATACTTATTCAAATTCCCAAGCAACATAGATGTTTGGTTACACTCAATACATATATATGTATTTATGTTATGTATATGTGTATACATGTATATGTATTTACGTACATGCATGAGTGTATACATGTGTAAGATACATGTCATGCGCACATATACACATACTATATACACATGTATGAGTGTATACATGTGTATGATACATGCCATGCACACATATACACATACTATATACATGTGTACACATGTATATATATAGTGAATATGATTTAAATTTAGTAAGAAAAATAACTACATCTATACATTAGTTTAATAGAGCATCTACTACTGGAATTGTAAAATTTCTTTTAAAATATTTCAGTTGATTGCTAGTTTTTAATAATATAAACTGAAGGAATATAAAGGAAGGGGCCACATCAAAACACCACTTATGCGTCATTTCAAATCAGTTATATCACTCAAGTTTTCTAAAATTATAAGTAAAATTAAAAAGAGTGGAAAATACATCAGATGTAAAAGAATGTTTTCAGTTCAAGGACAAAATTAATTATCTAAATTATCCCAGCAGGTTTGGTGGTCTTCTTTGTATGAGCCACCTGCTTTTCCCTTTCTTGTCGCCCTGGCTTTTTACAATCGTGCCCGTAACCCTGTCATTGACCATGTTATCGTTTAAGAGCTTTGTGATTTTAGAAGGATGTGTGTGGGTCATGTTTAAGCCATTGTCAGTTGCTATTATAATTACAGTGATTGTTATCTAGTGAAAGCTTTGCTGGCAGAATTCCACCAGAAGGCTAAAACTTGCATCCAAGTTTTCATTAAGCTATTGGGGTTTGTCATTCTATTTAAAATGAGATTTAATTCTGTTTTTATTAAAGTGTAAGCATTATTGAATTCCATAACTATCAAAAAGGGCTTTCAAATTTATTTAAAAATCAGTTAACTAATTAAAGACCGTCACAAACCAGGACATTAAATCACATATGATGCATATTTGTGATATCAGTTCTTAAAACAGGTATATACATAAAATACAGTATTATTTTTCTGAACCAAATTTTTTTATGAAACAGAAAATTTCTGAAACCATAGACTATTTGGTTTAAAAAAAATCATGTTATATAACCCAGCAATTGAACTCCTTTGTATTTACCCAAAGGAGTTGAAAACTTACATCCACACAGAGGGATCCACTGCACAGGGAGGTTTATAGCCTTGGGAAGCAGTGGTTGCCAGGGTATGGGAGGAGGAAGCGATAAATAGATGAAACACAGTGGAGTTCCAGGGCAAGGAAACTGTTTTATAAGATACTGTATTGCTGGATACATGTCATTATACATTTGCCCAAACCCATGAACGGTACAAGATCAATAGTCAGCCCTATGTAAACTATGGACTTCAGGTGATTATGAAATATCAGTGTAGGTTTGTTGATTGTAACAAATATACCACTCTTTTTTTTTTTTTTTTTTGAGATGGAGTCTCCTACATACCACTCTTAATGGGGGTTGTTGTTAAGAGGGGAGGCTGCGCATATGTGGGGTAGGCAATATGTGGGAAATCTCTATGTCTTCCTCTTAATTTTGCTGTGAACCTAAAACTTCTCTTAAAACTAATGTCTTTTAATAAAAAAACATGTTTTACTTTGTGATCAGTAAAAATTATGCCCAAGATTATACTTAGATACATAACTAGTTACAAATCATTACAATAATTCCCCTGAGAAAGTTTACTTTTGTTCACTATTGTTTACATACAAGAAAAAGTTAATGGTTTTATAAGGAAGATATTTAGTAATCAGAATTGAATATGTGTATACTACATTTGATCAGAAAATACCTAAAATTATTACCTGGGAATATTGGTTAATTCATTCTATTGTGTATGCACCCATGTGTGATGAAGGGAGAAGGGAGATGAAATAATACCAGCATCCTGAACCTGAATGTCCAGCTTCGCCTTGTTCTTTGTGGATTATAAGACCATTGATTAAATAAATCCTTTCATCAAAATTATCTTGTAAGTAGAAGTTCAACAAATAACTTGCTTCACATGTGAAGACACAAAAGTACACAAATCAAAACCAAAAAACCTAAGGCTACCTGATGGCAAGATAACACTTGGAGAGCTAGAAACGCGAGGTTTTTATTTTTCTGTATCTAGCGTTTATATCGACTTCCAAAATTGGTTGTTTGTATCCTAGTCTGTAAAATGGTGCGGATATAAATTAAACTTAGGAGAGTGTTGTGATGTTTTCACCAGTAAACACTTAGGTCCAAGAATGAAGGAGAACTAATACATATTCACTGTCTAATATATACCAACACTAAGCATATATGTGATGATATTTAATGTCCTTGGCCACTCCTCAGACTTCCTGGATGTGTCTCCTCTCACAAGTGGAATTTATAAATAGCAAGGGATGGTTGATTTTTAACCCCAGTTCAAGAAAGCTAAGTTAAATGCTCTGTAAGGACTCTAAACGTGAGTCATTAATAAAACAATTGCTGATATATTAGAAGAGTACAAACTAGGATCACCTAGTCAAGAGTGAATTATTTTTATAAGCAATGATGTTTAGGTTTTACAAAATTACAAACAATTTATTTCATAGTCTATCCTTGTTATAAAATGAACAAAACATAATCTTTAATTATTAAACAAATTTAGAGATCAAATAGATAAGCTTTACATTTAGCAACTGCACCAACTGGCAGACATTTGGGCTACACTGACAATATGTGAAATATGTGCTCAAGTGTATATTTAATAAAACACAAGGATTTTATGGTATAATGCATTGTGTTAATGCATTTGGTTGGTTCCAGTGTGAACTACATATACTGTATTCATTTCAACAGTAAACTTCCTAAATAAAACACACAAACATTTAAGCAACATATAGCATTATGACGTTACCCTTAAAATAATCTCTAATACAGTATTTTAAATCCATATTCCAGAAAAAAGAAACTACCATCTAAATCCAGTTATTCCATCTGACTTGGTAGCAGTGATGTTTGGAGTTTAGGACCTAAAGGTGAAATGGTAGGTAAGGAATGTCCTTTCAGAATTTTAGGGTTCTCTTTAAAATAAGGATCGATAAACCAGTATTAACCGATGCATTTATGGGTTATTAGTAACTTTGCTTTTAGTTTTTTCTACTTCAGTGAGTCTGAAATATTGCCAGTGTTAAAGAATATGATGGTTCTTGCTCAATAGTGAAGAAGATATGAAGGAAAATCAGACGGACATTTTTTTTTTTTCTGGTTGATGTCATTAGGTTGAATTTAAATTGCATATGATGTTGAGAAACCACACACTTAATTTTTTTGAAAATTGTAGGGTGCAATGACTGTCTTCTACTTGAATGGAAATGATTATAAATATGTTTTAAAATTTGACAAGTGCTAGTGAATATAAAATATTATTGCTATATTATTTTTCATTAAGTTGTGGTCTTAAAGACACTTCTAAACGATACATTTTTTTGTGAAGAGATTTAATTATCTTTTAAATTGTTCTTTTTAAAGTATTTATTAAAAACATCAACATTATTTTTTAAATTCTTAAGTATAATGTTATGGAAAAATACTGTATGAAATATTCTAAAACACAAATTCTTTATCTTTTCATTTATTAAAAAATAATTTGTTTCTATTTCCTTTTTCCAGAGTCAGTTTGGCCCGATCTGTACATATTTTGCAGTTAGAAAAAGTATTTGATATGTATTTGATAAACTGATTAAATGCTAAATGGTTTTGAGATGATTCTTATACTGGAATCTATATCTTTTAAATACACACTAAGTAGACTGACAAATAGAACAAAATTGCTAGAAGAATCAAGTTCATTCTCTGCTTCTTGCAATGTAACTAATTAAATATGAAGGAGAGACAAAATGCTAGTACAACGAATCAAAGAAACAGAGAGAGAGAGAATCAGTTCATTTTTCAATATGTCATTGTTTCTTAGACAAGAACAATGAATCACTGAGCACAAATGGCTTAATCTCCAGGCACAGCCTCTAGTGTTGCTCCAGATTCAAACTAACATTTGATGACAATATAAGACATTCATCTCTTGTGAATCTATTGTTTAGTGTGGGTTTTAATTTGTTGCAATAGTTATAAGCCACAACAAATGCAGGTTTTCAGAGAATCAGAAATGGAGTAAGAATGGAACACTGTATGTTCTAGATCACAGGCCATTTATGTATGTATGTATCCCTACTATAATGTTGATGATGCTTACATAATTTCTTTATATGTAGAAAAGATACTTCAAATTTCAGATAGATGATCACACCAACAAATGGCAAATGTTGTATTTCTGTCAAAACATTAAATTTGGCATGCTTGGTGTTTCTTCAACATGGAATGACCATCAAGTTAAATGGCTGGAAAACTTAAGCTGAGAATGGTGTTGTTTACATTTCTTCACAGAAGAAGCAAGATAAATACCATATTATGTGCGCATGTGTATATGTAAATCACAGTGCACAGAAAAAGAGAGATGTCTTTCACTGATATTAAAACTAGGTGAAGATAAGCCAAAATAATTTTTCAATTAAGCTGTTTCTTAAATGCTTAACAATTATCTTTTCTAACTATAAACCATGTCATTGAATACAAGATTCACCAGCTATATTTTGGACAAAGGATGTCAAAAATGTTTTTATTCTTATGGTCAGCATCTGTCCATACCAAGAAAATGACAGACATACAGTAAACACTCAACATGTTTGCTGAATGGAGAGCTATGAAGCTTTGAGGAAACTGCATGACCTGATATTTCAAGGAATATCTTTTGGCTACAGATATTCTGATAAATATACAATTTTAGATGTTGGGAGATAAAGTACAGATCTGTAAGGTGGTCAAAATAATGTTTGCCTTTTCCCCTTTCTTACTTTTGTAGATATATGTACATATATACATATGTACTCACACAGACACATACACACACACACATATGTATGTGTGTTGCCTGGAAAGCAAGTGTGTAGAAATCGTGGGATTAGGATTAGGATTATGGGGATCTAACTGCGTCCATGTCATTCTTGGAGAAACAGTTCTAAGAACAAATGCTGAAGGCAAACAAATGATGCATTCTCAAATGAAAGAGGTCTGAACTGAGATTGTGCCCATCAATTCCTGAGAAGAGAATTTTAACAAAACGCAGCTGAAAGAGATGCAAGCTAAAGCCAGGCCACAAATTTTATTTACTTAAAAATATCAGGGAGCATCCATTTTTCCTCTTTCAACATGACATGTAAGACAAAGCATACTGTTGAAAAGAAAAATAAAATGATGTTTTAATAACTCAAAGAAGGAACACGTACATGAAAGTGGTTTCTCACTGGAATCTGCAATAGTAACAAAGGAGACAGTGAGCATCAAACATCTGGGTTGTGGGCTCCCATACACTTCCATGAGATTATCCAGAAAACCATGAATTCTTGGGTGAGTGGGCAATTTTCCTGATAAGAGTGGATGGCTACAAGAAAGGCATCACCCCAACACTGGCCAGACTTTCACCTATAATCTTGGGTTAGTTGTCTCATTGAGTAGAACAGAAAAATAGCATCAATATGAATTATTTTTTAAGGAGGTAACTTTAGGATTTTTCTTCTGAGCAACACACAAGCAAAAAAGAAAAAAAAAAGAAAAAAGAGAAAAACCACTGACCATAAATGGCTTAATCTCCAGGCCCAGCCTCCAGTGTTGCTCCAGATTCAAACTGACATTTGATGACAATATAAGACATTCATCTTTTGTGAATCTATTGTGAGAAATAGGGAATCTATTTCTCTATGGTTTTTTAGTAGTGTGGGCCAAACTGTGTCTCTTCTCCCCAAAGTTAACGTGCTGAAACACTAACCTTCAGTACTTCAGAATGTGATATTACTGGGAACAGGGCCTTTAAAGAGGCAATTAAGTGAAAATGAGGCAATGAAGGTGGGCCCTAATTTAATTTTAATGGTGTTCTCATATACAGGGGAAAATCTGGGTGCTCGGAAAGACACCAGAAGCACACAGAAGAAGATCATATGAAGACACAACAAGAAGGTGACTAGCTGCAAGCCAAGAAGAGAAGCCTCAGAAGAAATCAAACGTACTAGCACCTTGATCTTGGAATTCCAGTCTCCAAAGCTGCGAGAAAATAAAATTCTGTTGCTTAAGCTGCCAAGACTATGGTATTTTCTTATGGCAATCTTAGCAAAATAACCCTATTAGCAAACAAATGCATACAAAATCTCTGTAAATACAGCAGGTTTCCTTTTTAAAAAAACTCTTTATTTTGAAAAATTATAGTTCTACAACAAATAATAAAAAAGATATACAGGATGGTCCTATTTACTCTTGACTCAGTTTCCCTTATAGTAACATCTTATATAACTACTAGGAAAATGATGTTGATACATTCCACATATCTTGTTAAAATTTAACCAGTTTTACATGTATTAGTTTGTTCTATGCAATTTTCTTGCATGTGTAGACCCATGTTACCACTACCATAGAGAAAATCCAGAATCATTCCATCACCAGAGGCTCCTTCATGCTGTCTCTTTATACTCATTCTTACCTCTTTCTCTAGCTCATCCCTAACCCCTCACAACCATTAATCTGTTCTCCATCTCTACAACCCTGTTATTTCAAGAATGCCATATAATGAGAATCAAAATTAAGTGAACTTTTGGGACTATTTTCACTCAGAATAATTCTCTTGAAATTCAGCCAAGTTATTGTGTGCAACAATAACTCATTCCTTCTTATTGCGGAGTAGTAGTCCATGATATGGATGCACTACAGGTTCCTTAACCACTTACTAGGATATTACAGTTGTTTACAGTTTGAAGCTATTATGACTAAAGCTGACGCTCACATTTATATATAAGTTTTTATACAGAAATATGTCTCCATTTCTCTGGAAAAAAAATCCCAAGGGTACAATTGCCGAGTCAAATGTTAAGTGAATGTTTACTTTAAAAGTGTTATATTGTTTTTTAGAGTGGGTGTACCATTTTACATTACCATCAGCAATGTATAAGAGGTCCTGTTTCTCAGTATCAGGCAATAGATAATGTATGTGCCATGTATACGTTTCCAGAACATGAAAGTATAGGAATCTTCTTTTATTTTATTATGTTAGCATACCCTTCACACTCAAACCTAGCTGTGTGCTGAAAAGGTGATTCTCTGGAATTTAAGGAACTTAAAACCCCTGATTTATAGCAACTGCATATTTTCCAGTTGTGGCTATTTCCCACCGTGGTTTTCAAACTACCCACATGACTTAATTGAAAGTGAATTAAGGAAAAAAATACTCACAAGTAGTTCTCACACAGTTCTCACTGGCACAAGCCAGTTCCAGCACACTGCTGCACATACACAAACATATGCACACATGCATACACACATATATACACACATGCATATTCACAGACACATAAAAACACAGATGCATAGAGACACCAGATTTATCTCCTTCATTCGTACAGATGGACCATTAAATAAGATGACAAGATGAATTTAATAGCATGACATAATCAAATATAGAGACAGATATAAAATACATAGAGTATGAAACTATGAAACAATTTTGGAAATAAAAGTGTATATTAATGTGCAAATATATGTATAGAATATGAGACTGAAAACACCAAAATGTTGATACTGTTTATTTCTGGGTAGTTGGATGACAAGTGAATTTAGTTTTTCTGATTGTGCTTTTCTTTATCTTTAAGGAACATGTTTTCTTTTAATCAGAAAGAAATAATTACATATATATGTAATTAACATATATTGTATAATATATATCACATATATTCCACATATATGGAATATATATTGTGTTTTAAAGTTTAAAATGTGAGGAGACCACGTCAATGAGGAACTTGGAACCAAGTAAAACATGGATGGATATGTGACAATATTGTGGAATAGAGTGAAAATTCAGCTCAGAAATAGTGAAGCTTATTTTAAATGGAAACTAAAATAAGATCATGTGGATTAAATTAGAGATATTTCCAGGAGAAGATATGTTTGAGCATAACTTTCCTCTCCTCCCTATCTGAGGAAAATTCTGGAAGAGACTTCATACGTATCTATATTTGTATCTATGTCAGAAAAGGAGAGAAGTAAGGCCTGGGAGGCAGCTTGCTGTTGTGAAAGGAAAATGAAGTCAGATGATCCTTAATTTGGATACTCTTTCTTACCATTTGGGGCAAGTTACTTCCTCAAAGCCTCAATTTCTTCTTCTCTAGCATGAGATTAATATTTGTGATTCATCAGAAGGTTAAACAAAGCAATTTTTACAAAGTAAAAAGCAAATTTTACAAAGAAGGCTTTCATTTTGTTCTGTCCTATTTTATTCTAAATTATGGTATGTTACCCAAATCCCAGTGGGAGCTTTTGTGAGTGAATGACATTAAAAAATTACTGGAACAGGAAATATTTCCCTTTAATGAACTAGATGAGATTTTTTAAAAAAAAACCACTAATTATGTATTTTACATTATGGAAACAGAGATTATATAATGATAAAAAGATGTGTATTATATTTTAAAAAATAGTTACAAAAAGTAAATCTTTTGTTTTCATGTGATCCATTCATTTGTCCATTATTCAACAGATATTTATACAATACTAATTCAGTGAAAACCAGCATTAGCTTAGGAGAAAGTATTAGGAAGTACAAGATTAATGACATCTGGGACCAAGAAATTTTCAGTAAAATCAATGAATGGCATTTTGCTTATTTCGGAACAGCAAAATAGAAATAGTCAATACTATAGTCTCTGCATCTAGTCCTTCTGTGTGAATATGTATCTAGAGGCTTATGCAAAATAATGCCTAAGGTTAGGACAAGCACTTTTATTCAGCTGATAATAAAATATATAAAGTGTACAATGAATATCCAAATGTATAATAATCTAATCCAGAATTACTCAATCTATGAATTATTAAGATATGGTAAGGACAAGATTAAAACTATGTTTTTCTGCCTGGCTGTCTTTAAACTATTGTTACATGGCAACCCTTTAACAACCCAGTAGTTAGCCATGATCATTGTATTAGGCTGCTTGGGTTGCTGTAACAAAATGTTAATACCATAGACTGGGTGGCTTAAATAACAGACCTTTATTTCTCACAGTTCTGGAGGTTGGGAAGTCCAAGATCAAGGTGCTGGCCAATTCTGTTCCTGCCTCTCTTTTCTGGCTTATATATTTCTGCCTTTTTGCCGTGTCCTTGCAAGGCAGAGAAATATCTTCTCCTACTCCAATTCTTCCTTCTACTCCTTCTTTTTCTTCATAAGCCACTAATCCTATCATGACAGCCCTATTCTCATTACCTCATTCAACCTTAATTATCTCCCAAAGGGCCCACATCCAAATACCGTCATATTGAGGGTTAAGGCTTCAACATCTGAGTTTTGGGGGAGACACAATTTGGTCCAGAGCAACCATCATTTTGCTAATGCCATCTGGCTTGTGAAATATTAATAGCAAGTCTAAGACTTTTCTCAATATTCAAAGAGGAAGGCTCAAAGAGATTTTGATAGTTTTTGGTTGTTTGTGAATATATACAAGCTGAATAGAAGTTTCAGTGTAAGGATGGTATCACACCCTTTCTCACCACCTACTCCCAAATTTTGAAAGCCATTACTTGAGAAATAGACATCCTCTTGGTGTTGTCAATGTTCCTGAATACACAATAATTGTTAATACATTTTGCAAAGAGAATATGCACCGTTGAAAGGGAATATTACTTATTCATTCATTCAAAAAATTATTGAGCGCTGCTATTTTCCAAGCACTTTTCTGAATGCTAAGAATATAGGAATAATCAAAAGAGAAAAAGTCTCTTCTCTCAAAGAGCATATTGCCTTGTGTTGGAGGCAAACCATAATTAAACAGACAAGTGAATATCTAGTTTGTCAGATAATGATTAGTCCTATGGAGAAGTATAAAGCAGGATACAGGAAATGGGGAGGGCTGGTAGGTGGGGAGAAGAGTGGTTATTTTATGTAGGTAAACAGGGAACCTGAAGTAAATAAGGGAGTGAGCCATGCTGATGTCAGGAGAAAAGTTTCAGAAGGTGAGGAGAACAAATGCAGAGGCCACAAGGTGAGAGAATGCTTAGGTGTATGAAAGACAGCAAGGAGCCCAGTGTATATAGACCAACTGAACCAGAGGAAGAATCATAGGAGGTGAGAACGGTAATGTAGGGGAAGATTACGCTAAACCCTGTATGTTATTGTAAGAATTTTAGCTTTTGCTGGGAGTGAGATAGGCTACTGAAGGTTTATGAGCAGAGGAATCTTATCAGATTTAGGTTTTAAAAGTGAAATGTGTTGGTTGTAGAAACAGCTGACTTTAGATGGATAAGGCAGAAAAAGTGAGATTAATTGCAAGATCGTTGCAATAATCTAGGAGTTAAATGGAGGTTGAATGAATAAGGGAGAATGGAAGGGTGAGTGAGAAGGAATCAGGTTTTAGATACATTTAGAAGAAAGAGCTAGAGCCAGCTGACAGCATTTGCTAATGGATTGCATATGAAAGAAAGAAGTCAAGGATAATCCAAGTTATTTGGTATGAACAACGGAGAAACGAAGTTGCCATTTGTAAAATAAGTAAGGCTGAGGAAGGAGCAGGTTTGGGGAAAATGGGAAATTGAAGTCAATTCCAGATCAGTTATGTTTGAGAAGCCAATTAGATACACACAAGGAAATTCTGAGGAAGGAGTTAGTATTATTAATTTCACTTTAGGAGAGAGATATGGGATTGAGTTTGACGGTGAGTAGTTGTCACTTACAGATGATACATCAAATCACGTGACAGGATGAGATCCTAGAAAGTGAATGCAATTACAAAAGGAATGAGGTCCGAGAAAACCTACTTGGGGCATTCTAAAGTCAGTGGTCTGAGCGGTCAGAAGGAATTTACAAAGGAACTGAGAAGAAGAGCCAATGAGAAAGGGAACTTCTTTTTTTTCACAGTGAGTGCTTGTGAACTTTAAAGGAATGTGTGATGAGGAGACTTTTTTTTTAAATAACTGGAATTATATCTTTCTTTTCTAATGGTCTAGTAGGAAAAACTGTTTCCTTTAGGGGAGAGGGCAATTGCTGGAGTAATATCCTTAAGTAATATCACAATTTATTTATAGTAACAGGAGAGAATGTCAGGTATTCAGGTGCATAGGCAGATAGATTGGTACATGTGGTTGTGGGAGCATGAGGAACTTCTCTCTTCTTTCTTTTTAATTCTCACTGACGCAGGAAGTAGACTCCTTGCTGGCATGACTATGAAGGCAGAAGATTAAAGGTTTTTTTCTTTTTTTAATTTAAAATTTTTAATTTTTGTGAGTACATGGAAGATTAAAATTTGAAGAAGACAGCTTAGAAATCTGGGAAAATAGACCATCCTGGCTAACACAGTGAAACCCCTTCTGTACTAAAAATGCAAACAATTAGCTGGGTGTGGTGGCGGGCGCCTGTAGTCGCATCTACTCGGGAGGCTGAGGCAGGAGAATGGCGTGAACCCAAGAGGCGGAGCTTGCAGTGAGCCGAGATCGCGCCACTGCATTCCAGCCTGCGCGACAGAGCGAGACTCCGTCTCAAAAAAAAAAAAAAAAAGAAAAAAAAGAAAGAAAGAAGTGTGGAAAATAGACCAGGTGCAGTGACTCACGTCTGTAATCCCAGCACTTTGGGAGGCCGAGGCGGGCGGATCCCATGAGGCCAGGAGTTCAAGACCAGCTTGGCCAACATGGCAAAACCCCATCTCTACTAAAAATACAAAAATTAGCTGGGCATGGTGGTGCGCACCTGTAATCCCAGTTACTCGGGAGGCTCAGGCAGGAGAAAAGAGAATCTCTTGAACCCGGAAAGTGGAGGTTGCAGTGAGCCAAGATAGCACCACTGCACTCCAGCCTGGGTGACAGAGCAAGACTCTGTCAAAAAAAGAAAGAGAAGAAAGAGAAAAAGAAAGAAAAGAAAGAAAGAGAAAGAAAAGAAAGAAAGAAGGAAGGAAGGGAACGAAGGGAAGGAAAAAAAAAAAGAAAAAAAAGAAACGTGGGAAAATAAATGGAAAAGGGAAATCTTATATGATACTGTATTCATTTTCTATTACTGTCATTAAAAATTACCATAAACTTAGTGGCTTAAAACAACACAAATTTATTATCTTACAGTTCTATGTAGGCCAGAAGTTCAACACAGGTCTCACTTGGTTAAGATCAAGGTGCTAGCAGAGCTGGTTTTCTTTCTGAAGGTTTTAGTGTAAATTCCCTTTCCCTGTCTTTTCAATCTCCTAGAGGTCACCTGCATTTCTTTGTGCCTGGCCCTCTTCCTCCATCTTCAAAGCCAACAATGGTGGGTGGGGTCAAGTTTTCAGATCACATCTCTCTGACCCACTCTTCTTCCTTTCTCTTTCATTTTTAAGAACTGATGGATTAGATTGAGTACAACTAGGTAATCCAAAATGATCTCCCTACCTTAAGGTCCTTAATCACATCTGTGAAGTCCTTTTCGCCCTGTAAGGCAATATATTTACTGGTTCCAGGGATAAGTATAGAGATATCTTTGAGGGACCATTTTTCTTCCTACCACAAATGCCTTGTCAGCACTATGGAGCCACTTAAAATGAATGGTCATCAATACAAAGTGGGAAACAACCTCGTTATTTGTTTTTCCCAGAAAAGTCTAGCAGCCTATGTGCAAAATCTGTGGAAAGTTAGATTTAACCAAGTTTGGAGTTTTACCAGAGATGTACAGTCATGTGCTGCTTGATAATGGGATATACTCTGAGAAATGTATCATTAGGTCATTTGGTCATTGTGCAAACATCATAAAGTATACTTACACAAACCTAGATGGTATAGCTTACTACACACCTATGCTATATGGTATAGTCTATTACTCCTAGGCTGCCAGCCTCCACTTCATGTTACTATAATGAATACTGTAGGCAATTGTAACACAATGGTAAGTATTTGTGTACCTAAATATATCTAAGCATCAAAAAGGTACAGTAAAAATAAATTTTTATAATCTATGGGCTACCATTGTATTGGTCATCACTGGTCTTTGACCTAAACATTGTTGTGCACTACATGACTCTGTAAGAAAAGAGAGAGGGACAAAAGCTTGATGATATAAGCAGGGGAGTAATTTTATGATAGATTCCAATACCTTATGTGGATATTGAGAGAAGTAGAGATAGGAGATGGTAAGGGATAGGGAAAATAGTTGAATTGAAACAATGGATGTTAGAGTCAGGTAGGAGTAAAATATTTTGAAGTCAGAGAATAAGAGATGATGGTGAGAAAATGGGAAATCAGGCTATGGAGGGGTACAGGAGTTGCTGAAGAACAAGGATATTGGAGGTAATAAATCCAAAAACTGAGGGGGGCAGAGGATTCAAAGAACCATTCATGAGGATATTAAATTAATCAAGAAAGATACAAGAAGAATTTTTTGAGTGACAGTGAGTCAACAGCTAGAATCTCCAAGGTATGGAGGGAAGTCACCCACTGGCATCTAAACACCTGCAATGAGAAGGGTAAGAACAATAGACTATGCAACATGAGCTTCACATATGCTGGGGATTTCCAGGAAGAGGGAGGAGTAACTGTCTAGAGATAGAAATTAAAAGCAAGGAGGGCGTGCCAAATAAGGCATGGGTGAGAAAGCCACCATTTGAAAAGGTTACAGAAGAATGCATATATCCAGGAGAGGGGCAGATTTCAATTAAAGAAAGAAGGTGAATTGAACTTGCAAAGAATTGGTAGAGAACATGGAGAAATTTGCTGACAACCAATTTTGAGTTCTAGAGGTTCTTGTCCAGAATGGATTTTAAGAGTTGGGAAGAGATGGGACCTATGTTTAAATATGAGATATGCAGAAGTTTGTGGGCATGGATTTCTAGTTATAAGAGACAGCCAGGGAGCATCTGCCTTCTCTCTTAGGTCTGTCAAAGAATAAAAAGTAAACAGGAATAAATGGAGTGATGACAAAGTTCTGATGGTTAGGCCAGAATCCCAGAGAGGGATAGAAAGGCTGTGAATGTCAGAGAGGGGTAAGGATTGTACTGTGAGTGTGCGGAGCTACGAAACAAGACATGCAGGCCAGAGGCAGGTCAAAGTTACCAGAAACACGTAGAATTTAGGCAAAATGCATATCAGCTGGAAATTTTTGATACTGGCTTTAAAACATGACCAGTAAATGGATAGTTCTGCTGTAACTTTTTTAAGACGGATAAATAATACCAGAGCTAAATACTGTTATAAACACACATAGTTATAAATGTATGTGTAATATAACTAATTCCTAAATTCACATTTAATGGAAGTACATAAGTATAATTTCCTTTGTAAAGAAAAGACTTAATTGTGAACAATTTCAACCTACTCAGAAAGTGTATGAATATGATAAACTTGCCTATACTACCATCTGAAATTAATAATATTAGCATTTCATAGAATTTGCTTCTGATCATATTTTAACTAAGAAAACTCAGCAATACTCTGATCTATATTTTGCCAGACCCATTTCTCTTATTTCCTTTCTAGAGGCAATCACTATCATGAAGTTTATTTATTATTCGTATTTACATTTTTTATGTTTTAACATAGGTATATGTCCATGAAAGGAGATAATATTATTTTGTGAGTTTTAAAATTTAATGTGATACATTTTTATCACATTATCAAAATTATATTATTTTTACTTGCCAACATAGAACTAACTTCTTTTCAGTTAGCATTATACTTGATATATCTATTCCATCATATAAATACATCATAATTTATTTACCCATTCATCTGTTGATAACAAGTAGATCGCTTTTAGTTTTTAAAATCCCAAAAATGCCACGATGAATATTTGCGAATATGTCTCCCTGAACATATGTTCAAAAGTTTCTCAAGGCTGATATACTTAGAAGAGAAATGATGTGTTGTAGGGTATGGAAATTTCCAACTTTACTTGTTGGAAAATTTACTGCTAAATTGCTGTGAAAAGAGATAATACCAATTTCTACTCCAACCAGCAAAGTTTGAGAATACCTATTTACCAATACTTTGTCTACACTTGGGATTGTTAAACTAATACATTTGCCAGTTTTATTGGGAAGATATTGTATCTCATTCTTAATTTGCATTTCCCTGATTATTAGTGAAATTGAGCATCTTACTATTTGTTAATTGACCATTCATGCATTATCTTATGTGAATTTCCGGTTTATATACATTTACTATGAACTGTTTTCATATATATATAATGTAGTACTATAAGTATGTTCTCAATATTGGTTTTTGTCTGCTATACATTTTTCAAATATCTTTAGTACCTAGTTTTAGCTTTGTTTATGATATTACTTTAAGCTTTTTCAATGTGATATAATTGAATTAATTAATCTTTTCTGCTTAAAATCTTTGTGTTTTTTCTTGTCTGATTTGGTTTAAGGTCATTAGTAATTTAATTTTTAATAGAATCCATGGAAATAGCTCATGCTGTTATTTCATGGGTAGAGCTAGCTCAGCACTGAAGACACAATGATCAAAATTGTATGACCAGATTCAGAATAGTCATTTTCCAGATCGTGTACTAGCCCTCATATGTGAAATATGTCACCAATTACAAAATACTGCTAAGTAGGCAGGACTGTAAGTTCTGAAAAGAGTAAGGATTTCCTATTCACTTTGGCTTGTACATGTTTTATGTATAGGGTAACTTTGATTGATGAGCTTTAAAGTTGTTACAGGAAATGTTTGGAGCAGATACAGACGACAAAATCAATAGTACCGGGATAGACTGGGTTCGTGTAAGCAGATTTATTATCCTGACCTTTCATTCCGAATTCCCTGTCTTGTTTCTTTATAACAACAGCTAAATGTACTTATTTGTAAAGTAACAGAAAACAGATCACTTTAATGTGGCAACATTAACTGTTAAAATCTCAAGGCCTGAATATACAATAATTTATGATCCCAAAACTATTTTTGGCTTCTTTTAGATTATGTTCCCAGATGAAGAGCATTCCATTGTTTTCCCTATCCAACTACCTTGAGTACTCAGGACAACCAAATTCTGCTCTATTTTTTAAGGAGCAGCTAAATTATTTTCAGTTCCAAATGAATTCAGAAGCAGGTTAAGGTAAATTTGGGTATGATAGAGTTAGCTGAGCTTATCTGGACTGTAAGTATGAATGAATTTGTTACAAGTCAGAATCAATATAACCAAAGTCTCTTTTTTCAATAAGCATAGATAACTGTTTATGTGTGTACTTTGCTATGAATTTACTACTTACGTATGTACTTAAACACTTAAAATTTGTCAACTCCCTTTACTCAGTATATTTGTCAGTTTCATGGCTCAAAAATATCATCTATTGGGGTGATTGACTCAAAATTATTTCTCTAGTCTTATCAAAAAATTTTCACCACTAAATACCAAACATACATTCAATGCCATACCCAACATCTCTGATTGTATGTTGAGTAGGCTTCTCAAAGTTAATATTTTTAAAACTGAGTTTCTAAATTCTCCTACTTCATTCTCAAACGTGCAGTTCTCATTATCTTTCCTGACTCAGTAGTGGTTGTTCCATTCTCTTAGTCATCCAGGAAAATAGTAGTGTCATTCTTTATTTTACTCTTTCATACGTCACACTCCCACCTATGAAAGGCATCCCATGGCTTCTGTTATTATATTATGTTTGGAGCCAAATACTTCTTGCCACCTTTCTGATACTGTCCTAGCCCAAGCAGCCATCAGATGATCCATATATGAATTATTGCTCTAATTTTCTAGCTACATCTGGAGTTTGGCAGTGTTTTGGGAGGTGAAGAGGTAAAGTAATGCTGACTCGAGGTTCAAAGTATCTGGAAGTCATGTCTGTTTAATGTTCAGAATACTAAACTGGTCAGGGAAGTGACAAAAGTATTCCATAATATTGGAAGGAACTGTCATATTTTAGCAAACTAGATGTTATCTCTGGCTCTAGGGATCAGTTCAAAGACAGCATGATATTAAAGGGGCATATTTCTGTTCAATGTGAGGAAAAGGTTATTTAGAATTAGAATATCTCCATTGAAAGGAGGGTAGTTAATGAGGTAGCAAGCAACTGGTAACATTATTTTTTAATTAAAACAGGATGTTCCTGTTTCACAGGGATATGGCAAATGGGAGCCTATATATGACTAATTGGCAGCTGAGAAAATGGAGCTATGAAATTATATTCTCTCTTCAGAATATGTGCTGAAAATACAACACCCACTGAACAAACAAAAAGAGACAGCATAGTGCTGTGCACATAACAGATGGCCAATAAATCTATGTAGATTGGTAGATTAAAAAATGGAATATGTCACATCATTCAAAGGATCATGGAGACATTTTCTCCATCATCTATGAAGGATTTAGTTGTTTGGGCTTACCAAATTCTTTATTTGGCGATTATAATTTCTGCCCATGTACTTTTGGAGCTATTTAAATTTCTGTGCTACTGACTTCATGCAAACAATAACTTGATAAGTTCCAAAGCCCTAGCATTGTATTCACCCTGTAGTTTTATGTTCTATCCAATAGTCACTAGTACAACTTATACAAAATAGACTTGAATGCTACTGTCTTTAAGCTCAGAAGATATGCTATGGAATTTACTTTTCAGCTTTGTACATTTTTTAGAGAAAGAAATTTCACATAACAGCTGGTGAAATCCATGCAGCTAGCTACATAGGGGATTCTCCATGGCTCCTTGAAAATATGTGTAGCATAAATAAGATCTTTGTTTTTTTACATTGCTATCTACACAGACTTTGAAAGTCTTAAAATGATGAAAATTGAACCTTTGTTTTCGAAACACTCTTTATAAAAGTGGCTAAAGAATCTCTTAAGTCTAGATATTAGTTGATATTAAGCTTCTAACAGCAAAATTGCTCTTGAGAATTATGTATTAAATAATCAACCTTTTCTTCTTTTTCATATTGGCATTTATAAATAGGTTGAATGACTACGTAAAACATAAAAATTAATTCAAACAATTTGCTACAAAGTAGCTCTATGGCCTCACGACTGAATATTTGATGCTTCTCAAACCCTGCTTAACTTAATGACATAGAGACAGTCTCTGACCAATTCATTTTATCAAAATTATTATTAATGAGTTTCTGTGAGTGTTCTCCTACAGTAAACAAGATCATACATGATCGTTTTTGGGATTATAGCTACCTATCTTTATTTGATCTTTTTTCTTTTATCCTCTAATTGTATCTGTTCTTTTCTTAACATCTTTAGTTTTTATAACCATCAGAATACCATATAATCTAACAACTAAAATAAATTAATCTTATGTTTGACTGAGAAATTGTACAATTGTTGAAAGGATTATGATATTCTGAGGTGCTGTCAAATGGGATTAGTAATTAGTAATTCCTGTCAGTTGGTGTAATGTTTAAATAGTACTCTCACAGGCATTCATCCTTTTCAGATATATAGAGGTCAACTCAACAGGCCCCTTGAACAAAGTTCTTGCTGAATTTCTCCCCAGAGAATATGTGATTGAAAGTATTTGAAAATTCACTGGACATTAGAAGATTATAAAGGACCATCTTCACTTCTAGGATTTGACAAATCTTAATAAAATCTAAAGAAACACATCGAAGAAGCATAATGTTTTAGGACTAGCTCATCTCTGCTGTAATTTTATTGATAAAGCAATTAAGGAGAGTCCTAAGTCACTCCAGTTTTCACTAATCTTTTTCAGCCAAGCATCCCAATCAGTAACTGAGCTCCCAAGAAATTTTAAACCAATCTTCTTTTTGCCACTTTATACTGTCTTTCTCAGGATATAGAAAAAAAATCCAAAAATTGGTGGAGTGGAACAGAAACACAGTAATGCCATGTCAACATTTATTTATAGCCTGCCAGTTAAGATGGACAAATTTTTTTTTAAAGCCTGAAGGATTTTAAAAACAGTACCTGCCAAGGATTCCATGATGAGGTGGTACATCTCACTTGTCAAGCTGGAAATGGAGACAGTACAATCTATATCTGTGATTATTTGCTTGGGTACACCATCCATTTTCTCAGATCCTACATTAATCATTTTATTTCTCCTTCCCTATGGTGACATTCTAACTTCAGAATAGAAAACACTTTGGATTTATTTATCTTTTGAAATTCATAATTTCTACAGACCTTATTAGTTTTACTTCATAATGCACCAAAAGTGTATATCTAGAGGTAATATTTCTTTTGCTAACTATCATTTATAATTTTGTTCTCACAGGCATAGAACTTTTCCAAGCATTCATCCAACCATCTATTCATTAATTAATTTAAAAATATTGAACCAATCCATAATAAGTGCTAGGTATTAGGATTTAATAGTGTTTATAACATTATTCTTGTTACTCAAACACATATGGCCTAGCACAAGTAACTGACAAAGTACTAGGCAAAAACAACAGTGTAATAACTGTCATCCCCCTTCATGGCAGGGTGATTCAGTCATTGGTCAAGGGCAAGGCAGGAGATAGAAACATCAGTGTTAGGGGTGGTTACAATAATTCAGGAGAGAGATAGTGTTGACAGATGAGGCCAAAATTAGCAAATGTTAAGGAGGACAGGAGTCCAAGATGACACCCAAGATTTTGGCTGTGGCAACTGCTGGATAGTAGATTGGGAAGAAAGAGTTTATAGTCTAGCTACATTTTCAGAAGAGTAGGCAACTGAGCTCAAAAATACTAGTTTTCTGGTTGGGATAGACATTTAAAGTGGACTTTTCCTCAGTGTGATCAAGTTTTTCCTGATCTCTTGATTACTAGTTTCACTAATTTATATAGTCAATTATTAAATGATGATAGGATTTTTTTCTGATGGAGTTCAGAGTTATTATCAGGCTGGGATCGCTGCATTCATTTTAAGGTATTATCTTCTCTCTAACCTAAGACAAATGAAATATTCATCATAGTCTTCATCTTCTCAAGGTGTTGAACATGGTTCATATTTATTAACTGCCAAAGCAATGGAGTGGCTCAACTCAGCTAATGAAGCAATATGTAGCTTTTATTTCCCTGGAATACCAAATATATGAGGAATTTGTGCAATAAAAAAAACTTGATATTTCAGAACGATTTTACTCTCATGTGTTTCGATGCAATATTCTTCCTTATAATGTATTGCAAGCAGCCAACCTCAACATGTGACATTGAGTACTAAGTCATAACCTATTTACTTAATAAGTTTTCAAATAAATGGTTCACAACTCTCTTTGGGTGCAAAATTGCAGTTATCTTTTCAGAATTTTTGGCAGGCTAAAATTTTTTTGGGAAATAAACATCCATCCATTTTATTAGGCTCAAATTTACATAGGTTCAACATCAATAACTGCTTAAATTTCATATAAGATTGGGCTCATGCATTTTGGTGGACATTATCAAATATCCTTTCCTGTAAAGCTGACTTTCAGTGCTAATTTCACACCTTTAAATTGTTTAATAATCAGATAACTCTTTCAGTTTTATTTCGGGTATTGTTCTTTTGGTAATACATTTCTATCTTTATCTTTCAGAGTCTGAATAACATTCATTCCCTTGCAGATTTGACACATGACTTGCTCAAACATACAATCGCTTCACTTCCTGGTACATTTCATCTACCCAACTGTCACTCCAATCCTTTCAGCTCTTTGAGATATATTTCTTTTGTTCGTTTTCACATTTTACCTTTGGTTAAGTACATTGTCAGTCAAAACATGATTCACTGAATTTGTTTATCCAGTGCAGTGTAATTTGACACAGAATTGTGTGTTTCTAACTCTTATCCTTTTATTAATGTTTCCTTGTTACCTCATTTATCATTTATATTTTCATGACAGTTCTCTAAAAGAAAACCATTTTCCCCACATTTATTATCACTTTTTTCAAACATTGTCAACTTAAATTAGTACATAAGACTCAGAGAAACTTAGTTTTCTTAATAATAATAATACAAATTGAATGAACTGATTTTCTTAAATTCTTCTGAGAAAAAATAATAGCAATTTAAGGGAAATGACTATTCATGTGTTTATTTTCTCTCTTTTAATGACAAGATTCAACCTGAATGATGAAACTTTATGTAGCAAGTGCATTAAAACCACTTATAGTTATTGCTTTTCAAAAGCAATAGCAACAAAAACAACAACAAATATATATTTTTAACTATCTGAGATGGCTGAGCTAATGAGGGGAATGTTTTAAATTTGGTTAGGAGTTTATGACAGTTGGGAAATGAGCCATCACTGTTAACAGGAGCTTTTTTTTAAATCTCCAGTGCTGGACATTTCCCACGTTAAATAAGCACACCTGTCTGTTTTGATCTCATAAAATACAGAAGAAAAAAAGCCTAATTAAAATTTTAACATACTTATGGTTACACTTGCTAGAGTATGTTTACCATATCTTGAATTAGATATTGTCTTGCCATGACTAAGTGAGTTCATCATGGTGATTAGGTCAGGAAACATAATTTCTCATGATCTACACAGCCTACATGAGTAATCCCACTTACCACTACCTAAAATCTGTGAAAAACCCATTTTATACTGAGGGTTGCTTCATCTTCATGGAAAAAAGCATGTGACAATTTGATTGCAGAGCTCAATTGGTAATATCCTTGTCTACATCCAGAATGGTACTAAGACTACAATGACATGAAAGTAGCGCTGAACCTAAAGTAAGAGGTTTGGAGTTTGAGTCTCTGCTTCACAAAATACTAACTATACAACCTGAAACAATATAATCAACTTTTAGGAATCATTGTTTTTCATTAATAAAAAGAGAATAACTGCTATATTTAACACAAAGGACTTAAAATAATTATATAAAATCATATATATATAAATCTATGAACTTCCACATTAATGTTATATTTATTCTATTAACCTTGCCCCCCAAAGTCCCCCACTCAATATGATAGGAAACAAATTTTTGTCTATGTGATATATTGATTTCTTTTCCTTTGGGTAGATATTCAGTACTGGGATTGCTGGATCAAATGGTAGTTCTACTTTTAGTTTGTTTAGAAATCTCCATACTGTTTTCCATAGAGGTTGTACTAATTTACATTCTCACCAAAAACGTGTAAGATTTCCCTTTTCTCCACATCCTCACCAAAGTCTTTTATTTTTTGTCTTTTCAATAACAGACATTCTGACTAGGGTAAGATGTTATCTCATTGTGGTTTTAAATTTGTATTTATCTGATGATTAGTGATGTTGAGCACTTTTGAATATCCTTGGTGGCCATTTGTATGTCTTCATTTTAAAAATGTCTGTTCATATCATTTTCCCATTTTTTAATGACATTCTTTGTTTGGGGGAAATCTTAGACATAAATTCTTTGCCCAGACTAATTAGGCTAGATTTTCACATGTTTTTAAACAAGATCATATTATATGGAAAATATATTAAAGTGCCATTTTTCTGGTTAAAGCAGAAGTATGGGTCTTTGGTCCCTTCTCCATCAGCCCCTGAGATGCTTCCAAGGAATGCTGGGATTGTGTAACAGTTTGAAAGCCGCTGTTACCCCAAAGAGGGCTGCTTTTTGGGGAAATTTCTGCCTCCTAAAAAACAAAATCTGTATATATTTCCTTCAGTAGGAAAAATAGACACTAGCATTATGAAACATTATGAAATAAGTTGTTTTTGATACTTTGAGCTGAAGTTTTATTATATAGATGTGTTGACTGAAATGGCCTTTATAGTATAATTCTTCAAAATCCAGGAAACATTGTGAAATTTCAATATACTGAAATTTGTTCAATATATATTGGACACTGGCCTAAATAATGAATTCTGTTTGCATTCCAGAAGATCTAAAAATAAAGAAAAATAAGCCTCACATTGAAGGAACTTAATTTTTCTGGTAGGTTAAAAAAAACAGTAACAGTAACTAAGGAATCATATTTCTTGATGATTTAATTAATAGAATTTCTCAGTTAATGTTATCTCTGTCAATATTGTATTAACATGTATTTTTTTTTCCTTGAGTTGGTTATTCTGAGGAAAATTCTACAAAAGACTTCATAAATCCAGGAAAAATCCACTCACTCTGAAAGTGCCCATTCCTTCAGGTTTCCTTTACTGTTAGTGCCACTTGAGCTGTGCAGGTGCTTTTAGGAAGTATTCAAGACAATGAGGAAGTTCATTGAAATGCACAGGAGAAAGAATAAGAAATTCTAGTACATCATCCAAAGATGCCAGTTCTTAAGAACTTTTCTGAATTTTTAAATGCTTTATGTTAAATTTATACTTGTTCTAAAAAAAAAGTTTGTCAGTTTTTATTGGCAAGATAGAGTAGTTCTTAAAAAGAAGCAATTTTATGATGTTTTCTGGTTACATTTTAACTTACAGATGCTTGTCTTTAGAGAGACAGTAGCAATGTCAGTATCTGAAATGCCAGTTTTGTCTTTCTTTTTGTTTCAGTCTATATTAATTTAGTAATGGCACACAGGAATTCAACTAGTCACATTTTCCATGAAATTTAACTGTAGGATTTTATTCTTTTCTGAGCATAGTTACATGGGTTTGCTGTCAGATCATTTAAAAAATAGATTTTTTTTTTACCTACTCTTGGAAAATACTGAGATAGGACAGAATGATAAATCTCTCAGCAACTGACCCATCTTTTGTAGCAAGGTGTCACAGTTGAGTCTACATTCTAATTCCTCTGTGCTAAGGACAATTTGCAAGTATTAAATGATCCTTATCATTTCCTATAAATAGGGTGTTGCTAAGCAGTTGAGTGGATTTTTGAAGTAACTAACATATGGGCTAATTAATGTCTTATTGGTGAGTTCTACCCAATCGTAAAGAGTGGGAAGATGTGAGTTGCGTGCTGTAAGTTTAGTTCACCCCATATTTTAATCTGCTTTGTAAGTTTAAGCTCTTGTGTATCTGTTTGTTCTGCATATATGTTCATATTGCATATAAGTATGAACTAGATTGAATAATATCCAAATATATATCTATTATAGAGATTCTAGAGGAATAGGGATCCTGCAATATTATTCAAAGGACAGAATAAACTCCTCTAGAAATAAAACAAGAACTACAAACTATTAAAAACAAATAATGTATCTTCTCAATCTATTAAAATTATCACAAATCTTGGGAAGTCACTTGTATACATTGTAAATCAAAAATAATTGGTAATATATTGATATGAATGTCAAAGAAAATAAATCATATCCTACTACTATGATGAATGTGCAAAAGAACCCATTTTTTTCAAAACAGATACCACAGATTCTCACATATGCCTTCCTGAATACTAATGAAGTGAACTGTGGACATTAGCTATAGAAATTGACAAATGAATGGAGTATGATCTCTACATCTCCACTGACAATCATATACAGTAGAACTCCAACCCATGGTACCATTGTGGAAGTAGCAAAACAAATTAATTCTGAATATGAAAGGAGAATTTAGGGCATGCTTTAAATTAAGGAGACTTTTTAGAGCATTCTTTTGTATGACTCCGACAAGTTTTCATTTTTGCCTTGTTTTATATTGTCAGCAGGCCACACTGTCATCATCCCTATGTATATATATGTGTGTGTGTGTGTGTGTACATATATATACACATACAGTTGTGTGTCACTTAACAATGGGGGATACATTCTGAGAACTGCATTGTTAAATGATTTGCTCATTATGCAAACATTATAGAATGTTAGATGGCATATATATTTTTATTTATATCTATTATATAGAAAACCAAATGTCCTAGCACCATTACTGAATATCAACAATTCTTTTATTTAATCTGCAACGCCAATATCAAGTGCCATATATCAGGTTTCTATATGTGTGCCATTATAATCTATGAGACCACTGTCAAACATGTGATCTGTCTTTGACAAAAACCTTGTTATGTGGTGCATGGCTCTATAGATGCAAGATGATAAAGATGATATATGCAAAAACTGTATAGTTACTCCTGAGGAACCAACTCCACCAGAAAAGCCAAACCTCTTTAGAAGAGTAATGTAATTTATCATAGCACATGAAATTAATCTTAAAGATTTCATTTTCTAAAAGTTTTCTTTGAATAATATAACTTCTATTTCAATGGATAGGACAATTTATTCCATTTAAGGGCATTGCTTACTGAGCAGAGAGCATTTTAGATAAAAAATATAGTAACATAGGAGCTTTTATAAAGAACACAGAGAGCAAGGATATATAAATGATGCCATTATAACTTTGATGAATATGCTTTTCATAACTAACAACCTAGCTGTGATATTAAAGAAAAGGTTTTTAAATAGTAATGCTTTTTTTAATGTAGGGACTTGGCTTCAAGTCTTGCTTGCTTTCATTTTTGCATAAAACATCTTTAGAAGGGAGTGAAGCGTGGAACTCTGGAACCACGCAGACTTACCCATGAGAGCTCTGGTGCTGCAGCTCTGACCTCCGCCCTGCCGGGGTCAAGAACCATCTCTTCCTCCCTTACTGCCTGCCGGGTTCAGTGATCTCACCAGCTGTCTCAGACTCTTTTTGAAAGCAGCCGTCTGTCCTCTGTCACTTTCCAGCAGATATGCTACACAAAGGAAATCAAGGTCACCAGGAACGTGGATTCCAAAACCAAACTTTCCAACCCCTGGATGAACAACCCTTAGACATTCCTGAATTGCTTCCCTTATTTAACTTCTCTGTCATTGACCATCAATTCTCACATTTTTGTTGAGGCAATTTTAAATATTACTTTTCCAGGTGAACTTAAAACTCTACATAAGTCTTTCAATTTGAGATCAAATATGTGTATACACTATTCAGTCTAATTACTATAGCTTTCTCTCCTTCTTCCATTGTAAGACTGTGGATATGAATTCATCACACATACCTCTTGGACATTGTTGATGCTGATGCACATTCCTCTGTATTCATCCTATTCTACTTTCTGGCACTTTTAGTAACGAAAATTTTTTAGAAACTGAAAGCAAAAGCAGACTCCTAATTATTTTACTTTAGATACTAGGACTATTTATAAACTATCACTAAAAAAGCAGCTCTTGCCTGTGAATGTTCTCTTTCTGGAGTTACTCCATTTTTTTTTTTTTTAACGTCAGGTATTCTAGGACTGAGAAAGTTGTAACTCGTTCTTCGTTCTTCTCACAACTTAAACCCTCTTCAGTATGAGTGTTCATCTGCTTTTCAGTTAACTTACAGACTTCTCGACCCTACCAGCAGTTTTGCCCTGACGTAGACACTCCAAACTGACTGCTGACCATTACTCATCAAATTCAGAGTATAAACTATTAATACAATTGTGTATTTTTACTTGTTTTATTTTATTAATTCATCTTTCTTCTTTGAATATACGAAGTCTGCCTGGACTACCTTTATCTTTTCTCATTGGCCAGTTCAGAGATAATTCTTGGAAGCTTTTCATGTAGCAAGTACCTAACAAATATAGTTTACTTCTGGAGTTATTGACTAACTGAAATTAATCCCTTTCCACTGATGCACTGCATGAGCCTAAGATATTTTATCTAAGCTTTAGTCAAACCTGGAATACCCTTATGGCAAATGTTATCTTTGAGAGAATATATTAAGATCAACTAAATGCTGTAGCAAACAAAACCAAAACCTAGTGGTATAAAACCACAGAGATTTGTTTCTCATCCATATAATAGTCTCATGCAGGTGTTTGACAGGCAGCCTTCGTAGTGGCAATGCAGGAACTTGTACTCCTTTCATTTTGTCACCTACTTGTCACCTAGGGTCCTAAGGTCCTCTGCTCAAGGTCTGCATCCAGTAGGCCGACAGGGGAGAGAGATTGTGTGAGCATATTTTTGGACCAGAGCACTTCTTCCTGCATTGAATTGGCCGAACCTAATCATGTGACACTATCTACTCAGTTCATTTAGTTATAATGAACTCTTTTATATGTAATATTTCAGTACACAGGTAGAGTAGGAGACAGGTTTTGGTAATTCATTGCTGTCCCTGTAGCACACAGTGAGCACCATGGGTCAGAACTGTGAGATGCTTCCTGTGTTGCTGGCAGCCACAGGGATTCAGAGAGGCCACAAGAAGCTTACCTTTTGAACATCAGAGCTACAGACATTAATATTTAAAGTTTGAGGGAACAGAAAAGTGAAGGCTGATTATTCTTGCCACAAGTTGTAAGAAGAATAAAATGCTTCCTTTGTAGTGAATATCCTCAGGGTGGAAAAAAGGCATGGCTCATTTAATTTCATCATCCAGTATAAGGAAAATGAACAGAAACAGATGCCTTTCCATTAATTTTGCAATGGCTGGATTGGGAATAAGGTCCTCATGGCTCCCTGTGTGTTTAAGGACATCCCAATCCATCATTACACACATACCAGAGTTTCTGCCAGCATCAGAAGCTACTTCTAGAGCAAAGATCCCAAGTTCCCAGAAAATATTCCCTCATCTATCGTATTGAAAATTTGAAAGTCTCTTCCTTCAAAGTATCAATTTTCCATCAATGACAGATGCAAATTTCTCCCTTTTTATTTTCTGTATTGACTCAGTTTTACTTTTTTGGCTATCTTAAATAATTTTTCTTTAGATTTATATTTGATAGTAAAAAAGAAAGTTTAATTGTAGTACATTATTAACTTATTTACCATTTATAAGTATCTTTACCTACGTTGTATTATTTGACTGTTTCCTAAAAATGTTGTAAGGTATTTGCTATTGTTTTTAGTTTCTAGATGATAAAATTGAAGCTTAAAGACTTGAATGAACTTGTCTAAAATATCATAGTGTCTCAGAACACAGGCTTCAGAATCAGGACCCAAACAGGTTTTTTGATTGGTCTTTCTGGCTCTAAGTTCTATGCTTAAAATCTTTTACTAAGAGGATCACTAGATGCCTTTACACCTATATAAAAAGTAATCTTTCTGTTTAGATGACATTGAAGAGATCCAGTCTTCAATGCTCTGAAATGAAAAAAGTCAAAACATCTCATAATAAGAGCACAAATCTATTGGGACCCACTGAAAAAACCCAATGCAAGGAATATATGGTGAAAATGATGGATAAATATGAGTTCTTTAATTGATAAAATTATTTTTTGTTATGTCAATATTCCATTGAAATATATATTAATCAGTATGTTTTCGAGAATAGTAACCATGATGAATAGCTAGGGATCAAAATAACAGCTGTCATTAAACAGGTATTACATATGCACCAAATATGCATGTTTCATATAGTCTTTATATTAAATTGCAGCTCTAGGAGGCTCATGAACTTGACCTGGTATCAATTGAGATGAAAATCCAGATCTGTTTGATTCCAAAGTCAAAACAACACCTACATTTTAAAAACAAGAATGTTTTTCCAATGAGCACTTTCTCTCTCTCTCTCTCTCTCTCTCTCTCTATACATACATACATATATATATATATATATATATATGTACGTAATTAAAGGTCAATAATATCAAACCCTATATATAATCTACAAATAAAGACAGAAAAACCTAGCTTTCTTTTTCTCAATATTTGATATTTTCAAAATATAAAATACGAAACAGAGGAAGACAACTCCAATATTTAAATTTCTTATTAGATGGAATAGTTTCTACATTATAACATGAACAAGAATTGAATCACACAGAGATGTATTCTAGTGGGAAGCGTCAAAGTTGACCCACTTTCATGTAGAGGAGAGAGCCAACGACAGGCTTGTAGAGGGGGTGACAGCTGTCCTGACTAAGGATGTTCTGTAATTATTTACAGGAGAAAGAAAGGCAGGCAAAGCACAGACACAAGAGATCTGGAAGCATAGGCTGTTTTGGAGTCTAGGAGAGTGGTCAGCCATAGATTAACTCTATCTGCTATTTCTGAGATCTAGGCCCAAGGCTGAGGTTCAAGAGTGCAATTCCAAAGTCTAGCAAATGTAGCAAAATTACTAGTAAAATGGAGGTGGACTCTCAGTTTTATGGGAACCAGGCAGATTATCAAATAGGAATTAGACACTGACACCAAGGCAGCGCCTCAACTTTTCAGAACTGTAGAAGGACTCACAGCTAAGGTACCTGCCAGAATTGGGATAAAGGATGAGAAGTGGCTAGAAGCAAGGACGACTTTCTTCTGGATACTCAAGGTGTTCAAAGCCTCGAGGAATGATCAAAAAGACATCATCTAAAAGCCTAAATTCAAGAAACCGTTAACTCAGCAGACATTAATTGAATGCTTCCTATTTATCTTTATATCCCCAGTATTTAGATGGTATCTGATATATCTTGACTAGCCTGAGTGAATTAAAATGCACTGGATTGGCAGAACAAAATGCTGAGCAAAGTGAGGTACTTCAAAAACATTAAATCTGACTCCAGCCAGACTTATATTTACATATCCTGCTTATAATTTTTATGTCTGCATCTATATGATGCTCCAAAATGTCAGTGGCATTAAAATAAACAAACAAAAAAACAGAAGGGTCATGCTTGGGGATCTGCAACTAAAGGTATGTATGGAGTAACCTGAAGAAATGATTCAGCTGAGTATTTCTCCTGAAGAGGACATTGACAAGAACAAGACTGTTGTTCCTATTGAATATCTCTTCTGAAGTTTTCTTGATAAGCCACTCCAAAATATAACACTTGCATAATTAATTGATGCCCAAGAGTCAATGTTTGAGCCATTGAGAGGTTAGCTCTTTCAGGTAAACCATTCTCTTGTATTGGGGAACCATGAACATTTTTCATCCTACTGTGTCATTTGCCTTTTAAATGCTTTAAAAGGTAGGGAGTGAGAGTACTGGTGCTACGATCTGAATGTTATGTTGTCCCCTCTCAAAATTTATATGTTAAAATCCTAATTCCCAAAGTGATGGTATTTGGAGATGGGATCCTTTGGGAGGTGATTAGTTTATGAAGGCACAGCCCTTATGAATGGGATTAGTGCCCTTATAAAATAGGCTAAAGGGATTCTGTCTGCCTCTTCCTATCATATGAGATCACAGCAAGAAGTTGCTAAAAAGGGCCCTCACTAGAACCTTGCCATGCCGGCACCCTGATCTTGGACGTCCCAGCCATCAGAATTGTAAGAAATATGTTTCTGGTTTTATAAGCTGCCCAGTTTATGATATTTTGTTGCATCAGTCCAAGTGGACTAAGATAACTTGGGTGGAGTTTAGGGAAAAAAATCATAGAATTCAGTAATAATCTGTCAGGCTCTAGCTCAAATCCTGTAGTTTCTAGGAGAACTTCTTTTATTTCTCTAATACTTAGCACATTCTCTATGTTTTGAAATGCAAGAAAATATTTTCTACTTAGCACTAAATTATTTTGTTCATAAACATTTTTTATTTTCTAAATTATCTATTTGGGTCAGGGACAGCATTTTATTCTGTTTGGCACAGCACCCTTCCACCCTCTATCCGCCCCGCCCCTCACCCCCCACCCATACACATAGATACAGGTAAAATCCCACCACCACAAAACATGCAGGGGCATTGCTATCCTGTCCTTCTGCCTCCCCCCACAAAATTTACACACTTCATGCTTCTCACTCAGCTCCCTGAATTGTGTGCAGTTAGCTAGCAGAAAAGCCAGTACTGATTGATTGTTAGGGTTGCCTAGAGTTTCAATGAAATGTGGAATTTTATTGCCACATTTTGTTGCAAAATTAATAATTCTGCGAACTTGAATGATTTTTTTTCTTACAAACAGCAATTAAGTAGTCATATCCCGTATCATTGTGCTATAATTAACTCTATCTCATTCTTATTTTGTATGATCTTGGGAAATAAGAAAAAAAGAAAATTTGCCATTCCTATGTAGAAATATCTTCTTTTAAGATTATATTGTGAAATCAGCTTTGGTTTATATTTTAAGATTAGAACTCAAATTGCTAATGCAAACTATGGCAAAACAGAAATAATCCTCTGACTTCCATCAAAGAACCAAAAACCCCCAACAGGGCTATCTATTCAAGTCTGCAAGACTTCAAGGTTCAGAAGCACCAAGGTAACCCATGTATAAAGCAAAAACCAAGGCAATATTCTACAGAAAGTTGACCCTAGATGGTTGGAAGCCCATACATCTGAGTACCTGTGGGGCATTGGAGAGACAGTGGGGGCGAGTGTTTGTATGTATATGTGTGTATATGCTAGGGGGTGAAGACTATGCAAGAGAGGCCATTATAGCTTACTGGTTAGCCTCATGGACTCTGGAACTAGCCTGAATGAGTTTAAATTACAGCTTGGTCATTTATTAATTATGTGACTTTGGGCAAAACAAAGGCAAAATGGTAACTACCTCTTAAGACTGGTGTCAGGATTACTTGGGTTAATACATGAAAAGCACTTAGAACAGTGCCTAGCAAGTGGTGAGCACTCAATAAATATTAGCAACTGTCATTACACCAAATAGAGGAGTGTGATGCATCTAATACAAACTTCATCATGTTCAAAAGGAAGCCTAGATTCACCTGAAGTTTGAAATATGAGCCACAAAGAATGAGAAACATGACATTAAATATAAGAATTTTAAAATGAGTTTCTCTAAGCCATTGAAAAGACCTGGCAAAGTGTAGTCAGGTTATTTAGATGGGCTAGACAAATTGCTTCTCCCAAGTCTCCACCTATGTGAGTGCTCACATCACAAGACGGCAGTGTAAAATTCTCAATAGTATCTAAATAAATTAATTCTATCAGATATCCAAATACTGCAAAAATAGAAAAAAATCCCAAAAAACACATTAAAAATTCTCAGAAATTTTTATCCTTAACGTCCCTTACGTGATTAATGATATACTCATTTAGAGCAGAATAATGGATATCTAATGATACACAACACGTAGAACAAAATACATTTACAAATGTTAAATGTACATATATATTCTGTCAGAAAATTGAAATGTATTAAGATGATTTTAGTTTACTTTTATTATTCAGTCTGTTTACTATATTTAGATAATAAAATTCTATTAGCATTATACATGACTTATGAGTTCAAAACAACTTTTCAGTAGCAGCATAGGAAATGTGCGGGTGGGGCAGGGTTGATAAATGGGCTCTATGAGAAGAATAATGGTAGGCTTCGCACTCTTTTCATAAAGAATATTTCAAATTTATCATATAAAGTGAGTTCCTGCAAGTGTGGTGACAACCTGGGGGAAGAATAAAGAACCTACTCCTAACAATGAACAGAATTAAAGTAGAATTGGAGAATACTCAGGCATTAGAGAGTATGTACCATGTAATCAAGTTCATATTGATCAAATATTGAGGGAAAAAAATGACATCCAAGGTTTTCCTAGGATGCTTCCATACTCAAATATAGCCACATGGCTGAGGTAATCTTGCATTATATGCTCAGCTATAAGGCTCTAGACTTCAATGGAAAGTGATCATTTTCATAATGTTAAATTCCCTTTGTGAGTGTGGATCCCATTTACTTGCTACCAGTCAGCATTCTTGTCACTTTACTCCAAGCTGAATAGCTTGGTTATAGCAGGAACCAGTAGCTGTCTTGCCCATCTCCACCAGGTGTATGTGTAGCACGGGGGGTCGCAACATCATGGTTGAAGCTCTTTAGATGACTTGTCACGCCCAGGATTCGCCCTTTAGTTACCAAAGTGAGGTGAAAAGAGAAAAAAGGATTGTCTCCTTGGGTTTTAGAGTCACTTTATTCTCTGAGTTTCTAGGTGCTGATGAGAAAGTTAGAGCTGGGAAAGAGAAAAGGGATCCCCATGACTTGTCCTTTTATCCCGAGGGGTAATCCAATACTGCTTTTCTCCTTTTGTTCCATGGCAACTGTGCAAGAGACTTTAGTAGATGTCCCTCAGTTGGGGTTTATAAGATGTTGATTAGCCTGAGTTATGAGTTTTTGGGAGGAAGAGCACAGAGGTAAACTGCCATTTTCAGCATATCATATCAGGAGCACAAACTATCGACGTGATTTATCACTGTTGATGTTAACCCTGAACACTTGCCTAAGATAGTGTTTGTCAAGTTTCTTCACTGTAAAGTTACTCTTTCTTCCTTTCTCCATACAGTCCTCTTTGGTAAGAACTTTCTGTGTACAACCCACACTTAAAAATTAGAGAGATGTGCTTCACCTCCTTGAGGATGAATTGTCTACATAGAATAGTTGAAATTCTTCTGCATGGGAGATTGGTTTTTATTTATTCATTCATTCTTTCAATTATTCATTCATTTATGGCAATATGGACTCATGAATATTTATTTTATATTTTGAGTTATAAACCAGTATTACTTTATTTTGTTGCCCAAATTTTTCCAGCTTTGGTTATTGAGGACACTTTCAGTTGGTTGGCCATGACCTTGCAAAAAGTCAAATTCCTCAAAAACAAAAAAGGTCTAAGAAACTGTTACAATCAACTAAATGTGATGCAATATTCTAGATGGAATCTTGAAACAGGGAAAAGATATTAGGTAAAAGTAAAGGAAATCTGAATAAAGGATGGGCTTTAGTTAATAATAATGAATCAATAATGGTCTGCTAGCAAATGTACCATACTAATGTAAGATGTTAATAATAAGAGATACTGTGTACAGGGTTTGTGGGGACTTTTTGTATTACTTTTGCAATTTTTTGGTAAATCTAAATCTAAAATAAAATGTTAAAAAGAAACCATAATGCCTTAGTTTCCACTCAGTAGATTCTTTTAAATAATTTCAACTCTTATTTTAGAGTCAGGGGGTACATGTTCATGGGTATATTGCATGATGCTGAGGTTTGAAGTACAATTGAACCCATCACCCAGGAAATAAGCCTAATACCTAACAATTTTGCAACCCTTGCACTCAGCAGAATTTCAAGGAGTTGAAGATCTAATTTGAGCAGAGCTCCTGCCTGCCACAAAGACCTCAAGAGCCAGCTGAGTTCTCACCATAAACTGAAATATTCAAGATCTCTTATTCTAAATTGATTTTCAAACCTCTCAAAGGAACTTTTTCTGCTTACTAGAAAGTTAATTCAATAATTGTGATCTGAAACTTCTCATGTGCAGACAAGCAACTGACAAATTAAATTAGGGCCACTGTATATAACCAAACTCTCTCAGAGGACCTAATGCCACTTGACTGGGTTGGGGCTGCTGTGTAGCTTTGGAGTCATCTTGCACATCGCTAACTATCTGTGCTTGATTCCAAAGGTGGCTTAGCGTCTATGGTCAATTCCACCTTGATAGCCATGTAAATAGTTCCTGGGTGAAGCCCAGACCATAGGGAACATTATCTCTCCTCTTCTGGAAATGATAACTCTGCATAGCCAGACTCAAATTACACTGACCTTTTTGATAGCCATGTCACATCCTACAGTGACAGTCAATTAGGTTGCCCAGCTCACTCTGAGGGTTTTTTAAGCACTGGAAATTAACAACATTTTGTGTGTGTTTTATTAAATGTCTGTATTTCTGATTTGTGTCTCAATGCATTGATGTTTATTTCTTGGCCCATTTATTTCTGAATTTACAGCTTTTCCTTTTCTATTCACTTTTCTCTTTGATGCAACACTTAATTTGTGTTAGGAAGAAATAAATAAGTTACCGCTTTTAAGATGTGAAAGACCCAAAATAGCTCTGAGATTTGCTGTTTTATGAATGATTGAAAATCAAAGTCATACTTAAGGTGAGATCAAAAGACACATAATGCTTTCCAGCCTAAAATATGCATTTGAGATTTAGGGGTAGCTACAAATGTAATTATTATAATCATGAAATAATTGCTGCTTTCCTTCAGTATTTTCAGGAGGAGGCATTTCACTCAGAAAGTCAGGATAGGGGGCTGGGCATGGTGGCTTATGCCTGTAATCCCAGCACTTTGGGAGGCTGAGGCGGGTGGATCACTTGAGGTCAGGAGTTGGAGACCAGCCTGGCCAAAATGGTGAAACCCTGTCTCTACCAAAAACACAAAAATTAGCTGGGCATGGTGATGCATGCCTGTAATCACAGCTACTCAGCAGGCTGAGGCAGGAGAATTGCTTGAATCCAGGAGGCAAAAGTTGCTGTGAGCCGAGATTGTGCCACTGCACTCCAGCCTGGGCACAGAGCAAGACCCTGTTTTAAAAAAAAAAAAAAAAAGAAAGAAAGTCAGGGTAGGCTTGCCACCAGAAAAGCCTTCAAATGGGAAGTACTTGTTACTTGTTTCTCCAAGGGCTAGTCTTTCTAGAAGGGGATTTCATGACAAGTATATTGAAACAGCCATAAAGATAAGGTATCTACCTGGTAAATTCTCAGGGCCTACCGGTAAACCACTGGAAGCCTTTCTTCAGAAAACACAGAGGTAACACTCCTTTGCTGAAGCAAACATATTAATTTCCTTTTTTGTTTAATTTGTCTTTATTGTTAAAATCAGTACCACCATGGAAAAGCATGCATTAGTTACCAATGGTTCAGAATGTTCTTCTGAGTACCTTACAAAGATAACTGCATACACCTGTACTGATAATCTTGCAGTCAATACTGCACAAGGTATAAAATGAGACAGGTGCGTCCAGGTAAAGCTCCTGGATGGTAAGAATTATTTTACTTATCTCTCTATTTCCCAACATACTCAGCATACTGCCTTGTTGGTAAGTGCTTTAGAAATATTTGTTGCATCAAGCCGAATTACAGTGAGAAGAGGCAAAGTGTGTATCATGCCAAATCCCTTAATTCCCCAAATCCGCATACTGCCAACAACAAACTGTAAATCAGAACTGCTACAGATATATTTGAACTTCTGTTTAAATTCCTCACTAAGTTAGTGCTTTTAAGTTTAACACTCTAGTCACATTCCTGGCAGGAAGAGAAGCACCAAGAAGGAAAATTAGAGAAGTCTAGTCTAGTGCTCATCTTGGCATTGACATCTGGCTGCAGAAGCCCCAGGGCAAGAGGCATAATGCTTCTCACCCTCAGTTTTCTTACTTGGGTGGTAAGCGGGAAAGAAGGAGCAAAAGCCAACTTTTTAAACTTTTTTACCACTTAAAAAATAGAAATTTTACACATAACCATATTTAACTGTCATTTGATGACTTTCTATCATTAGCACCATCTTAATGACCAAGCAGCAACTTTCAAAAGGAATGTAGCAGTTACGCATCTTAAAGACTTCAGAGTCTGATGCTTAGAAAGGAAAGGACATTTGCTAATTGCCCATATTTTAGGTTGCATGCCTGGTATTTAAGAACCAGCATCATATGAAAACAACACTGGGAGTTCACTCTGGGTTGCCTGGACCACACACTAGCTGGTCCTGGTGATTCTTCTTTTCTCAAATAGGGTAGGCGGCAGCACCCAATTTCAGTTTAAAATGGAATTGAAGACTACTTCTCTGAGTAGGCCTCTGCAACCCAAGAATGGGCCCCAATATTTCCCAGACTCTCAGAATTTTTATATCAGGCAACTGATAATCCCAGAAAATGCTTGTAAATATTTAACACTCAAAATCTGGACAGTCTTGGGCCAAACAGCCTATGTATCTCATCTTAATGAAGTTCTTTTCTTATATGAATAAAAAGAGATATCCGTGGGCCTCCCTAGTGGAATAAAGTCCACACTATATATGATGCAGATTTCCTGACCTCATGTGCCTCTCCACAGACAGATGGGAACATCGGGGGATTTTCAGTATCTGTGGCTTGTTTGCCCTGGCCTCATCAGTGCTTCCTTTCCCCTACAAATATTCTTCAGTGAATGTCATGTGATGTTTTGCTTGGCCCCTTCCTCCACCAATAGAAATCCTTAAGGGATCATCTGGCACAAAAATATCATAGAGAAAAGTGTATGGACTTTGGGTTTGAAATGTATTACTTACTGTCATATATTAGTTCATAGATTAGTATTTAAGTTTTCTTGGTCTTAGCTTCCTCTTCAATGAGACTGATCATCCCCTCAGTTTTATTTAGATATTAAATAAAATGATGAATGCACATCATTTATCACAGGCTCTGCTACAAAGTATGAACTCTGTCTTTTCATTCTTTTCCATGACTTTTCCAATGTCTTCCATAATCTTCCATCACACGTACCTTTTAGTTCTAAAATTAAGAGGAAAAAATGAAGGAATAAGGGAGAGAATTGAAGGACACTTATCAGATAAAGGACTAGAAGTGGAGAGCAGCAAGGCAAGGAAGCAAACTTGAAAGAAGGATGGTTTCAGAAGAATAGAATAAAACTTCTGGGAAGCTTTTTTTCTGACTTCCAGTATGTTTCGGTATCACCATTAACTCTAGGCCTAAGCAGAGAGCAGCTGCAAATAATTTTTCTGTTCTTATTTATTTATCCTCAAATAAAGATTGATATATATGAGTTCTCTACATTTTCAGGTACTTGTGAGGTCTGCCTGGTATTCAAATTGCACCCTAATAGGTACCAAAGGACGCAGCAGCACTTCACAATACCATGGTCTGTGTTTTGGTAAAGCATCATTATAAACCTCCCTGCAAGCTAAGTGGTAACAGTTCCCAAAGACAGACTGCGCTATACAGAGGCTGTCATGATGTGCTTTCATTTATGACCATATGATTTATATTGGGCAATGACAACAGCATCATGATAATCACCATGGAATTCAACTTAGAGAGACTTACAACTCTTTAAATGGATACAGTAGCTTTCAAGCTGTCAAAAAAGAGAAATAGTTTATAACAGCAGCATTTTAACAGGATAAGAAAACAGAGTCCTGTAAATATCAGAATGAGATTATTAATCTGCTATTAATATGAACTGCCGTGTTTTCTAAGCATGAAAATAAAGCAATTTTCATTTTTGTTCCTCTTTTTTAAGTCAGTCTGACCTCTTGACTTGAAATATTCATTTATAAATGAATCACAATCAGAAATATAGGGAGATCAGACCAAATTCTGGACCAAAAGGGAAGGGCTATATTATTATTGGTATTTATCCTCAAAGATGGATGAATATTGTGATTTTTAAATTATATTAACTTTGCCCCTGTACACCCCAGTCCACAAAGTATAAATTCCTGTTTTATACTTTTCAAGGTGGTTTTATCCTGTTCAAGGAATTTTTATGGTGAGTGCAGAAGAACTCTGCAAAGCATCTTCCAAATGGGAATTGCTGATCCAAACGGGAAAAAAAAAATCTGTCTGTTTCTCCTGAAGCCAGTTTTATATGAAGGTAGATAATTATTGAAAAATATATCTTGAACTTGAATTATATATGGACTTTGCAGTTTATAAAATACTTTCACATATTTCACCTGGGAAGTGCATGTCCATGTGCACTTGGGGGCATTTTAGCTCTCTTGAGCCTCTTCAGCCCCAGATTTCTTATCCATTGACTATGTCACAATGCATGAAATTTCCATCCAATTCACTATAGCAAAGTGCAGAAAGTGCTGCATTTGGAATCAGAAGTCATGTGTATATGCCTCATCTTTGCCATTTACCTGTTGTATTAGGTTGGTGCCAAAGTAATTGCGTTTTTGCCAATGGCAGCCTAAGAGTTTACCATGAGGCAAATCATTTATCTCTGAAGTATTTGTTAATTCCTAAAATAAAATTACCTGAACTTGACGCACACAAGAACCCCTTTTATCTCTACCATTCTATGATCACATATTCTCTTCTTTTTATTCACACCTAAGTAATGAGTATATGTTACATACTAGCTTTCTATTTTTAAGCCAGAAAGAGAGGCAGCCACAGCAGAAGTATTTTAGAATGCAGACTCAAAAGCAGAGGCAGGTTCTAAGGGTGCCTCTTCAAATCAAGAGAAGGATATCAAGGATTTAGAGTTGAGGATGGATTCAAGGCAGAACTCCCAAGTATCTGAGGCTTGAAGGACAGCTGATGTGGCTAAGAGCAGAGGCATGCCTTGTACTATTGTTTATATAAAAGTGCTGCACAATAAGTCATATTAGGAAAGTCTAGGCAAGCCTTATAACAAGTGGCCCAGGAAATGTGCCCTGTACACACTTAACACTAGTCACATCATCCAAAAGAAGGTCTTAAATAAGGGGCTGGAAGCATCAGTGTAGATGATATTTGCCTACTTTTCAAATTTTATTCATCTCAGAAGACTGCCTGATGGGTGAAAATAAGGATATTCATGGGAATGAAGAAAGATGATTTCTATATTCTTATTTTATTAATTACTGTATCACTTCACAGTGGCAAGCCTGCTAAAGATCCATAGGCAATCAGATAAAATGAAAAATTTGGCAGAAAATTGGAAAAACAATGTAGGAAGAAAGAAATCTGTGTTTACATTGAGAATACTCATTTGAGTAATAAAGATTCACAAAATTGAGAGAGAATTTTAGTATTGTTTTTACTCTTTCTTTAAAAAAATGCCTTTGAGATTTTTTTCAAGGCTAGCCTTTAATCTGTAGATTACTTTGGGTAATCCGGACATTTTGACAGTATTATTTCTTCCAATCCATGAACATGTGATGTCTTTGCATTTATTTGTGTCTCCTTCAATTTCTTTCATCAGTGTTTCATAGTGTCTAGTGTACAAATCTTTCGTCTCCTTGGTCAAGTTTATTCCTAAGTATTTTATTCATCCAGAGAGAATAGATGCCAGGTGAGATTGGAGGAGATGCCCCTGGGACTAGGCTTCTTTACTTGGAATCCAGACATCCTTTATTTTGCTTTTTAAAGTGTCTGAAAACCAGTTTTATTACTTTCCAATGCCATTTCTCTTCCCTGTTTTCTTACTTTTTTCTCTTCCTCTTTTTCTCTTCTTATCCTTCTTCTAATTATGATCATTGTTTATAGTTTTAAAATTCCTTGTTAATGGAATTTCAATCCCAACAATTCACATTATTTTACTAAAGGCTGAATGTAAGTTTCTTTTTGAGGTAATTCTATTTTATATAGTTTCCTTTCCCAGTGATTCTGTCATATCAATCAATGGCAGATTTTTACATTTTTGTAAGAAATTGTCAGGATTAAAAAAAGATAATATGATACCTGCTGTGGGGATTTAGAACATTTCAGTTAGTAAGTCAATGAAGTTATCAAAAATAGATCTGAAGAGATTACAGCAACAGCAGCTCTTGAAATAGTATGAAATTAATCATCTGGGAAATAAGGTAAAGCAAGAAGTATCCAGGCAGAGAGTCTGCAGTAGGCCTCTAAAGCTTTAGAGATTGATTCCTGGATATTGCAGCCCTTGTGTGCTACTACAAGGAATTCCTGGAAATAGTATTAACCCAAATCCCAGCAGTGCATAAAGAGCCCTGGGTGTAGGCTCTGGACACAGAACAACAGTTTGTGTGGGTAACAGCATGGTATATTATAAGAAGACAAATGTCATATACAAATTTTAGTTGTTTTAATTATAGTCTGCAGCTGTTATGCAAAGCTAAAAATAATGTAACTGTCACTGTCAAAATGTATTTTTTTCAAAGGGGAATGTCTTTACAAATGGCACTGTAGTGAATACAGCTACTAAATTTAAAGACTCCCAATTTAAAGTGGATGACTAGGTTCTCTCATGCAGTTGGTGAAATTTGTTAAGATCTTCATTTCTTTCAAGACCAGGAAATATGCTTTCAACATGAATCAAGTCCTCTGTTTGAGTGCTCATAGACCTCTATTTAGGTGTAGCTTCTCATAGAATTGATAGCATATTTGCTATGAATTTTCTGGCTTCTATTAAAGGTTTCCTTCTGCTTCCTTCTGCTGGGGGACTTTAAGCATATAATATTTTTTTTTCATTTTTTTCTTTCGAAATGATAGTGCTATTTAGAAACAAGAGGTTAATAAAGAAATAGAGAAGATAAAAATTACTGTCTTAATGGTTTTTATTTTAATTGTCAGGTACTTAACTATAGCCTTAGATAATTGTCACAGCAAGATATATAAATGTCCATGAGAAAAATACCACAGATAATTTCAATTATATAAGACTTCATTATATTCATTTAGTGGAAACTGTAGTATTAATTGGTACATTCAAAAATTCATATAATTATCATTTCTTTTTCAGTATTTAGATTACCATATGCCATTTCTTCTCCTTAAAGTGTAAAAATACATCTATGCTTTAAAATGCTTTCAACGTCAAAAGAATTACTAGATGGTAAAAAAATTCCACTAATCAGGGAGCTTTCTTTTTTCTTTCTTTCATTTTAGTGATTGTTAGGAGATGATTTGATTTTTTTATTCTGAAATTTTTGTTATCTCTCAATCAGGTTTTTATTGGACTCCAGTCAATGCCGAACTATTAATATGTGCTTGGTACTTACCATATCATATTATAACAATCAGAAGTCACAATAATTGGGCCATTTGGGAGTAACATCTGAATAAATAATTTCATCTTGTATTGTTTAGAAATATAACCAATTCAGAGCTGAAAACCGTAGAAAAATTTTAAAATATGAGATTGTACCTTATTTTATGATAAATTGAATTGTGAAGAAAAGGAGTTTGTCTTTTAAATATTTTAAAATGCTATATTTATAAAATTTGTACATTTTTTGAGACAAATCAATAAAATACAGATAAGCAAGCAACATGAAAGTGTTCCCCCATATCCTATAATCCTAGCCTGTGGGTTTAACACCACAGTCATTAGATCTGTCTGCCTGAGAAATATCTTCCTTTATGTATTTCCAATTTCATGGTTAAAAAACTGTCATGAAAGAGTAGACCAATTTTTAGATAATAAAAATAAGTGTCTCTATAGAACTCATCATGATAAATAAAGACTCATATTTCTCTTGGCTGGCATTGAAGCAGAGAACTATTTTTAATCACAGATTTACTTGGGAGTCCATTAACAAACTAAAATCAATGGCCACTTAGGAGTAATCCTAAATACTGTACATTTTAAAATGCAAATGAGAATGGGTCCATGGAAAAATGATTATAGGGTCAAACCTTAAAAATAGGAATACCAGGGTGGGATTAGAAATGAAGATGCATTGTCTTCAGATTTACTAGAAATGTGTGGCCTTTCCAATATCGTAAATGAACTAACACAGAAGCAGAAAACCAAATATCACAAGTTTTTACTTACAAGTGGTGGCTAAACAAAGAATACACATGGACATAAAAATGGAGAAAGTAGACTCTGGGAACTCCAAAAGGGGAAAGGGTGGGAGGGGAATGAGGGTTGAAAAATTACCTATTGTGTGCAATGTCCAATATTTGGGTGATGGGTACAATAGAAGCCCAACCACCAGCATTATACATGCAGTACTCATGTAACAAAGAAGGACATATACTCCCTGAATCTAAAATTTAAAAAAAGAAAGTTATGGCCTGTAAAGAGCAGTTTCAATCACCCCGGGAAGGTGAAGCAATTAAGTGTCCAGGTGCGGAAGCTTTTAGATTTGTTGAGCATCACGAGATTCAGTCCACTGTGTAATAAAGCTTCCCAAATTTGTTTCCGTAACCTTGTTCTCTGTCTGAGGTACACCCTACTCAGTCATCAGTAAAGTCTCCTGCTGAGAACTTGCACAAGGGATTGTGTCTCAGGCACCAGCTGGAAACATCATTTATGTTGTACTGATCTTCCTGGCAAGAGACTCAGCCTCTATGGACACAGGGAATCTGGGAGCCTGTCTCCCTGCTTCGCGTTAAAAGAAATCATTCCTCTTTCCTTCCAAAATCAACTAAGTTCAAACCCAATCACATAAGTTCAACTCCGTAAACTGTATAGGTTATACGATTCAAAACCACACTGGGCCCTAAATAGGAGATATCTAATTCACCTAAGGTTTTCTCCGTGTAAATACAGAGAAAGCGCTAATATTTGGACTTGAATTTATTATAAATGAAAAACAGTTCTTAGAGGGAGCCAGAGATTCTGATGAGAAATCAGGCTTCTGACTTCTATTTTTTTCCTTGAAAATCACTACTCTTTATTTTTTTCTTTTTAATCACAGAATATACTGTCATTCTAGGTAATGATGAAAACCTAAATAAATGACTGTTTACTGAATTCCTACTAAACTCCAGGTACTATGCTAGGCATTTTACAGTTTATATTTAATATGTCAAATTCGTTTATAAATTTTATATGGAAAAAATTTGTAATAATAGGAGAAAGAGAAATTCAGGATTGGAAAGAAAGATGTTGATGAGAAAAACTCATGGTTTTGCACTACAGCTTTAGAGGAAGGGAGCTGAGTCAAAACCCACCAGAACTGTCCCTTCTGAATGGGAAAGAAGGTCAGCTGTTCTCTAGTGGCGGGATGGAACCCCACTAAAAGAACCTACTGAGCTTCACTCTCCTCTGGCTAAAATTATACAAATAGAAACAGGGGCATGACTTTTCTTTATGGGATTCTCCCTAAAGTTTCCCTAAGACTTTTCCTTTCTGGAATATCAGGAAATAAGAAAAAATGGTGGGTATCATTATTATTTAATAAATGTGAAATATTATGATGGAGAAAAATTAGGAAACTTGCCCAAGGCACAACTTCTCATTACTGGGGAATATAAATCAGTATACTTGTCCAGACTTAATTAGTGAGCTTCCTTAAATCATTCCAAACACTATTACAGTCCTCCTTACACTGAATGTTGATTAAATGTATGCAAATCTGTTGCCTTTCCTAAGTTTGAACTACTTTACTAAATGTGTTCATTTTTACTTTCCTCCCACCCCCGTTGTACTTAGTACTGTTCACCCATCCTTTCAATCGATATTTACTGAGTTGTGTGGCACTGTGCCAGGAATAGTCTGTCTCATGGAATATTGAATGTAGTTGGTGCTACAGACAATAATAAATGCCAACAATAATTATTATAAAACCGTATTTGTAATTAGGACAAATCATGGCAACCAGTTCTTGACTACGAGTATAATTGCACACCTCTTTTCTCCTTATGGTGAAATTCTCAAAGAATTATTAGCAAGAAGAAGGTCTGAAGTGAGATCTCTGATGCAAGCTTAGACTTGCCATCAACCAGAGTGCTGGGTGGTGGATCAGGACCACCAGGCAACCTCGGATCCCTTTCAGCCTGGCAAGCTTCTGCATTTGGCCATTATCAGTCTGTTTATCAGGTCTCAGATGAGGAGAAACAAGTAAAGAATAGCATTAACAATACTTGTGTTAGATTTTAAAAATAGTTCCTGGACAAATAAATTTTAAAAAAAAAGTCAATGAAGGTTTTTTATCTTTTCCCATTATCTAATGTCCTTCATGGACCTTACAAATGTCTAGTGATAGAAACATTCTTGATAAAATTGAAGATAAAGGTAATCTAGTCGTTCTATCTGCTGAAATTGATAATAATTTAATTCTTTTTACATTTAAAATTGTATAATTCTGTATTATAACAGAAACGCATTTTTATATTATAAAAATCAAACATATCAAAAGTAAGCATTTTATTTCTTTCTTTAATATCTCTCATTATCTACAATTATATTCCCTTCCATAGGTATATAATCTCAGGTGTATACTTCAAATGTACTCTTCACAGTTAATGATAAACACATGTATGCACAAAATAAACATAGATTCTGTTTTTAGGTAAATGGAATTGTACTTTGCACATGTCTTTCAACCAAAGATAATTTTGTCCCCAGGAGACATTTGGCAATACCTGAAGACATTTTTGATTTTCACAGTTTGGGGTGGTAGGTGGTTTTACTGGCATTTATTAGAGGCCAAAGATGCTGGAAATCACTCTACAAAGTACAGGATGGCCCCCTACAGCAAATAATTACTCAGTCCCAAATATTAATAGAACCAATGTTGAGAAACAGCTCTATAAGATGTTCTGTCACCTGCTTTTTTACAGATCTACTTCATCGCTTAAGCAATGGCATAGTATTTGCTTTTACCATATGAATTTTCCATAATGTATTTTTATTTTAAATTATGATCTGATTCAAACATAGTACATGTACTCATGTAATCATCATCCATATAACATTTTAGATATTTTTAAAATGAAAATATTATAGATATAACTGTACAGTCTCCTGCCGTCTAATCATCCTCTTACTCTGACTCAAAAGTCAACCTCTATCCAGAAGCAGTTATGTTTCCTGTACATCTATATACTGTGCTTTTGCTACATATGTATTAATCCAGAAATAACACAGTATTGATTTTTATGCATTTAGAAGTCACATGAATGATAACAAACATTATGCACACTTTAGCACCTTGCTTTTTTTCTAACATAACTTTGATATATATGTACATGGTTCATTCATTTTAGCTACTAGTTATTACTCCATTTTATAAATGTACCACGATTTATCAATTTCTTTCTTAAAATAAGAAATTTATTTTATGTTCAGTTTTTACTGATACAAGCAATGCTGTGATGAATATCCTTGTTTCTCCTTGCCAACATAAACCAGGGTTTGTAATACTTAATCACAGAACCATTGGTCACAGGGTATAAATGGCTTCAATTTATCAGATACTACCTGATTGTATTTCAAATGTATTAAATTAATTCATATTTCCAGGAACCATATGTGAAAATTCTTGTTTTCCTGTATCCTTATCAACGTCAATACTTGTTATTATCAGACTTTAAATCATTGCCATTTATGAATATGAGTTTCCTGTCTTGTTAGCGTGCCTTTCCCTGGCTACTAGTAAAGTTGACGGTTGTATCAGTTAGCTATCGCCCCACTAATGCTACATCACAAGTCACTCACAATTCAATGGCTTAAAACTACTCTTATTGATTAATCATTCTCAGTCTGTTGTTTCGCTGGCAGTCAGCTGATCTAGACTGGGCTTGGCAGGGCAACTCAACTGGGTTTGTCTTCCTGCTGAGGCTTGGACTTGTGCTTATTTATTCAGTTGCTCAATTAATTAATTGGGCATGTGTGGTCATTCAGAGGCACAAGCCAGCAACATGAAAGATCTCTTAAGGCTGATACTTGCACAATTTCTTATGGCTTCATTTTGGAACTGGCGTGTGTTCACTTTTACCACACTCTTTTGGCCAAAGCAAATGGCCAACCCTAAGTCAAAGGGTGAGAAAATATATTCTTTCCATTTAGTGGGAGGAACTGCAAAGTCATGTGGAAAAGGGCTTAGATACAGGGAGGAATGAAAAATTTGGCCAGTAATGCAATCCTCTACAGGGTTGTTCAGGCTTCTTTTTCTGTGAATTGCCTATTCACAGGCTTTAACAATTTTCCTTTTTTGGATATTTGTCATTTTTTATTTATATGTAAAAATATTTGTATATTTTAGCTACTAATTTTGTATCACTGATTTTTTCAGCCATGCCTTTTTACTTCTTTTATTCTGCTATTGTTGATATAGAAAGTTTTAATGTAAATAATTTTTTCAAACTTTTCTCCCATTGATTAATAATGATTTTTAAGTTTTCTATGCAAAGCTCCCAAATTACTGTTCCGTTCCACTTGTTCATTTGCATTTCCCACACAGGTTAAATTACCATGACTATATAAAAATTCAACACATTTAATAGTATGAGCCTATACTCATCCCATTCTTTTTTTCCAAAATGTTCTTAACCACTTTTACTCTTTCCTCTTCCATGTGAATGTTAGGATAAGCTTCTCATCTTAAAAAGTTTCCTATTGCAAATTAAAATAAAGTATATTAAGTTTATAGACTAAATTGGAGAAGAAATACAATCACTAATAAAGTAGTTACTCAATTATTTAAAACCCTTTTTCTCTTATGTGTTTTGTTCTAATGTAAATAAGGATCTATTTTTTTAAATTATGGTTTATAATTGGCTGTTGCTCCTGTATAGGAAAGTGATTTTTATAGATGGATCTCAAATACTGCAAATTTGTGGGACTGTAATTTTCACAATGTGTCAATAGATTCTTGTAGAATTTTCTATGTTGATAATTTTTTGTCTGTGAGTAATGATTTTATATATTCCTTTCAAATCTATATGTCTCTTGTTCTTTTCCTAATCCAATTTTGTGTCAATAAGTTTCAATAAAGTCTTAAATAGAACAATGATTGAAGGAATCTGGTTATGGCCTCTTACACTAAAGGAAATAATCCTAATGGATATTTTTATTGTAGGTTTTTGGTAAGAATCCATCATCAAGTAAAGGGAGCTATCTTTCACTTCTAGTTTTCTGAGAATTTATGATTTGATTAGAAATATTACTCTATTTCTTCTTGAATCAATTTTGCTGTTGTGACATATTTTATCCATGTTTTAACATTTATTATGTTTGGACTATAGTTAATTATAAATTTCTCTATTTGTAATTATGGTCCCATTTTTTTTCTTGATCAATAATGTCAGCAAATTAGGTATTTCATTAGTCTTCTCAAAGAAAGAATATTTGATTCCAATGATTCTACAATTTCTTTAGTTTTTTTAAGTGCTTTTCTTATTTTAATAATTAATATTACATTCATTCTACCTTCTCTAGATTTACTATTTTGAATTGTTTAGTGCTTGGATTTGGTTAATAGCTTAATTTAACATGTTGATTTTTCTCTTTTTTCCCTATCAGCATTTCAGGAAATTTTTCTATGTATTATTTTATGGCTTTCCACATATATACTACTTCTGTTGCCTTGTGTTCTAATTATTTCATAATATCTATTAAGACTAATTCTTTGGCACATAAATTATTTTAAGTATGTTTTCCACTTTTCAAATGCATAATATTTTTGCTCTTTTGTTACTTGTTTCTAGTTTCATTGCATTGTGTTCAGAAAACAGTGTATACTATATTGATTTTTTGATAGTTTGAGGCTTTGTGAACTAATACTTGATTTTTACCAATGTGCTGTTTATAAGTCATAGAATGTCACATTTATCATCATGCAATCCCACATAATATTGTCTTATACTAAAACAGCTCATTTACTCTGAAGCAGGTGCAGCAATGAGCAAGTAACAATGAGATGCATTGGCTCTACCATAAACTGCCTCACCCAGGAGCTGCCAGATTCAGAGTAGATGAAATTGCCTTTTGATGGAACAGCAAAGGGGCCAGCTTGGAGATGACACTCATGAAAGCCTATGAGCTAGACCACTGTTCTTCAAGATGTGGTTATGCATTATTTTTTCTCCTAAAAGAGTTTTACTTCTCATAAAGCACTGTAGTCTGCAGAGCGGCCATTCTGACAGGCTAGGAGGCATAGTCTCCAGACAGAAGCAAGAAGCAAACACTTCCAGGGAGGGAAAAAGACAACAGGAATTTATGCTGAGCAGGGTGGCTGAATATATGTACTTAATAAGCTATAGGAGACATAATGAATATTTATGAAAGGAGAAACGTGCCCATGCACAATTGTGCTTGATGCTTCTCCATCTTCAACAAAAAAGGTGGTAATCCAAGGGGGAGTTTTTGTCTTTCTGACATCCAAAGGTGAGGCAGGTGACACAAAAAACCCTTGGTGCACTTTCTCCATAGACTGGCCAGAACAACTCCATGGTTGTTGGTCTCTTAACAGGCAAAAAAGGAGTGGCAGCACCAAGGCATTAGTTGATATTAACGGTGGAGTCTTTTGAAAAAGGTGGTTTCTCTTTAGCCCTTACAGAAGAAAACCGAATCATGGTTAATGAGGGAGGGAAATATAACGAGGTGAGTCTGACCCACATGTCCTGTCATGGCTGACAACTCAGTTTTCAGGTTTACTCTCAGGCCTCCTTGGCCAAGAGATGGTCTGTTCTGTCAGTTGGGGAGCTTAGAATTTTATATTTAGTTTACATTCTTCCTCTTTTTGTCGAGATCTGCTGGAGGCTCTATCCACCAAAAGGCTCTATCACCAGGTATCTTGATATCCTCTTGGTAATTCTCTTTTAATCTTTGGGAAGCAGGAAATTTTTTATGGTGAAAATAGAATGGAAAGGGGCTACACAATGGCCCAGGAGGCAAAGTCCTTCAATTTGCTGGCAGCTGTGTAAGCACCTGTGTGCCTATTCTTGACTTGGAGGATCTGAACTAACTGTATTCCTCAAAACTATTCCTTATAATCTCAGGCACCAACCTCTTCTGCAATAGTCCCTGGACCTAGAAGGAGGGTGCCTCTGTAGTTTTTGCAACAGGGTGGTAGAAAGAAAACAGACCAGACACCATGAGATTCCAAATGAGAGAGATTTGCAGGCCTTGCCCAATCATCTCTAGTCTGCAGAGTACCATGTGTATTAGTCTATTTTCATACTGCTATAAAGAACTGCCTAAGACTGGGTAATTCATAAAGGAAAGAGGTTTAATTGACTCACAGTTCAGCATGACTGAGGAGGCCTCAGGAAACTTACAATCATGGAGAAAGTTTAAGGGGAAGCAAGGTACCTTCTTTACAAGGTGGAAGGAAGGAGAAGTGCTGAGTGAAGGGGGAAGAGCCCCTTATAAAACCATTAGATCTCGTGAGAAATCACTCACTATTAGAAGAACAGCAAGGGAAAACTGCCCCCATGATCCAATTCCCTCCACCTGGTCTCTATCTTGATACATGGGGATTATGGGGGTTATGGGGATTACAATTCAAGATGAGATTTGGGTGGGAACACAAAGCCTAATCTTATCACCATGATTCTAGTTTTCTCAGAAGAAGTAAAACAACAGGAAATAAATAGCATTAATAATTTGACATTCAAAAGAGAATCTGTGTGTCAGAATGGAAAAGAACCCTATCCCATTAGGGACAACTCAAAATATCATGAAGAAAAAATATAACCTGATTCTTTTTTAGAGGCATATTGTAGCCAAGAAATAATTCGTGATTCAATCTGCACTCAAATGCTAAGGTCAGGGATGGAATCTGGTAACTAGTGTGATATTTCTCCTACCTAGAACTGCAAAACAGAAGGCCTGCAAATCTACCCTTCAGGCAATATTAATTGGATTTGCTATATGGGAAACAGTAAGACTGCCTGAGCCCACAGAGTGTAGAGTAGAAGTGGAGGTGCCAGTAGGAAAAGATTCTCCACCTGATAGCACTTTGGGATAATTTACTGGGGCTTAAACCTGTGAACACCTCCCAACAACTCTTGGGACTCTGGACTAGAGAATTTCTGCTTGAGGGGCATTTACTGCTTGGTTTTGGGACTTTAACTGAACCTACCCCTATGACTGAGGGACTTGAATTGATTTGGTATCTGAAATACCTAGGCTGTCTGGGGAGATGTCAGAGAAATACTCTAATAGAGATAGCAGTGCTCAGAAGAAATGCCCAGAGTTCCATAACAAAACGGAAATGGTTATATAGGATCACACTACTTGGGGATGCAAAAAGGAGACATTCACAAACGTGGGGCCTCTTTTTTCTAGGACTGACTCTGGAACTGTGTGAGGAGCTGCTGGACTACACAATGCCCAATAAACATCTGTCACCTGACTGACAAACAGCTGCTTGGTTTGTGGGTGGTAGTTCCAAGGTGAACAAACAACATGTTTGGAAAGCTGCTATTCTGACAAGTATGGTTTGTTTGTTTGTTTGTTTGTTTTTTTGTTTTTAGAAGAATTTACCTTTTCCTCTACTCAAGTTCTCCAAAATTCCAAAGCTATTCGTCAGTATTCTTATTTTACGGTAATATAGTAGTTGGCGTTTATGTTCAGTAAGAATCTATTTTCTTTTGAAACAGGAAACAATTGGAGAAGCTGGTTGTTTTACCAATACTTTGGCTAGAATAACATAGTCTCAGGTAATGTTCCAGCAAAGCCAACTTAAAGAGAGCCTGTATGGCCAATCAATTCTTGCTATACTTTATGCAAATAATAGGGCCAAGTATAATAAGCCTGAAATTTATTTTGCACACAAATTGGTCTTACTCTGTTTTCTCTTTGGTAGAAAAGGGGGATTGGAGAGAGAGAAATCATGTTTCTGAGGTTTATGCTTTTAACCAATGTTAATCATATGATACTCAATACATGAGTCTAGGAACCAAACATGGGGATAGAAGGGAGCCTGCTCCCTTGGTGAACTTTTGTTTCCTGTTGCCTCTCCACAAGTCAGGCTCATTTAGGGATCATTTTCCCAGAGGAGGGATGTTTCTACCAGAAGATATAGTAAATATTTTCACTAAACCTAAGGTTTAAATCTCCTGCCTGTCATTTTGAGCTCTTCATTACACCAGGTGAATAGGAAAAGGAGTAAGCTACTACCATATTGGCAGAACTAATCGACACAAATTATCATGAGGAGGTAGGGTTGATGCTCATTATGCCAGTAGAAAGGCATATGTCTGGAACTCAGAAGAACTTTATCTGCTGCTTCCATTTCCAGGAATAATCATAAAGGGGCCACTGCAATAACTATGGCCTGACAAGAACGAAAAACCTCAAGCATAAAGGTCTGGGTATTATCACTGGGCTGACAGTTCTCACCAGCACCAATGCCATCCAAGAGTTAGTGGAATCTATTATAGAAAGGATGAGAGAAAAGGGAGATAATGCGTATCACTGTTGGCCTCAGGACTGTCACTTTTCCCACTAAATCTGTTGTAAGTTTATTTTGAAAAATTGTAACTGGACATCACCTTGAAAAAGCAGTGATAGACTGGAGTAAAGTTAATGTTGGGTCAAGTAAGTCAGACTGGTACAAGCGGTGGGCTCTCACAGATTCTGTCAGTGCATCATCTATCTCCAGGATTGGACTCTAGTGGACTTCAATGTCTTTATGTGCATCTCTGCGCCTATCACACAGCAGGCACAGATGACACTCATGAAAGCCTATGAGCTACAGCACTGTTCTTCAAGATGTGGTTATGCATTATTTTTTCTCCTAAAAGAGTTTTCTCATAAAGCATTGTAGTCTGCAGAGTGGCCATTCTGACAGGCTAGGAAGCCTAAAGTGCAAAAGAATTAGCACTCCTAAGAGCAGCTCTCAATCAGCGACTCTTTGGAGTTCATGAGTACATTTTGTAACTATCTGGCACTTTCGGTGGGATAGTTCTAAGGTATCTATTTACCTATTTTATTGCCAGTTGTCCATTGTAAATACTGGCTAAATAATGCATCGTAAATTGCCTCCCTTCCATTCCTGTGTCAGTTTTTCTTTCTCCTATTGGTATTACTTACACTCTTCATACTTGAACGATTGTTTTACATCCTACTTCTAGAAGAACTCAAAATAGAACACGGGGTCTCAAATCAGATATGGAACTTTTCATTTCAGCTCATGAAACTCAAGGTTTATATCCCCATGCAGGTGAGCCTATGTATGTGTTCAATTTATGATGGACCAACAGACTGCCAACTCTGGCATGGGTTTCCCCTTTTGTTTCTTATGCCACCAAATGTCCTATTTTAACATTTATGTTTAGATATGTTTAATTTGTCTTTCAGAATTAAACTAAGACAACATTGGGGCATCATGTCACTTCTATTAGTCCGACAATAAGGAGGACATTAGATAATGCCAGGTCTGAGCAGGGATATAGGGCTGTAGGAGTACTCATGTGCTGAAGGTGAATACAGGTGCAGTTCTGTAGAAATGTCTGACCTTAGTCCAATAAGTTTATACCTAGTCTATGAGGCTTAACCATTTTGCTCCTATATATAGATTCCCTCCCCTGTCCAAAAAAAGGCCCAGGGCACCTACAAGAAGACACATATAAGATACCTTATTACAACGTTATTTTTGTTGGCAGGAAATTGCCACCGGTTCAGGCATCCACCACAAGGGCAGTAGATGGTAACATGTGTCATGGTCCACTTTGGAGTACAATGCATCAGTAGAAATGATAGACTAGTTGTATATGCAGCAAATTTAATAGCTCTTAAAATATATTGTTAGAAGAACAAAGGAGAAATCACAAGATATGTAACATAGTACTTTTGTGTACTTTTAAGTGTGCACACAAACCACTGCTCATGTCCTACAAGAATAAACCAACTGTTGTCTATTCAACAAACACATTGAAAGTAAAGAGGAAAAGAGGAAACAAAGGTGGGATAGGGAGGAGAAAAGAAAACAAATGAACAAAACAAAAATTGAGCCTTGTGAAGACCAAAGATAATAATGTGCCAAGTAGTGAAAAGTAAGATTAGCACAATCCTTGTCACCTAAAGCACACACACAAATTTTGTGTTATATATTTTGAGTACATCTATAGATTTGCCATAGATGAAAGTTTGAAACAGCATAGTTTAAGTGTTAGAAGTATATACATCATACTCTAATTTTATACTATACTATAATGTAATATAACTTTCCTCTTGGTAGATAATTTGGTTCCAGTTTTCTGCTACTGCAAACAGTGGCTACAGTGAGCAATGCTCTGTGCCCATGTGCAATATAGGTGGCTCTACGGACAGAAGTAATGAGATGTAATGGCTAAGAACACTGGGTTCAGTGTTGGAATCCTGGTTCTTCTACTGTGTATCCTCGGGCAAGTTAGGTAATTACTCTGAACCTCAGTTTCTTGAAGGAGATGATGTGTATAAAGCATGTAAATCAATGCTGGCACATACTTGCACACTCAATCAGTATTAGTTATTATCATGACTATTGTTTTAACATGTATTTTAATAAAACAAAGTTACAGTGATTGAATTGCTTACTTATATGGAACACATTTTAAATGTATATACATTTTTAAAATTTCAAATGAGCCATATAAATTTACTCCACCACCAAAGGTGTAAAGGTCTATTTACCAAAGGAATCTGACAATACTCTTTTTTCTACACTTGGCAAAATCAGACATCTTCATTCTTTTGGGTTTCTTTTCCATCTCAGTGAATAAAACATTACCTTTTACCTTATATTTCCTTGATTGCAAATACGTACGTGAACCTTTTGAACTTTTATGAAATATTCATTCAAAATCTGGCATATTAACAAAATTAATCCTAACCAGTTTTAGAGAAAAGAGGCTTCAGTCAGCTTTTGTATTTATTTGGCTTATGACTCATAATAGATTCAACCATACTAAGCTTAGTGTGGAGCAGCCCTACACACTGCCTCACAGATTCTGCCATTATTTTATTTTCTGTCCAGATGGGCTATTGGGAGATATAAATGATCATGATTATATCAGAGGGTTGTTGTTACTGTTTTTCTTTTTCTAATATTCATAAACATCATCTTGATTAAAATCCAAAGCTTTTAGAAGTAAAGATAAATTAAGATACAGAATTATTAACATTGTAGTACTTTATAATATTCCTTTTGCTTTTAAAATTTTTGTCATGACCTGCAAGATTTTAACAGCATAATTTTAATCCACATGCCTAAATTCTATTCTGTGACCTTAAAAGAATTTAAGCATTTATTCTATCATTGATGGAATAAAATGTCAGTTCTTAAGGATTTAGAAAATGTCAGCCAATATAGCCAAGGGGGCTCTTTATTAAGAAGTTCCTTTTGATTAAATAAATGCACATGTAGTCCATAGAGTAATTTATACGGGGGAGACTAAAAGACTGCAAGAAAAGTCACTTTCTATCAAAATTATCCTTAGTTCCTAATGATTTCTTTTATTGAGTTTCTAAAAATGTTTCCCAAGAAGAACATCTTTTATTTAGCATGGTATATATTGGGACGGCTCTCCCTCTTCTATCCCAGATAAATCCCTGATACACAAAACTCCTGCTTATTCCACAGCAATTTCATCAACATAGAAAGCCCGCAGGGATAAAGAGAGAGTCAGGACATGTGTTACTTCGTCAATCTCTTGCTGTAATGAAGAAAGAAGAAAGATAGAGGAATTGTCAGATATTAGGATATTAGAACAACATTTATTTTACTGTCCTGTATTCTCAGCTTACCACCTGGGGAATCTGAGAAAACTCTAAGACTTCAGGTTTGTGTATTTTCAGTATTAAACACGGTTATTGATTACTGCTCGTATAACTCTTATATTAAATATTTCTACGCTCCAAGGTTCAGGCTATATTTTAGTGATCTCATCTGTTCATGGCTCAAAATCCCACGTGGGTATTAATAAAATAATATATGAATAGTACAAAGCCTACAGACTTGAAAACATGTTGGCCATGAAAATTCTTCAAAATGAAATTTTAGTCTAATGCCCTTTTAATTTATCTCAGGTTATGCCAATGGAGAATGGTTATGTTAATAGAGAGACCCATTCCTTGTTGCACAGCTGGTACCTCTTTATATAACATCTCTAAGGCTATGATGAAACAGTGCTTTGAGGATATCACTGTGAAGACTGATTCTCATCAACACATCTTTTGCATAATTCTCACTGATATCACCAGTGAAATAAAGCAGAGAACTCTTCTCCAATGACTTTTATCTTTTATGTACTTTCTTCCTGGACCTACTACAGTAAAGCAGACAAAATCAATATTAAAAAGTAAACTTCGCTCCTTTTCTTTATTATAAAGCATGTTGACATGAAAACATTGTGATAACGAAAATCATAGACAAAGTTTAATTACTAATTCCACACTAGCCCATCAGAGATAATTCACTCATTCAGCAAGTGTTTAATGAATCTTGATAATGAACAATTTACTGTGCATTTTCTTTTTTTATCCTTTTCCTTTTCTTCTTCTTTTTTTTTTTTTTTTTTTTTTTTTTTTTTTTTTTTGAGACAAGGTCTCACTCTGTCACCCAGGCTAGAGTACAGTGGCATGACCTTGGCTCACTGCAGCCTTGACCTCCTGGGCTCAAGCAATCCTTCCACCTCAGTCTCCTGAGTAGTTGGGAATATAGATGTGTGTCACCACACCTGGCTAGTTTTTGCATTTTTTGTAGAGACAGGGGTTTGCCATCTTGACCAGGCTGGTCTCAAAATCCTGGGCTCAAGTGATCTGCCCACCTCAGCCTCCCAAAGTGCAGGGATTACAGGCATGAGCCACTGCACTCAGCCTTACCGTGCATTTTAGAGGATTCACATGTAAACAAACTTCACTTTCCTCAGTGTATTCAAATATATAAGTTAATTACTTGCCATGCTACACAGAAAGGGAAAAGTTCTGTAGATAGCTGGCAAGAATATACCATGGAAAAACAAAAGGAAGATAACACTTTCTAAGTTATTCCAATTATTTTTTAAAAATTGTGCTGTGGAAACAACATACATATCTATCAATGGAGGACTGGTAAAATGAATTATGGCTCATGACTTTATATCAGAGTACCTGTAATACATTAAAAATAATAATAAAGAGTATATATGGAAATATTTATTAATAAAATGATATACTTTTAATATAGAATTGATTTTAAAATTGGCAAATTATCAATAATAGTGCAAACTGAGTGGAAGTTATATGGGGGTTAATTTTCCTGTATACTAAGTTTTAAATTTTCCAAAATAAAAAAAAGCTAAAGGTAATAATTAGAAAGCTTCCTATGTTCTTATATGGAAATATTTTTGAGATATAATGTGAATAAGAAGAAGTGAGGAACAGAACAGGGTGGGGTGCAATGAAGCAGAAAATGTATTTTATACATGCAAATACATACATTAAAAATTATGAATGATTAAATAACTAAATGAGACCTTTATGGCCCTCATAGAGAAGACAGTCTTAGTTTGAACCATGGAAGGTGGATGATATTTTAACATATGATTGTGGAGTACATCAATATTTGAATGGAAAAAAAAATTATGAGAAAAGTGCCTGGAGTAGGATCATGTATAAAGCACATAGGGAATAGCTAGGAGTTTGGTCTTTCTGGGACATAAGATATGTGAAAGAGACTGGTGGAAAACAGGGTAACAAAGTCAGCTGAGACCAGAGGGTAAGGGCCTGGTGTGCCATGCTAAAGGGCAAGGGCTTTTCTTGGTCACTGTGGGTTTTAAGCAGGGTTTTAAGTGATTAGAATTATATTTTCCAGAGTGACTCTGGCTAGATGTTCAGGCTGACTGCAATGAGGAGAACCTAGAGACAGGACAAACAGAATCTTCTTACAGAGGTCAGGGGATTTGGCCACAGTGGTTTCCAACAACCAATAAGAATGAGGGGAGGGTTAACATGTACATAAATGTTTTAGAGTGAGAGAAGAAACAAAGAACAGTCCTCGAATTTAATGATGATAAGAAGTCATTGATGAATCTATTTTTAAGATATATGAGTGTCTTAGTCTGTTTGTGATGTTTTAACAAAATACCTGAGACTGAATAATTTATAAATGGCAGAATTAATTTCTTACAGTTTTGGCGATGGAAAGTCTAAGATCAAGGCACCAGTATTTGGTTCCTAGTGAGGGCCTTCTTGCTGTTTCCTCATATGGCATGAGGTGTCAGCACACAAAAAGGGGACCTCCCTAGTTTACTCTAAACCTTTTAGAAGGTGGCTAATCCCATTCATGAGGGCACTGTCCTCATGACTTAAACATCTGCTAAAGGCTCCGCCTCTTAATGCTATCATGCTAGTGATTGTCTCTACACATTCCTTTTGGAGGACATTTGGACCTTAGCAATGAACAAGATAGATAAATAATAGAACCCAAAATATTAATTCTGTATACAGATAAGTGTATTAAGAGACTTTCTATGTATATTTTTTCTACAATGACCATAAATTACTTTTGCAACAAAGAAAATAACAATGAAATGTTGACAGTCTTTGGAAGCATTTAGATAGTGAGAACACAAGAAAACATTGCAAAAGCTGTCCACAAAAGCTCTGATTGTTTCAGGGTTTCAGTAAAATCCTTTGAGCTCCATTTCTGCATTTACAGTGTTGTCCTGCCAAGAGTTTTCTTCCATGGCAGCTCTCCTATCTGATTGAAGTTTCATCACTTGTAGATCTATTGATCACACCTAGTGACCAAGACATTAATATGTGAGTCCTTAATAACTTCACATGAAGAAAATGATCCTTATTTTCTACAGCTTCTTCTCATGCTCAGTGTTCTGCAGAGGTCTCTGTTGCTGAATTCCTCCCCAGGCAATTATAATTAAAACGACTAATTGTAATGTGAGCGATTACTATGCAATGTGCCCTTTAACAGTTGATTTACATACATTAATTACAAGAATTCTCACAATGACTCTATGGCATCTTTGCTATTATTTTCCTTATTGAACTTAGGAAGAAGCTGATATTTAGGGAGTGTCAGGGACTTGTCCATAGCAAGCCAACCAATAAGGAGTGAGGCATATATCACTCCAATCTTCATATCTTTTTGACCTCTCTAGAATGGGATTGTTTAATCTCTTTCCAAGAAACCATATGCTAAATGATTCAAAGTTTCATGGACAGCACAAGTGTCCTCCAAAAAATTACTAATATAATTCATTCTATGTGATTTTTAGTAAAATGAAATTATGAAAAGTCAGAAGACTAGTGTTCCAGTCCTAGGTCTTCTAGCATGTATATAGGATAATCACTTCATCTTTTTGGGTCTTCGAGTTCTCTCACACAATAATGGGTTAATACTTGACTATTTATATCACAGTGCTGTTAGTAGTTACAAAGATAGCTCTGTGAAAGTTTTCCATAAACCATAAAGTGCCTTAAAATTATCCAGATTCTCCTAAAAGCCTCCTTGCTTTTCTGTCCTCCACCCCCAGGAGAAGAACATTCCAAGTCTATTTCTAGGGGAGTGCCTGCTCTCTAAAATGAAAAGTATTTATAAAAGGCAGGACTCTGAACTATTGTTCCCCCTATACAGGATTATGCTTGTAAATTACTCCTAAACCTTGGATGAAAAGAGAGATTATAGTATTAATGGTCTTACTTTTCAAAATACTACATTTTTGGTTGAACCCAAAGGTTGAAATGCTAAAAATCATACCAGGGAATATAAGGTTTCTAGTAATTTTTTTTTTTCAGGAAAAACAAACAGCCCGTTTGTTTTCAGCCACTTCCAAGCTCCTATATCTATGTTTTCATTTATTCAACATTTTTGAAAGCCTACTCAAGTGCCTCATAGCCCAGTGCTTAAGTAGGCAGGAATATATAATATTCATCTTGGCTTGAGATAGGGAAAGGAGCTCTGGGTGGATTGAATAGGATGTACAATGGCTTGGATGCAAAACAGAGCTTAGAGTGTTTAGAGAACTGAAAGTAGATCTGGAGAATTAGGGTGAGATCAGCGGATTTTCCAATGACATTCAAGCACTAAAGAGTCAAAGCCCTTGTATTATATGTTGAAATTTTTGACTTTATCTTCAGGATAATGAGGAGTCATTGGTGGATTTTAGGCATAAACCAATTTTTATATTTTTCAAATATCACTGTAGTTACCATGTAGAGAATAATAGATTGGATGGATGAAGTCACATTTGTCCCCAGATTTCTCCTGTTGCAGCCTCACTTACTGCTTTTTAAAAAAATTTACTTTGCTGTGATATAATTTACATAAAATGTACCCAGTTCAAATGTACAGTTATGCACCTAGAATAATATACATGCCACCACAATCAGTATATAGACTAATTTCATCACCTGTAAGTTCTATCCTGCTCACCTACTATCAATCTCTTCCTTCTCCCCTCAGCCCTCACACCCAGCTCTAAAGAAGGAACCACTGATAGACCTTTTGTCACACTGGATAGCTTTGGTTTTCTAGAATGTCACATGAATGGCATCTTAGGAGAAGTATTCTTTTGAATCAGGTTTGTACTCAGCACAATGCTTCTGAGATTCACTCACATTGTTATGTATATTACTAGTGCATTCCCTTTTATCATGTATAATATTCTATTTTATGGATAGGTCACAATTTGTTTTCTCCAATTATGTGTCTATGGGCATTTGGGTTATTTTCCAGTTTCCAGCTATTATAAATAATGCTTCTATGAACATTTGTGTATAAGCATTTGTGTAAGTATAAGATCACATTTCTCTTGCAGAAATACCTAAGATGAAATAACTAGGACATTTGGTAAGTAAGAGTTATATTTAACTATATAAATAATTACAAAACTATTTTCCAAAGGGATTATGACATTTTACATTCCCATCAGCAACATGAGGGTTCCAATCATTCCACACCCATATCAACACTGGATATTGTCAATCCTTCTAATTTTGGACATTCTAGTGGGTATGTAGTGTGTAGTGATATCTCATTAAAGTTTTAATTTGCATTTCTCTAGTAACTAATGATGTTAAGCACCTTTTTATGTACTTTATTGCCATATATCTTCTTTGGTAAGTGTATATTAAAATCGTTTGCCTCTTCTCTGATTGGATTCTTTTGTCTTATTATTGCATTGTAAGGCCTTTTTTTAAACATATTCTTAGAAATGTGTATTGCAAACACATTCTGCTAGTCTGAGGCTTACCTCTTGATTTTTTAAACTGGTGTCCATGAAAGAGTAGAAAGTTTAAAAGTTTGACAGAATTGGACAGCACTGGTCTGAATAGCTAAAAGACAGAGATTGATACATGGATAAAATGTAAGATCTGATATGTTGGGTGGAAAGGTACACTTTAAATATAAACATATAAGTAGTTTAAAAGCATACGGATGGGAAAAGATACATATGCAATGGAAGAATAAGAAGACTGGAGTGACTTTTTAACATGTGATAAAATGGTTCCCAAGACAAAAATTATTAATAGAGATAAAGAGGGTTATTTCATAATGATAAAGGAAACAATGTATCAGGAAGACATAACAATTGTGAATGTATGTGTACCTAATTACAGAGTTTTGAAATACATTAAGAATAAAACAAAACTTTATCTAATTAAAAGAATAACTAGGCAATTTCACAGTTTTAATAAAAGATTTTAACAGTTGTCCTATGGTAACATAAATCAGTACATGGCTTAAATCTAATTAATTTTCACTGACCACTAGACCCAGCCACTAAAAAAATCCCATTTTCTGACCATAACAGACCCTAATCAGGAATTAGTCAAAATAAGATATCTAGAAAAACCTCTCACATAACTGGAAATTTTAAAATACACTTTTAAATAATTCATAGGTCAGTTAACTTTTAACAACTTTTTGTATAAATGTTTAATTATTTTTTAAGAAAGGACACATGATACAACTTTCCACAACGTTTTCACAGAGTTATTTTGAGTATGAAGTGAGGTAATGAGGATAACATTGTTTTAGCCAGGTGCGGTGGCTCACTCCTGTAATCCCAGCACTTTGGGAGGCCAAGGCAGGTGGATCACGAGGTCAGGAGTTCAAGACCAGCCTGGCCAACATGGTGAAACCCCGTCTCTAGTAAAAATATAAAAGTTGGCTGGGCATGCTGATGTGCGCCTGTAATCCCTGCTACTCAGGAGGCTGAGGCAGGGAACTGCTTGAACCCGGGAGGCGGAGGTTGCAGAGAGCCGAGATTGTGCCACTGCACTCCAGCTGGGCAACAGAACGAGACTCCCTCTCAAAAAAAAAAAAAAAAAAAAATTGCCACATATTTGATGAACAACAATCAGTACTGTCTTTTCTGGTATGCAACAAGTAACTTGCTGCATACAAAAGGAGTTAACAATCCCTGACCGGCATAAAGTGTTCCTTTATTTTACCCCTATGTTTCTGTCCTACTTCAGGTTCACTCATTGCGTATGACTGGTAGGGTTATGTCCAACTATAATCTATTTTATTTAATGTAAAATTTATAAGACATTGTACTCAGACCTTGACCTATTTGAATATAATCCATGTGACCAAACTCCAAATCAGGTGCTATTGTGACCTTCACTGTGTAAATTATGAGCCAGTACTAAGTCAATGGAATCAGATAAACCAAACTTTGACTATATCACATCAATTTCATAATGTCTAATATTGGTTTAGTTACTTAACTTGCATCAGCATCAATGCTTTCATCAGGAAAATTTCTGTTTGATTGACAAAAGAGGTCATTTTACAGACAAACTAAATACAGGTCTCAAAAGGTAGTCTGGGGAAATTCCATCTTTCAGAATCATTTGTCTAAGCTGTAACTAATCTTGAGAATAGCAGAGGAGACATTCTTTTCCCCCACATATACCTTCAGAGAGATATGAGAGAATTAGTGATGATATGGACTTGGTCCTTGAAAAAAAAAAAAGAAAAAAACAAAAACAAAAACAAAACAACAACAACAAAAACCAAATGAGTGAAAATGTCATAATTTTGCAAAGACAAGAAGGAAAATGCAATGATGGCTGTATGATAGATGCTGCCATATACATGTGGTAGAAGCTTGCTGGCACTTAAATGTAGATATCAGTGTACCATAAATGAAGAAAAGCAACAGCTCTGCTAGAATTTCTAGAAAAATTACATCAAATGTGTGGGCTTTCATTACAACAGGTTGGCAGCATGAAAGTTTCTACTTGATTAGCTGGTTTTGTCAAGTAAACACAAATAATAAGAGGCCAGAGATTAGCTGAAGACTAGGAATTTATTCATTTTAAATACTTGTTATATACACAAAATTCTGCTGTGTACTGAGTTTATTATTTTCCGTGATAGACAATACCTGATCTCTTTGTGTTTCAGTAGAAAAGACAAACACTGATTAGATTTATAAATAATAAATAAGACATGAATAAGTAACCAAGTATGCTATGAAACGCAAAAATAGGAGTGGCCTAATTAATAGATATGGTGGAGTTGAGGGAAATGTTTTTTGGTAATCAAATTTAAAATTGGCCTAAAAAGTGAGAATGATATAAACTATTACTGTTATTTTGGCTACAAGAGTTTGGTATACTACAAAGGAAATGGCAATTCATTTTATTATGAGAAATAGTGGAGTTCAAACCCTGATTGCAACTTAAATCTGTGATCAGTGAAAGTTATAAGAAAATTAAGCATTTTTCTAAATGGGAAAACAGGTAAATTCTTTGGATACCACACACCTAGCATGACTTGGAAAATCTAGACACCATTCCAAAGCTTTCTCAATCACTAAATATTACATAATTTTGGATAGGATAGCTAAAACTCTGATTCTTCCTTCTTGAAATTATAAAGAAATAATAATATCATTCTAATGTATTTTATAGAGATATAATCTGGTGAAATAAGAAGTAACCAGATTCCTTAAATACTTGCATAATAATTTAATGAATAGTTGCATAATAATGCAACATATAATTACTATCCTGACGGATGCCATTTTTAAGTTTTTTAAAATTACATGAGAAAATCCTATATTGCTCTCATAGCAGAATCCTGATGGTGTAAGTAATCAGTTAATATTATTTCCTTTCCACTGTCCATTCTCTTTCTTGAGAAGTAAACTATGCGTTCAGACAGAAAATTTCCATGTCAAAAAATGTAGAGAGCAGTCAAAAGCAAATGAGCAGACTTCTTCATGAATATTTAAAATAGCCAGTATGAAAGCACACTTCCATGTGTGCTAATTTCTGTTATTTTAAAAGTCATTTGTGGTTTTAGCTCATGGAGGATGAATCTTAAAGAATTTATTTTCCTGTACAGAATAATCAGGTGGCAAAGAAACAATCAATGAGTGACTATAATGCATTTTGCTACTATCAGCACTAATAAGAGAAAATCTGATTTTCAACTCATAGTAACTAGTCTGATTTTTAAATTAGGGCCTTATTTCCTAATCTCAGAAAATAAGCAAGCTACTCCTTCTCTGTCTCAATAGCTAGCTAGATAGATAGATAGATAGACAGACAGATAATTTTCCTCCTTGTCATACCAATTATAATGACCAATGGTAATTTAAAGCTAAGTTTCCAAAGACTAAACAGTAAGAGAAAGATATTACTGATGCCTGAAAGAATTCTATTGTGCTGTTTCTCTTGGGCCCTAATATATATCCACTGCATAAGAATGCAATATCAGATCTAAATGTGGTATTTCCATTTGCGAGCAGGGCACCAGCTGTCTTCTTAAATTTCCATGCCACTTAATCTAGCTCTAAGTTTGGTTAGCTTTCAATTCACAAAGAAGGCAACAACAACTACACAGGGTCACATTTTCAGCAAGGTCTCTGAGGTAATGAAGTGTACAAAGTATGCTAATAAGGAGAGCAGCTAAGTTAATTCCTTGGGGCAGGTGCAAATACATGGTCCTAGGATCCACTTTTTGGTGCAGTGCAAGAAGCGACCTGTGAATGGGAGGAGTTAACATTGGAAGCCAAGAATTTTAGCATTTTCCAACATTGTTTGGGGATTACCACTTATTACCCTGAAGGTCCACTTCTACCTGCATAATCCTCAAAGGGTCAAACCCTCCGAGATCGTCATCTAGAGAACCACTTGCATCAAAATTATCTGCTGCTTTAGTCATCTATATTCACACAATAAACTAGCAAAAGAGAAAATATTGATATGTCCATTCTAATCACCACCAAGATTTTTCATAGGCTACTTGTACATTTGTCACAGTTTCAAAGTCCTTCATGCCTACACTAAGTCAGAGGAATACAAGGAGATATTTAAATGGGCTTTTAATCAGAGTTTCTAAATAATCAGGTAATTTTGTCAGAATATGATGTAAAGGGTTTGAGATGAGGACATTCCTTGGAAAATAACTTCTCAATTTACTCTGTAATATGCATTTGTCACAGAAGATGGTTTATCAATATTTAAATCACTGAATTAAACCTGTATTACGCAAGCACACACAGAAAATACATGGAAAACAAAAATTCTAAAAGTTACCAAGAAATCATATATCACTCATAGGCATACCTTATGCTATTTTAAGATAATTAAATAGCTGATAGACATAATCTAGAGTAAATCATAGAATTAGAATCACAGAATATTAATGCTACAAGGTATGCTGTTGTGTTGCTCCCCCTTTACCACTCTAATGCTGTGTAACAAAACACCCCAAAACTCAGCGTCATAAAATGACAAAATTTGCTCTCATGTTACTAGGTCACTCGGCATGCCTCTGCTTCAGTTTACTAAGTGTGGGACCGCTAATATTCTGCATCAGGCTGTGAATTGACGGAAGTCTGCCTCATGAGTCTCCTTCTATTACCCCAGCTATCTCGGGATGTTCTAATGACAGAGTTTGGAAGATCCTAGATTGGTAAATAAAAGCATGTGATGTTTCTTACAGCTTAGAGTCAAAATTCTAGCCCTGGAAACTCACACATGGTTACTTCTCCCAAATTCTATTGGCTGAAGCAAGTCCCAAAGAGAAGAAACATACTCTTCCCAAAGAAGTAGGTGGAGGAGTGATTATTGCTGAACAAAAAGTGATTCTACTCAAGCTGTAAACAGTAGCCAAATTCATTATTTTATGGAGAGGAATCAGAACATTTGTTGTCTGTGTGTGTGTGTGTGTGTGTGTGTGTGTGCGCGCGCATGTGACAGAGAGGCGGGGAGAGACAGAGAGAGAGAGATCCAAGGGCTTGCTACGTGTTAATTTCAGAACTGGAATAATAACAATATACTTCATATTTTTAAAGGGGAAATTCCACTCTACTTTAATACAATGCTCTATATTCTGTACCCACATGGAAACTGACATTTTTACTAAGTGATATATGAACAATTGCATATTCACTATTCACTGGAGGATGCAAGAGTATATTTTCAGGGTTTTTAAAAACTGATAGTTTCTTCCTCCATACCCAGTAGACACACACACACACACACACACACACACACACACACACACACGTCCACATATATACAGTAGAGGGAGGGAGGGAGGGAGGGAGGGAGAAAGAGAGAAAAAATACAAATGTAGAAATGCAATTATTTAACAAATTTAAGCTAAGCCAGCTCTAACTGAGTTTGGAGCTGCAGTTTTTTTCCAGGAGCTTAGGAATTTCACGAACAAAATGGAAGCTGACAGGTGATCCCCTTAACAAGTTTGTCATTGTTTAACATGAATGTGAAGTTTAGATTGGTAATCAAGGCAATAAACCTAACGGAGCCAAGAATTTGTGTTCCTTCTTCTTCAGTAAGGATGGAAAACAATTTTTTTTCATTTACGTGACCCTTTTTTTTACTCTCAGGAAAGGAGGATATGCTGATAAGATACGTTAATCAGAAGCTATGGGAAGTAAGGACATTTTCTTTCTTGACATTATCCTATGAATATCAGAAAAGGAATTACTATTACAAAAAATACTATTACAGCTGTGACTTGTGATATGTACTGAACAGCCTGTAAATCTCACCTCACGTCACTCCGGAATTCTCTCACCACACATTTACTGAGCTGCAGATGGTCTTCTTGCTTTCCCGATGGCAGATATCTCTAAACTGTTGGAATTATCCAACACTTAACTTTTTAAACAAGTTTTCAAAAACTTCCTACAGATTTTTTCTTTAGTGCAATGAATGTAGAAAAAGACATATAGTTCTCCCCAAGTGCCCTAAGCAAAGCAATCCACTTTGGTTGAGAGCTGTTATGTTGGTTATTAAAGAAGACAGAATATAGAATCACATTTATGAGGCAAAAGGCAAACTTACACTTTCTTGACAATAATGACTCTACTCTTTTTATAATTTTATGTTGTGTTTCTTTCTATTTTATGTTTTGTTTTTTCATACATTTATAGTGCAATACCATGGAGTTTATCTGCCAAATATTTTCCTTGCTTTGAGTTTCCACTAAATTAATGGGAAAATAAACATCCTCTAGTAGAAACCCCTACATGCTCCCCATAGGCATAACTATTAATTTTTCCTCTGCAGGCATTTAAATTAATATTTTCTGCTCATGAAAAGGGAGGGGTGGCTTAAAAGTCTTTAAGACAAAATTGGCCTTTCTGTAGCTAAACATAAAGAAAATCTCTTCTTTTTCTTCTCTGTCTGTAGTTTGCCTTCATCTCTCAACATAAATAGAAGAGTTAATTGGGAAGAATAAAAGAATCCTTTTTGATATGGCAACAAAAGGAATGCAGAAGGAAATGATGGAAAAGCCAGTGTTTTTACTTTTTATTAGCTTTGTTATTTATGAAACCGTTTTAAAGAAATGTGTTTTCCAAAGGAAGGAGGCCAGACACCCACTACTGCTTCTAGCATACCTACACTGTATTGGAAAACAGAAAATGAATGGGTTTTGGAGTCAGACATTTCCATTTCTGCAAATGACAAACTATACGACCTTGAGTGAGTTATTTAATCTCTATAAGTTTCGATTTCTTTCTTTGGAAAAACAGGGATAAAATAATACCTATTTCATAGACTTGTTATGAGCATTAAAAAATATGTGAAGTGCTTGGTCCTTGGTGGTACTTGGTGGGTACTTGGTCCTTGGTGGGTACTCAGTAAATGATAGCATTTACTATTTGGAAAATGATAATACATGGCAAGCAAAAATAGTTAAACATTTGGAGTAAAAAACAGATCTAGGTTAAAATTCAGCCTCCCTCAAGGCTCCCTGAAGGACTACTGGTGAATTTAGCCTGCATAAGACTTAATTTCTGGATTTTTGTAGGGTCAGAGGGTTTCAGGAGACTTGCTGGCTCTTGGACCCTTGCTTGGTACACAGTTGTTATTAGTAAGCGATACCCATTAATACAGTAGTAGTGGTGGAAGTCATGGTAGTAGTACTCATAGTGACCCTATGAAAATTTTTATTTAATAAAATTATTATAACTTAGTTTTCCTAATGTAATATTTTAGACCCCTTTCCAGACAAAAGTACAGTGAAATCTTTCTAAGAATCCCTCTTGAAACCACATTTCTCTTCTGACACCTTAACAATCCCCAAACACATGCACTACTACAAGAGAACACTTGCAGGAGTGTCTTTGACCCCCTGTGTTAGTCTCCGTACTGTATATACACACAGACAGAGATTTATTTTAAGGAATTAGCTAATAGGATTATGGAGACTGGAAAGTCCAAAATCTACAGGGTGGGCACACAAGCTGGAGACCCAGGAAGAGCTAAAGCTGCAGTTCAAGTCCAAAGGCCTTTGCTGCAGAATTCCATTTTTTTTTTTTTTTGCTTTGTTTAGCCTTTAATTGATGAGATGAGTCCAGTTCACATTAAAAAGGGCAGGCTGTTTTAATCAAAATCCATAAATCCAAATGTTAATCTCATCCCCTAAAACTCTCACAGAAACATCCAGAATAGTATTCGACCACATATCTGGGCATTGCTGCCTAGACAAGTTGACAAATGAAATTAACCATCACACATGGCTATCCCAGTCCTAATGGGATAATCTCTTATTGGTGGGGGAGGACTCCATGCACAAGAGGTCCCTAGGGTATCAGAAAGGAAGGGGTCCAGTCTATTTCATCCTTTGCCTTCTTGACTTAACTTCCATTTTCCTTTAACCTTCTGGGGAATATCATGAAAAGTGAAATCTCTTTGGAGAAAACCCAGACATTTAAAATTTGATAGGTAAGGTTGCAATATAGAAGAAAGAGTGTTCCTGTCTTCTAGACATTCAACTTCCTGGATCACCTGCTCATCCCCTGACAATCCATGCCACCTTCCAGAGTATAAAGATCTGTGACATTGCTCTTTCAACATCCTGCAAGAAGGCAACTTGTTGTAATAATTTATATTTTGGGCCACTAATCTTATATTCTGCTGCTTATCTAAGAAGGTAATTTATATGTTCCAGCAGGGCAGACATGAAATAAATATTATTTCTATTTAGAGGAAATGAGTAGAAAGAATGTACAGAAAGAATATCTTTTTGGCTGACACAATTCTTAATGTTTCTTCAAATGCTGTTAATATTGGTAATTTAACTGACCAAATTTGTCTTTTTGATTGTTTTTATTTAAGGAAGAAGAAAGGCCCTTTTTGTATAAATAATACCAACAAAGCTAATATTTTTTAAAAAAGAAATTCATCCAAAACCAGTGTATCTCTTTATATATTAACTTTAAATAATTGGTTTGATTGATTTCCCCTCTGCCACCTTGAGTTGATTATATTAATTTTAGATAATATCATTCCCAAACTTTAATCCAAGGACAATTGTAGGATTGGCTGCATAAGAATCACCTTGGGAGCTTTACAATAAATACACACTCTTGGTACCTATTTCCAGTCCTTCAGATTCAGAAGGCCCTGGCGCAGGAATCTTTAACAAAGGTCAATTTACACTAATGGCGACAGTCTTAAATTTGCCACATCTAACCCCAAACTGGCCACTCAGATGATAGATTTCTATAGTTTCCTTTGGATGTCTTGCTCTGATCACCTTGGTGATTTTTCAGTCAGATTACTTTATCCATCCTTATAATTTAGCATGTATAACACTGGAACAATTTCAGAGCACTGGCTTCTAAGTCCATGGGGCAAGTGGGATCTGTGGGGAAAATATACATTGAAGATTACTCTTTCTTTCTCCTTTTCTATTTGTTATGATTATTGATGTCTCTTTCTATATGTGTTCCCCAATATGGCAAGTGAGTAAATGAATGGATAAACAATGACACCATATCCTAAATAGGAGGAGGAATCCTGAGAAGGGACTAGATTTGAGTGCCCTGGTGGACCATACTTGAGCCTTATAAACTCTAGCTTCTGATAAGGGGAATACTGTGGCATTTCTGAGCTGAGTTAGCAGAGCCTATCCAGGGGCTGTCTCTGCAAGGCCTAGAGACACCCTTGTTATATAAGCCCCTGACATGACCAAAGAAGTTGCGTCTCCTATTCCTGCTGTTGTCAATCAATTTTATTGGCTCCATAGCTACAGGTCTCAGCCCCTAAATCCAGCCAGTTGTTTAGCTAACTCTTGTTATTAGTCAGAAATCGAAGGTGAGAGATGTGGATCTGTGCAAACCTCTTTTCCAACAATGAAATGGAGGAGGCAAAAGTGAAAAAACATGCAAACCTCAAAAGAGCCATTTTATTGCACATAGGGCAGCATCTATTTTGCAGGAATTGTCCAAGATATCACGGGTATGGGCATCTAAAAATCAAGTGTGCCTTAATTTCTAAAGTATTTGGGAAAAAAATTATTATTTTATGGAAGAATGTTGGCAATTTGGCAAAAGACTTTTTAAAAAGACAAAGTAGTTTGTTAAAATGTTTCAATATGAGACAAATGTGGTATTTTTCCACTGTAGTCACTTGGAAAAGAAACAGCTGAAAACATTTGAAAGGAACTGATAGAGCCCTGAGCCATCATAGCAGGATACTATTGCAAACATTTGCAGCTAGGACTGTTGAGCGGCAGAAAAATTCACATAGCAACTAGGAAGCCACAAAAGGATATGAGGTGGGAAGAAGGTGTAATGATTAGAGAAAAAGTGTTTCTTTGATTGCTCTGCTGATAATACTCACAAAGCAAAAATGCCTTAATAGACAATGATATTAAGGATATAAACACAAATCTATCTTTGACGTGTTCCATCATGCTTGCTATAGGACTTACAACATAAGCTCATCTTTATTCTTCATTCACTTGGTATGTTGTTGGTGCCAAATCCATTAAGGATGATTTATATTTACGGATGGATGGTGTGTGTTACCCATTTGAATATCTTCTCAGTTCCTTCACTTTGGAGCTTCCTACCTTACCCACAAATATAGGCCCTCCTTATCCTTATATATAATGTGTATGTCCTACCTTAAAACCATAATTGATTGATCAGAACTAGACATGCGGCCCACACTGGTTTAATCTCATCCTCTCTGCCCAGGATTTGGTACCATTTAAGCTATCTTGTAATTTATACAAAGTAAAGTTTACACTTATCTACTTGAATCGTGGTACTGGAGTTGTATTTTATTGTTTCATACCTTTAAATGTCAACGGAGTTGAGAGTTTAAAAATAATAAAATAAAAAGAAACAGTTAAAAAACAATGAAATATGATTTTGCAACAAACTTTCTAATTTTCCCAGCCAATGATATAGGGGGAGAATAAACCATCCTTATAATATTGATGTAAGAGTGCTTTTTGCCAATGATAACAGCGATAATGGGGGGTGTTTTGGTCATAAAAAATAGCAAAATGGTTTATTGTTAAATATATTATTATTAAAAAGAATACAAATGCAGGTAGTTTCCCATTTTTAATGTTGGTTCTGTCTCTGATGGCTGAAACTATGAATTACAAAGTCATCAGCTAGCTGACGCCTCCTCACCAGGACTCGCAGAGATGTTTGCAAAAAAGACAAGGCCAATGTCCCAATGTGCACTAATATGCCTTCTTAGAGTCAGGGACAGATAACAAGTTTCAAGACATTCTTCACCTCCTCTGGTCTCATGTCTTCAACTCTTTTCTGCTATTTTTAGTTCTAGTGCCAAATCATTCAATTAAACATACCTTAGAAGATAAACATAGTGAAAAGAGTAAATAGAATTTCTTTGTAAATAACATGTACTCCATAATCTTTCCTCTCTGTGATACTTGGCATTATATCACAGCGCTTCTCAAATGTTAATGTGCATACAAATCAACTGGGAATTTTTTTTTAAATGCAGAATCTCAACCTTACCCAAGACATCTTATTTTGCATGTCTTGGGTAGGGCTGAGATTCTGCATTTCCAACAAGCTCTCAGGTGATGAAAGTGGTCCTCACTTCAAAGAGCAAGGTTCTAAGGTACAGTGGGAAGACAAGAATAGATACCTCCTCCCAAGTTAAGAAAATACTCCAGAGTATACTAACCTAATGAGATTTTTTTTAAGTGTGAAAAGAGTCCTTAACCCAGAAAATGCCAAGTGCTATTCAAAGGGAGCCCATCACATGGATGTAGGAGTAGTCAACTTCTAAAACTTGTAGCTGAATGACATTTTGGGTTTTGACAAATACCGTAACTCTACTTCAAGAGCAAAGTAAAGGAAAAAGGAACTTTGATATCCTTGTGGTCATTTTTACATAGAATTTCTCATCAGAATAGTTGGTGGAAGCTTTTTAAGGAAACAAATTCCTATGACTCAACAAAACCACTGAACATGATTTTGAAATGCAGAACCAGGTTTACGCTTGGACCCAGTAGGTGATTCTAATACCTTCTCCCGGTTAAGACCCTCTGAATAGTAATTATAGTGTGCTTCTAACAAATGTTTCATCTAGTTTAATATGGTGAGGATCTGTTCATATTAGAGCCCATGTCAGCACAACATTATTATTTGAGCTGATGGTAACCTCATTGCATAAGAAAATCTATTTTAATAGCTACCTCCCTGCCAGATAATGGCAAAACATTATTTTAGTACCATATTGATATATAATATTTTATTTGATTGTATTTATAAAGTCCAAAAATATTATTTAATATGGTTTTTAAATGATACATGGGCAATTATAACTGGTCTAGAGAACAGGATTCTTTCTCTAGGTCCCTTATTTTTAAATACAGTAGCTTTCAATAGTTTACAGTTTGTTTCTGTATATATCACCACATTTAATTCTGAAACAACCTGATAAAATAGGTACTATTATTTTCCCCTTTACAGTTGAAAATTCTGAGAGGGATATTTGCCCAAAGTCACAAAATTAGTAAGTAACAAAGCCAGGAGTTAAACAAGTTTGTCAGATACTTATTCTCAACCCTTATGATATACTGCTAGTTTTTAATCACTGTAAGTAATATTAAACAAATAAATCTATTGTTCAAGTCTTACTGAAATCTGCCTCTCATTTTTGTAAAAACTTAAATGTTTGATCTACAATTTATTACTTGATCAGATATAAAATTTGATCAATACCCTTTATTTTCCTGGTACTATATTTTGCATCCTCTGTTCTCCATGCAAAGGCCAGATTGAGAGTGGAGTAGCAGAAGGAGATGAAAGCTCAATAAAATAGAAACCATTCCACTGGTACAGTGTTCTTGTATTCCCTTTTAGAAGAGAGATTTTAAAAGGGTTATTTTATCACCATCTGTGAGAAATTCAGCTTAAATGATAAAAAAAGCTTTTAAATGATTTATGGAGAAAATTTTGCTCTAAACTGTGAAAAAGATTTCTTAACAGAAAGTTGTGGAAACTGGTAAAACAAGTCAACAAAATTACCTTTTTCCTGTGAAATAATCCCGATGTCACTAAAGAATGCTGAGCCTCCACATGGACTGTGGGAGAGGAAAGAAATATACTCACATCTATCTCACGGCCCTAGAGATTTTTACCTCTTAAAATTCATATGCCTAATTACAGAATTGCAAAATTCTTCAGCAGCTGAATGCCATTCCTCTTAGTCCAACAGATGTCTTGCACATTTTCTTCTCAATGGAGCCAATGTTTATTTCTATTAGAAGACTCTAAATCACACGTTGTTTGACACTTCTAGTTTATCTTTAACTCGAAAGGTTAATTTAATGCTTTCTCCACTGCATATTACAAATACTTCTGAGAGTAGCAGCTTCATATAAGGAAACAGTTCAGAACATGACATTTTACCCACCCAGACTCCTAGTCCATCACATGATTTGTCAATTCTAGGCCTCTGGCTTATTTTGAAATGCATTGCCTCACTCATCATGCGGTACATCTTTGCATGGCCCAGGTCCCTCTTCCGGTTCAAGGTTCCCATCTCCCAGCTTCTGGGTATGCTGGAAGCTGGGAGCTCATACCTGAGCCTGCTCTAGGAATTGCACTTTGCAGAAATGAGCTTCCTGGTTCAAGGCTTTACTCAATCCACTGTATAGTAGATATGGAGATATGAAGCTCCAGTTCTCTTGCTTTTGTTTGAATAACTGCCAGGTCCATCCCACGTCCAGCAGTGTATGGATTCAACTGAAGCTACTGCTCGAAATGTAGTGCAGTTCAACTTTTCTTTCTGCCAAATCCTGTTTTCTCACAAGTGTAGGTCCTAAGAACACTCTCCAATAAAGCTCCCACATAAATATCTCAGAGATTTAGAGATTCTCACCACCACCAGTGCCCTGGAACACTTGACCTCACTGCAAAGACAACTTTCATAAGTCTTTTCATTCATCCAGCAAATATTTTTCAGGTTTCCACTCTGTCAGGCATAGTATTAATTGCTGAGGATACAATGATAATTTAGTACCTGATCATGTAGAGACAATCCTCTGGTGGGATTTATTAAAAAACAAAAGTATTTGCAATAAATTATGATATTTGCTACAGCAGGGGAAATCCAAGGAGGGATGACCAAATCCATTTACGGGGATTAGGGAGGAGTCTATAAAGGCAATGATCTCTTGCTGAGAACTAAAAGATAAATAGGATGAGCTGGGTTGTGGGCAGTGAGTTATATTTCAGGGAGAGGAAACACTGGCTTTAGAGATCCTGAGGGCAGTGATAGTATATGAGACACTGAAAGATTTTCAATGTATGTACAATTTAGAGTGCATAACATAAGAGTGGCAGAGCCATAGTAAAGCATTCCATTGAAGGATTTTTAAAAATTTTAACTGAATCATTGAGGTATAATGACACATCATAAACTACATATTTAACATATAAAATTTGATAAACTTAAATATATTTATATATACACACACACACACACACACACACACATATATATATATATATGAAACTGCCACCACATTCAAGGCACTGAAACATATTTGTCACCCCAAAGGTTTACACAGGCCTCTGTTTAAACACTTTCTCCTAGCCCTCCCCAATCCTAAGGTAAACACGGATCTATTTCTTAACTTTTAGGTTCAGGGTGCATATGCAGGTTTGTTATATAGGTAAATTCATTTCGTGGGTTTGTTGTACAGATTATTTCATCACCCAAGCACTAATCCTAGTACTCAATAGTTGTATTTTCTGTTCCTGTCCCTCCTCCCACTCTCTACCCTCTAGTAGGCCTCAGTGTCTGTTGTTCCCCTCTTTGTATCCATGTGTTCTCATCATTTAGCTCCCACTTATAAGTGAGAATATGTGGTACATGGTTTTCTGTTCCTGAACTGGTTTGCTAAGGATGATGGTCTCCAGCTCCATCCATGTCCTTGCGAGGGACATAATCTCATTCTTTTTAATGGCTGCTTAGTATTCCATGGTGTATATATACCATATTTTCCTTATCCAGTCTACAATTGATGGCCCTTTAGGTTGATTCCATGTGTTTGCTACTGTGAATAGTGCTACAACGAACACCTATCTGCATGTGTCTTTATGATAGAACTAATTATATTCCTTTGGATGTATACCAAGTAATGGGATTGCTGGATTGAATGGTAGTTCTGTTTTAAGCTCTTTGAGAAATCACCACACTGCTTCCCACAATGGTTGAACTAATTTACACTCCCACCAACAGTGTATAGGCATTCTCTGTTCTCCACAACCTCGCTAGCTTCTGTTATTTTTTGACTTTTTAGTAATAGTAATCCTGACTGGTGTGAGATGGCACCTCTTGTGGTTTTGATGTGCATTTCTCTAATGATCAGTGATATTGAGCTTTCTTTCATATGTTTGTTGGCTGAATGTATGTGTTCTTTTGAAAAGTGTTTATGTCTTTTGCTCACTTTTTAATGGGGTTGTTAGGGGTTCTTTCTTGTAAATTTGTTTAATTTCCTTATAGATGCTGGATACCAGACCTTTGTCAGATGCATAGCTTGCAAATATTTTCTTCCATTCTGTAGGTTGTCTGTTTACTCTGTTGATAGTTTCTTTTGGTGTGTAGAAACTCTTTAGTTTAATTAGATCCCATTCGTCAATTTTTGCTTTTGTTTTGCTTGCTTTTGGTGACTTCATCATGAAATCTTCCCCAATTCCTATGTCCAGAATGGCATTGTCTAGGTTGTCTTCCAGGATTTTTATATTTTAGGGTTTTACATTTAAGCTTTTAATCCACCTAGAGTTGATTTTTGTATATGGTGCAATGAAGGAGTCCAGTTTCAATCATCTGCATATGACCATCCAGTTATCCCAGTGACAATTATTGAATAGGGAATCCTTTCCCCATTGCTTGTTTTTGTCAGTTTTGTTGATGATCAGATGGCTGCAGATGTGAAGCCTTATTTCTGGGCTCCCTACTCTGTTTTATTAGTCTATGTGCCTGTTTTTTGTACCAGTACCAGGCTATTTCAGTTACTGTAGTCCTGCAGTATAGTCAGATAATGTGATGCCTCCAGCTTTGTACTTTTTGCTTAGGATTTCCTTGGCTATTCAGGCTCTTTTCTGGTTTTACATTAATTTTAAAATAGCTTTTTCTAGTTCTATGAAGAATGTTGTTGGTAGTCTAATACTATTTTTGTCATTATAAATTATCCTGCATTTCTAGAGTATTACACAAATTAAATCACAAAAGTTTGTTTTTTTTTGTCTGGCTTCTTACACACAGCATAATTATTTTGTGATTCATTCATGTTGTTGCATGCATCAATATCTCATCCTTTTTTTTTCCTGTGGTTAATGGCACTTCTATTTACATAGGAGGACTCCCTAAGAGTGAATTGGTTCTGTTCAAATATATGAGGATTCTAAATTTAAACTAAGACGTTGCCAGATTTTTTTTCCAAAGACTTTACTAATTCATTCATAGTCTCACCAGTCATGTGAGGAAGTACTCTCTTTCCCTGTATGTCCCTGGCAGCAATATGCATTACCAGTCTTTTCATTTTTGCTTAATATCTCAATTTTAATATTAATTTTCTGACCTACTAGCATATTTTAGTATATTTTTATTGCACTTTTCTTTCTTTTTTTTAAATTATACTTTAAGTTTTAGGGTACATGTGCACAATATGCAGGTTTGTTACATATGTATACATGTGCCATGTTGGTGTGCTGCACCAATTAACTCGTGGTTTAACATTAGGTATATCTCCTAATGCTATCCCTCCCCCCTCACCCACCCCACAACAGTCCCTGGTGTGTGATGTTCCCCTTCCTGTGTCCATGTGTTCTCATTGTTCAATTCCCACCTATGAGTGAGAACATGCAGTGTTTGGTATTTTGTCCTTGCAATAGTTTGCTGAGAATGATGGTTTCCAGCTTCATCCATGTCCCTACAAAGGACATGAACTCATCATTTTTTATGGCTGCATAGTATTCCATGGTGTATATGTGCCACATTTTCTTAATCCAGTCTATCATTGTTGGACATTTGGCTTGGTTCCAAGTCTTTGCTATTCTGAATAGTGCCACAATAAGCATACACATGCATGTGTCTTTATAGCAGCATGATTTATAATCCTTTGGGTATATACCCAGTAATGGAATGGCTGGGTCAAATGGTATTTCTAGTTCTAGATCTCTGAGGAATCGCCACACTGACTTCCACAATGGTTGAACTAGTTTACAGTCCCACGAACAGTGTAAAAGTGTTCCTGTTTCTCCACATCCTCTCCAGCACTTGTTGTTTCCTGACTTTTTAATGATCGCCATTCTAACTGGTATGAAATGGTATCTCATTGTGCTTTTGATTTGCATTTCTCTGGTGGCCAGTGATGATGAGCATTTTTTCATGTGTCTTTTGGCTGCATAAATGTCTTCTTTTGAGAAGTGTCTGTTCATATCCTTTGCCTACTTTTTGATGGAGTTGTTTGTTTTTTTCTTGTAAATTTGTTTGAGTTCATTGTAGATTCTGGATATTAGCCCTTTGTCAGATGAGTAGATTTCAAAAATTTTCTCCCATTCTGTAAGTTGTCTGTTCACTCTGATGGTAGTTTCTTTTGCTGTGCAGAAGCTCTTTAGTTTAATTAGATCCCATTTGTCAATTTTGGCTTTTGTTGCCATTGCTTTTGGTGTTTTAGACATGAAGTCCTTGCCCATGCCTATGTCCTGAATGGTATTGCCTAGGTTTTCTTCTAGGGATTTTATGGTTTTAGGTCTAACATTTAAGTCTTTAATCCATCTTGAATTAATTTGTGTATAAGGTGTAAGGAAGGGATCCAGTTTCAGCTTTCTGAAACTGAAACTGGCTAGCTAGTTTTCCCAGCACCATTTATTAAATAGGGAATCCTTTCCCCATTTCTTGTTTTTGTCAGGTTTGTCAAAGATCAGATAGTTGTAGACATGTGGCATTATTTCTGAGGGCTCTGTCCTGTTCCATTGGTCTATATCTCTGTTTTGGTACCAGTACCATGCTGTTTTGGTTACTGTGGCCTTGTAGTATAGTTTGAAGTCAGGTAGCGTGATGCCTCCAGCTTTGTTCTTTTGGCTTAGGATTTACTTGGCAATGTGGGTTCTTTTTTGGTTCCATATGAACTTTAAAGTAGTTTTTTCCAATTCTGTGAAGACAGTCATTGGTAGCTTCATGGGGATGGCATTGAATCTATAAATTACTTTAGGCAGTATGGGAATTTTCAGGATATTGATTCTTCCTACCCATGAGCATGGAATGTCCTTCCATTTGTTTGTATCTTCTTTTATTTCATTGAGCAGTGGTTTGTAGTTCTCCTTGAAGAGGTCCCTCACATCCCTTCTAAGTTGGATTCCTAGGTATTTTATTCTCCTTGAAGCAATTGTGAATGGGAGTTCACTCATGATTTGGCTGTCTGTTATTGGTGTATAAGAATGCTTGTGATTTTTGCACATTGATTTTGTATCCTGAGACTTTGCTGAAGTTGCCTATCAGCTTAAGGAGATTTTGGGCTGTGACGGTAGGGTTTTCTAGATATACAATCATGTCATCTGCAAACAGGGACAATTGGCTTCCTCTTTTCCTAATTGAATACCCCTTATTTCTTTCTCCTGCCTGATTGCCCTGGCCAGAACTCCCAACACTATGTTGAATAGGAGTGGTGAGAGAGGGCATCTCTGTCTTGTGCCAGTTTTCAAAGGGAATGCTTCCAGTTTTTGCCCATTCAGTGTGATATTAGCTGTGGGTTTGTCACAAATAGCTCTTATTATTTTGAGATACTTCCCATCAACACCTAATTTATTGAGAGTTTTTAGCATGAAGGGTTGTTGAATTTTGTCAAAGGCCTTTTCTGCATCTGTTGAGATAATCACGTGGTTTTTGTTGTTGGTTCTGTTTATATGCTAGATTACGTTTATTGATTTGCATATGTTGAACCAGGCTTGCATCCCAGGGATGAAGCCCACTTGATCATGGTGGATAAGATTTTTGATATGCTGCTGGATTCGGTTTGCCAGTATTTTATTGAGGATTTTTGCATCGATGTTCATCAGGGATATTGGTCTAAAATTCTCTTTTTTTGTGTGTGTCTCTGCCAGGCTTTGGTATCAGGATGATGCTAGTCTCATAAAATGAGTTAGGGAGGATTCCCTCTTTTTCTATTGATTGGAATAATTTTAGAAGGAATGGTACCAGCTCCTCCTTGTACCTCTGGTAGAATTTGGCTGTGAATCCATCTGGTCCTGGAATTTTTTTGGTTCATAAGCTATTAATTATTGCCTCAATTTCAGAGCCTGTTATTGGTCTATGCAGAGATTCAACGTCTTCCTGGTTTCGTCTTGGGAGGGTGTATGTGTTGAGGAATTTATCCATTTCTTCTAGATTTTCTAGTTTATTTGTGTAGAGGTGTTTACAGTATTCTCTGATGGTAGTTTGTATTTCTGTGGGATAGGTGGTGATATCCCCTTTATCATTTTTTTATTGCATCTATTCGATTCTTCTCTCTTTTCTTCTTTATTAGTCTTGCTAGCGGTCTATCAATTTTGTTGATCTTTTCCAAAAACCAGCTCCTGGATTCATTGATTTTTTGAAGGGTTTTTTGTGTCTCTATTTCCTTCAGTTCTGCTCTGATCTTAGTTATTTCTTGCCTTCTGCTAGCTTTTGAATGTGTTTGCTCTTGCTTCTCCAGTTCTTTTAATTGTGATGTTAGGGTGTCAATTTTAGATATTTCCTGCTTTTTCTTGTGGGCATTTAGTGCTATAAATTTCCGTCTACACACTGCTTTCAATGTGTCCCAGAGATTCTAGTATGTTGTGTCTTTTTTCTCATTGGTTTCAAAGAACATCTTTATTTCTGCCTTCATTTCGTTATGTACCCAGTAGTCATTCAGGAGCAGGTTGTTCAGTTTCCATGTAGTTGAGCGGTTTTGAGTGAGTTTCTTAATCCCGAGTTCTAGTTTGATTGCACTGTGGTCTGAGAGACAGCTTGTTATACTTTCTGTTGTTTTACATTTGCTGAGGAGTGCTTTACTTCCAACTATGTGGTCAATTTTGGAATAGGTATGGTGTGGTGCTGAAAAGAATGTATATTCTGTTGATTTGGGGTGGAGAGTTCTGTAGATATCTATTAGGACTGCTTGCAGAGCTGAGTTCAATTCCTGGATATCCTTGTTAACTTTCTGTCTCATTGATCTGTCTAATGTTGACAGTGGGGTGTTAAAGTCTCCTATTATTATTGTGTGGGAGTCTAAGTCTCTTTCTAGGTCTCTAAGGACTGGCTTTATGAATCTGGGTGCTCCTGTATTGGGTGCTCCTGTATTGGGTGCATATATATTTAGGATAGTTAGCTCTTCTTGTTTAATTGATCCCTTTACCATTAGGTAATGGCCTTCTTTGTCTCTTTTGATCTTGTTGGTTTAAAGTCTGTTTTATCAGAGACTAGGATTGCAACCCCTGCATTTTTTTATTTTCCATTTGCTTGGTAGATCTTCTTCCATCCCTTTATTTTGAGCCTATGTGTGTCTCTGCACGTGAGATGGGTTTCCTGAATACAGCACACTGATGGGTCTTGACTCTTTATCAAATTTGCCAGTCTGTGTCTTTTAATTGGAGCATTTAGCCCATTTACATTTAAGGTTAATATTGTTATGTGTGAATTTGATCCTGTCATTATGATGTTAGCTGGTTATTTTGCTTGTTAGTTGATGCAGTTTCTTCCTAGCCCTGATGGTCTTCACAATTTGGCATGTTTTTGCAATGGCTGGTACCGGTTGTTCCTTTCCATGTTTAGTGCTTCCTTCAAGAGCTCTTTTAGGGCAGGCCTGGTGGTGACAAAATCTCTCAGTATTTCCTTGTCTGTAAAGTATTTAATTTCTCCTTCACTTATGAAGCTTAGTTTGGCTGGATATGAAATTCTGGGTTGAAAATTCTTTTCTTTAAGAATGTTGAACATTGGCCCCCACTCTCTTCTGGCTTGTAGAGTTTCTGCCAAGAGATCAGCTGTTAGTCTGATGGGCTTCCCTTTGTGGGTAACCCGACCTTTCTCTCTGGCTGTGCTTAACATTTTTTCCTTCATTTCAACTTTGGTGAATCTGACAATTATGTGTCTTGGAGTTGCTCTTCTCGAAGAGTATCTTTGTGGCAATCTCTGTATTTCCTGAATCTGAATGTTGGCCTGCCTTGCTAGATTGGGGAAGTTCTCCTGGATAATATCCTTCAGAGTGTTTTCCAACTTGGTTCCATTCTCCCCATCCTTTCAGGTACACCAGTCAGACGTAGATTTGGTCTTTTCACATAGTCCTATATTTCTTGGAGGCTTTGTTCATTTCTTTTTATTCTTTTTTCTCTAAATTTCTCTTCTCACTTCATTTCATTCATTTGATCTTCCATCACTGATACCCTTTCTTCCAGTTGGTCAAATTGGCTACTGAGGCTTGTGCATTCGTCACATAGTCCTCGTGCCATGGTTTTCAGCTCCATTAGGTCCTCTAAGGACTTCTCTGCATTGGTTATTCCACTTAGTCCAATCTTTTTTCAAGGTTTTTAACTTCTTTGCCATGGGTTCAAACTTCCTCCTTTAGCTCAGAGTAGTTTGATCGTCTGAAGCCTTCTTCTCTCAATTCGTTCAAAGTCATTCTCCATCCAGCTTTGTTCCGTTGCTGGTGAGGAGCTGCATTCCTTTGGAGAAGGAGAGGCACTCTGATTTTTAGAATTTGCAGTTTTTCTGCTCTGTTTTTTCCCCATCTTTGTAGTTTTATCTACCTTTGGTCTTTGATGATGGTGAGTACAGATAGGGTTTTGGTGTGGATGTCCTTTCTGTTTGTTAGTTTTCCTTCTAACAGTCAGGACCCTCAGCTGCAGATCTGTTGGAGTTTGCCAGAGGTCTACTCCAGACCCTGTTTGCCTGGGTATCAGCAGCGGAGGCTGCAGAACAGTGGATATTGGTGAACAGCAAATGTTGCTGCCTGATCATTCCTCTGGAAGTTTTGTCTCAGAGGAGTACCTGGCCGTGTGAGGTGTCAGTCTGTCTCTACTGGGGGGTGCCTCCCAGTTAGGCTACTCAGAGGTCAGGGACCCACTTGAGGAGGCAGTCTGTCTGTTCTCAGATCTCAAGCTGCATGCTGGGAGAACCACTACTCTCTTCAAAGCTGTCAGACAGGGACATTTAAGTCTGCAGAGGTTTCTGCTGCCTTTTGTTTGGCTATGCCCTGCCCCCAGAGGTGGAATCTACAGAGGCAGGCAGGCCTCCTTGAGCTGCGGTTGGCTCCACCCTGTTTGAGCTTTCCAGCTGCTTTGTTTACCTACTCAAGCCTCAGCAATGGCGGGTGCCCCTCCCCCAGCCTCGCTGCCGCCTTGCAGTTTGATCTCAGACTGCTGTGCTAGCAATGAGCGAGGCTCCGTGGGTGTAGGACCCTCCAAGCCAGGCGCGGGATACAATCTCCTTGTGTGCCATTTGCTAAGACTGTTGGAAAAGCGCAGTATTAGGGTGGGAGTGACCCAATTTTCCAGGTGCCATCTGTCACCCCTTTCCTTGGCTAGAAAAGGGGATTTCCTCACCCCTTGCACTTCCCTGGTGAGGCGACGCCTTGCCCTGCTTCAACTCATGCTCGGTGCGCTGCACCCACTGTCCTGCACCCACTGTCCGACAAGCCCCAGTGAGATGAACCTGGTACCTCAGTTGGAAATGCAGAAATCATACGTCTTCTGCATCACTCACGCTGGGAGCTGTAGACTGGAGCTGTTCCTATTCGGCCATCTTCTATTTCATTCTTTTTTATAGTTGAGTGGTATTCCCATGTTTAAATGTATCACAGATTGTTTATTCATTTTCCTATAGAAGGACATTTGGGATGCTTTTTTTTTTTTAGGTATTACAAATAGAGCTACCAAGAACATTCATGTACAAGTCTTTGTGTGGACATATGCTTCCTTTTCTTTTAGGTAAATACCTAGGAGTGGGATGGCTAGACCATATGGAAGGTGTATATTTAACTTTGTACAAAACTGCCAAAATGTTTTCCAAAGTCATTTTACCATTGTACAACCCCACAAGCAGTGTATAAGAGTTTCAGCTATTTCAAATCCTTACAAAAGGTTGGCATGGTCAATCTCCTTAATTTTGGCTAATATTTGCATAGTAGTATCTTACTGGGGTTCACATTTGCATTTCCTTAAATATTTCACGTTTTTAAGATTTTGTATTTTCGTAGGTTATAAGCAACTTGATTCTGATGTGTCTTGGTGTAGTTTTCTTCATGTGTTTTATGCTTGGTGTTTTTTGAGGTTTTGGGAACTCTTAAGTTTTTAGTTTTGATCACATTTGGAAAATATTTTAGTGATTGTTTTATCAAAAAAATTGTTTTCTCTTGCATTCCCTCCATCTTTTCTACTTCAGAAAGTTCATTTACATAGACATTTGGTCACTTGAAGTTGTCCCACAGCTCTGTGATGGTCTATTCACTCACTGTTTTCTTCTTCATGGTTGAGAAAGCATTTCATTGACACAAGGCCATCCACACTACATGATAGAGAGTTATAACTCAAATCAGTCTCCGCAGTGGCTCAGAGGTTAGGGTTTTTCAAGGATAGTTTGTTGGTCAGCGTACTAGGAAATGAGTGCTGCTGATTGGTTGGGGATAGCATCACAGGAGTGTGGAAAATGGTCTTCCTATACTGAGTTCACCTCTGGGTGGGGGGACCACAAAACCAGTTGAGTTTTGTGTCACTAGTCCAGGTGGAGTTAGCCAGTCTTTGTGTTCCAGAAATGCAGAAGTCTGAAAATACATCTCAAAAGGCCAATCTTAGGTTTTACCATAGTGATGTTTTCTACAAGAGTAATTGGGGAAGTTACAAATCTTGTGACCTCTACGACAATAGTTGGTTATCATTTAACTATGCCTACATCTTAGCAGAATTCAGGCCTTTCTCATAATCCTAACCTGGTGGCCTTTCATTAGGTTTACAAAAGTGGTTAGTTTTAGAAAGGGCTATCATCATCTCTGCTTTAAGATTAAACTATAAACTAAATTCTTCCCGAAGTTAGCTTTGCCTACATCAAGGAATGACTAAGGACAATTTAGAGGTTAGAAACAAGATGGAGTCAACCATGTCAGATTTCTTTCACTGTCATAATCTTTGCAAAGGCAATTTCAATCCCTGCTTGGGTTTCAGTACACTTTAATCCTTAGTTGTGTGTTATGTTGATAGGGAAAGGCAGATGGTTGCTCTAACTTCTTCCTGCTGACAGGGGGCATATTTGGGATAGGGGTTATCCCCAGAGTGAGAGGAAGAAAACTGTTTTGCCGTTGTTTGTATGTATTCGTGGTGCCTGGCGGGGTTCCCAAGGTCTGTATGACAAAGACATTAGTACTTTTATCCACAGCTATAACACAACACTTAAGTGAACAATGGACTATAAGACAAATAATGAGCCCTAGCATAAGGAGTGAAAGTTCTAGCTTCAAGAGTCCTTATAGAACTAACTGAAGCCTTCACTTTTTTTGATTTCCTTTTTTTCTGTGTTTCATTTTGGGTGATTTTCATTGCTATGTCTTCATATATCCTAACCTTTTCTTCTTTAATGTGTATTCTGCCATTAATCTCATCCAGTGTGGTTTTCATCTCAGGCATTGTAGTTTTCATCTCTAGAGTTATATTTGGGTCTTTTTGTATCTTATATATCTATGCTTAACATACTCATTCTTCCCCCTAGCTTCCTGAGCATATGAAATGCTGTTATAATTACCTTCCTAATATCCTCATTTGGTCATTTTAATGTGGGTGTCAATTCCATTTCCATTTCAAGTGATTAATTTTTCTCCTTATTATGGATGATGTTTTCTTGCCTCTTTGTATGTATGGTAATTTTAAATTATACATCAGGAATTATGGATTTGATTTTGTTGGGTGCAGGATATTTGAGTATCTTTACACATATTTTTGAGCCTTGTTTGGGTTGTGGTTAAATTCATTTTGTTCTTGCTTTTAGCATTTGTTGAGCTTGCTTAGAGCAGAGTTCAGTCTATGGCTGATTATTCACCAGTATTAAAGAAGACCCTTCTGATTACTCTACCCCAGGCTCCATGAATTATGAGTTTTTTCAGTCTGCCTGGTGGAAATACACACTATTCCCAGCCCCATGTGAGCTCTAACTACTGTTCTCACTCACCTTTTCAAGTAGCTCTTTCCTTTGCCTCTGGTAGTTTCTTCAGAAGCATGTGCTGATCAGTACTCAGCTGAATATTCACAGCAGAGGGTACTCTACGTATCTCTAGAGTTCTTTCTCTGTGCTGTCTACTTCCTGGTACTATCTTGTGTATGCTAGCCACTGTGGTCTCCCCAGACTCACAGCTTTGTCTCCTTAACACAAGGATTCTGCTGAGCTGCACTTAGGTTCTCCCTTTCTACACTGAAACCTGGAAGCACTTTTAAGTCAGTAAAACTGGGTTAATTGTAGGACTCACCTCATTAGTTTCCCATCTCTTAGAGGTTTCTGGTTTGGGGTTTTTGTTTGTTTGTTAGTTTGTTTTCCCTAATGTTCAGTATCCTGAAAAGTTATTGTTTTATATATATTTTTTTCTATTTCTTATGTTACTATATCAGAGAAGAGAGTAAATTTGTTTTCTATTCCTCCAACTTTGATGAGAACATTGCAAGATTTTAAGGAGGAAATAACCTGATGGATTTAGAGAAGCATCCAGCCTACAGTATGGAGAATGCTGAGCTCTAGGCAGAGAGAGACAAATGAGAAAGCTGCCGGCCATCAACCAGGTGAGAAAGCCTGTGTGCTATAGATTGTGTCATCCTGCTTTCCCAGTTATTGACAGTCACCATGATGTGGAGAGGAGGGGGAGGGAGAGAGAGACAAAGAGAGAGAGATACAGAGAGAAGTTTGATAGGTAATATATAAAAGCGAAATGAACAGAAATTTGTGTGGAAAAATTTCATAGTTTAACTTTATGTTGCAAAAATATATCTACACTTTATTCTGCATATCTTTAATGTATTTCCTCCACCTACTACTTGTTCACAAGGATCTGAAAGACATCACTCCCCATACCAAGCAGATGAATAAAAAGAACACTCAGAAAATATATGGATATATGTACAGATAATGAGTTTTTTATTTTCCAAATATTAGACAAGATGGGAATGGAAAGGCAGTTGCCTAGAATGTGTGTGTTGTGGGTGGAGTGTGTGTGTAGTGAGACGGAGGTTGCTGTGTATGACTCAAAACGAAAAAGCAGTGGAACAGCTAGGTTCCGGGAAGAGTGGAGGGGAATCAGAATCTTCTCTTTCAAGGATCAGGGCAGAGGGTGGGTGGTAGGGGGTGTGTAAGGGATTTAACACTTGAACTGTCCTAGAGCATGAGTTTCACTGAACCACTGCCTACAGACAATGTACCAACCAAGTACCCTGCCATTTTTAAGATCCTGGCAGAGAGTTAAAAATATGGGCAACTTAGATGGAATTGGAGTTGTGAAGAAAACACTTTGCCCCATTTCAGAGTTGGAATTAGCTCGAACCAACTGGACCTTCCTTCATGTGCTATACCACTACTGCATCTTATTACATCTTGTGCTACTACCTATCTGTCTCTCCTCTCTTGGTCCTCCTCAAAAACACCTCATTGCTTTCCTGAAATTTCCATCTTCTTTAATACCAAATGCTGCTCACAGGAAGCAGTGAAAAGGACTAATAATGCAGTTACCCTAGTTAGACTATGACAGCAATATAGAATAATTCATAAAAAATTGAAGGTCATAATTATTAAAAGAGAACTAGGAAAACATAATGACTAGAAACTTTTTTCTATCATTATATTTACATTTGACATTCCTTGGAACACATTCTGAATTCTATATCCCTTGATCTATACCTTCTTTCCACTGTAGTTCAAAGTCTTATACATGAAAGTTCTTGGTAAATGTTGACAGACACTTATGGAATGGCTTAAGTGAAGCTCTTAACATGTCAAAGCCCCATTTTACCTCTGTAAAATTATTCTCTTAACTAATTCTATCCACTGTTTTTTTTAGAAACATAGTATATGCATACTACCTTAAAAATGAAATCCTGGGCCAGGCATAGTGGCTCATGCCTGTAATCCCAGCACTTTGGGAGGCCAAGGTGGGTGGATCGACTGAGGTCAGGAGTTCAAGAGCAGCCTGGCCAACATGGTGAAACCGCGTCTCTACTAAAAATACAAACATTAGCTGGACATGGTGGTGCATGCCTGTAATCCCAGCTACTCAGGAGGCCGAGGCACAAAAATCACTTGAATCTGGGAGGCGGAGGTTACAGTGAGCTGAGATCGCGACACTGCACTCCAGCCTGGGTGACAGAGTGAGACTGTCTCAAAAAAAAAAAAAGAAATATATATATATATATATATACCAATGGAACAGAACAGAGCCCTCAGAAATAATGCCACATATCTACAACTATCTGATCTTTGACAAACCTGACAAAAACAAGAAATGGGGAAAGGATTCCCTATTTAATAAACGGTGCTGGGAAAACAGGCTAGCCATAGGTAGAAAGCTGAAACTGGATCCCTTCCTTACACCTTATACAAAAATTAATTCAAGATGGATTAAGGACTTAAATGTTAGACCTAAAACCATGAAAACCCTAGAAGAAAACCTAGGCAATACCATTCAGGACATAGGCATGGGCAAGGACTTCATGTCTAAAACACCAAAAGCAATGGCAATGAAAGCCAAAATTGACAAATGGGATGTAATTAAACTAAAGAGCTTCTGCACAGCAAAAGAAACTACCATCAGAGTGAACAGGCAACTTACAGAATGGGAGAAAATTTTTGCAACCTACTCGTCTGACAAAGGGCTAATATCCAGAATCTACAATGAACTCAAACAAATTTACAAGAAAAAACAAACAACTCCATCAAAAAGTAGGCAAAGGATATGAACAGACACTTCTCAAAAGAAGACATTTATGCAGCCAAAAGACACATGAAAAAATGCTCATCATCACTGGCCATCAGAGAAATGCAAATCAAAAGCACAATGAGATACCATCTCACACCAGTTAGAATGGCGATCATTAAAAAGTCAGGAAACAACAGGTGCTGGAGAGGATGTGGAGAAATAGGAACACTTTTACACTGTTGGTGGGACTGTAAACTAGTTCAACCATTGTGGAAGTCAGTGTGGCGATTCCTCAGGGATCTAGAACTAGAAATACCATTTGACCCAGCCATTCCATTACTGGGTATATACCCAAAGGATTATAAATCATGCTGCTATAAAGACACATGCACGCGTATGTTTATTGTGGCACTATTCACAATAGCAAAGACTTGGAACCAACCCAAATGTCCAACAATGATAGACTGGATTAAGAAAATGTGGCATATATACACCATGGAATATTATGCAGCCATAAAAAATGATTAGTTCATGTCCTTTGTAGGGACATGGATGAAGCTGGAAACCATCATTCTCAGCAAACTATTGCGAGGACAAAATACCAAACACTGCATGTTCTCACTCATAGGTGGGAATTGAACAATGAGAACACATGGACACAGGAAGGGGAACATCACACACCAGGGACTGTTGCGGGGTCGGGGGAGGGGGGAGGGATAGCATTAGGAGAGATACCTAATGTTAAATGACGAGTTAATTGGTGCAGCACAATAACATGGCACATGTATACACATGTAAGAAACCTGCACGTTGTGCACATGTACCCTAAAACTTAAAGTATAATATTAATAAAATTTAAAAAAACATCACCTTAAGAGGGACATAGAAAAATACAACATGTTGCTTTATAGATTTTGTCCCTGCACCAAGGACAAAAGTGATGTCCCTGATCTGATTTATATTGAAATACATGTGAGCTATATGTACATTTAAGAAAGATTAATAAAAACAAGTAAAATTGGGCCAGGTGAGGTGGCTCATACCAGTAATCTCAGCACTTTGGGAGGCTGAGGCGGGCAGATCACTTGAGGTCAGAAGTTCAAGACCAGCCTGACCAACATGGTGAAACCCCATCTCTACTAAAAATACAAACATTAACTGGGTGTGGTGCCGCATGCCTGTAGTCTTCAGCTACTTGAGAGGCTGAGGCAGGAGAATCCCTTGAACCTGGGAGGTAGAAGTTGCAGTGAGTCGATATTGTGCCACTGTACTCCAGCCTAGGTGACAGAGCAAGACTCTCAAAAAAAAAAAAAAAAAAAAGATTCTTTACCCAATATTTGGTAAATCAGTGAGTGACAGCCAACAGAGCTCACCTATAAATCAATCCTGACTGGGTGGGGCCACCTTTGCGGAGAGTTACTGGATTAGGAATTTAATCATTTTGATTGTTCTTGTAATTAGCTAGCAGTCCATTATCATAATCTAATCAATCCAAAAGTGGTTGATTATAAAGTGACATGATTATCTTATTTTTTGAAACCCCATTCATAATTTTAAAATCTCTTTTATTTTCTTAATAAATTACACAACTACTAAAAAATTCTAAACATTGCATTTAAGTATAGAAAAGCTCAAACACAGCTGTACTTGGAGGCAGAGGATTGCATCAATTCCTGCATTCCCTGAAGAATCATTATGATTTCAGTAATATCAAATGCAGAAAATGCTGTGTTGAATAACTCTTAAAATACCGTAAGCAGATATGTTGTTCAGAATGGGATTTTTTTTGTATTGGTGAAAAATTTTGTGAATTTCTGGACAAAACTATATACAATGCTCCTGTGATTTATGCAATTGCATTTCTCAAACATTATGAAAATTAAAACAAGCAACAATACTTGTAATTTATAATTAAATAGGGTACAGCCTTGGAAATTGTCAGCATGTTTATCATCCGCTTTCATGTCTGAAGGTCACTGGAGAGTCCTATGACATGCTTGCAGGTAGCTTAATTGTCTTGGCCATTCTCAATAGCAGCCCCCATTCACTGGGAGAACCACCAGAGCAAACTCCAGATTTTAAATGAATCCCGACTGGGTGGTGCCACCTTTGTTGACAGTTACTGCTTTAGGTAATTTAATCATCTTGATTGTTCTTGTCAGGAGTTAGGAATCCATTATCACAACCTAATCAATCCAGAAGTCAGGAAGTCTCCACCCACTAATTAAGGTGACTCAATATAAACCTGCCTCCTGTGCCTCCACATTAGCTCATTTGGAAGACCTGGGTATAGGTGGTCGTCTCCTTGGCTCAGAGTCCCTGCAGCAGCTGAGGTGCCTGTGTCTCTCTTGTTCCCAGTGGCCACCATCATGCTCTCCTCCCCACTCAGGGTGGCTGTGGTGTGTGTGAGCAACATCAACAGGAGCATGGAGGCCCACAGCATCCTCAGGAGAAAAGGGCTAAGTGTCCGGTCTTTCGGAACTGAATCTCATGTGAGGCTACCAGGACGAAGACCCAATCATCCTGTAGTTTACGATTTTGCAACAACATATAAGGAGATGTACAATGACCTCCTCAGGAAAGATAGAGAATGCTACACCCACAATGGAATCTTACACATCTTGGGAAGAAATGAGAGAATCAAGCCTGGCCCAGAAAGATTTCAGGAATGCACTGAATTCTTTGATGTCATCTTTACCTGTGAGGAGCGTGTCTATGACACAGTGGTGGAAGATCTGTGTTCCAGAGAACAGCAGACCTTTCAGCCTGTGCACGTGATCAACATGGACATCAAAGATACCCTGGAAGGTGCCATCCTGGGAGCTTTCCTCATCTGTGAGATTTGCCAGTGCCTGCAGCAGTCCGACGACATGGAAGACAGTCTGGAGGAGCTGCTGTTGCAAATGGAGGAGAAGGCAGGAAAAAGCTTTCTTCACACCGTCTGCTTCTACTGAAGATCTGGGCTGGCTTTGTCTCCTTCCTCGGTAAGAACTTAGGCATGGGACTTTAGTCCAGATTGATTGTGAGAAGTATCTACAAAGACCTTCCACTGAGTGCTGTTTGTATTACTTTTGTACATATCACCTGGAAAGAGACTATTACCAAGAAAATATTTTATGGGAAATGAGAAGGACTAACAGTTTTAAAAGCACTGAAAAATGCTTGGCATTGTTCTACATGCATTACATACAATAACTAATTTAATGCTTATATTATTCTACAAGGAAGCTATCCCACCATGACTGCATTTTCCGGATGAGCAAATGGAGCTGATAATGGACTGCTGGAAAAATGATTTGTTTAAGGGTATTCAGCAGATAAATAACATTGTATAGATAAGCACCTTTTAAATAGACTTCCTTTTCTCAATTTGAGTGGTTTTTTTTTTAATTTTTAAATTTTTTAAGTTATTTGAGACCAATGGAGTGTGGTATATTAACTTAAATGTTGTTCTTCTTTAATAAGAGTATAATATTACATGTTTGAACCAATAAATGTTTTCACATATAGATTATATCTTTTTTACTAATGCTCACTTTAATAGGTAAAATCCAAGTTGGATAATGAACTACATATTATTGTAAAATTTGGAATTATCTACTCAAATAATAGGTCATCAAATTAAATGAAATAAAAAATTTAAATAAAAAAAAAAAAAAGAAAGAAATCCTGTTCCCAGGATCTGCAAAGAACACCACAGCAGTTCTACACATCTGCCTCTCCCCCAGTTCCCCTCCCTGGATGGCAGAGATTTTAATATCATTAAAACTAACTTGGATATAGTAGAGGGAAGCTCTTAAAACCCTGACACCAGTGTGTTAGGAGATGGTACGTCAATTGACAGATTCGTTACCCAAGAAGAACGTATACATGCATCATGCTAGGTACAGGGAGAAAACCAAAGTTAGGCAAAGTATTTTGTCCACTTATTATCTATGTCATTTTCATAGCCAGTAGAACCTCTCAGTAAGTCTCCTAGACCTGGCCATGCCCACCATGGCCCAACACTCTCTTCGTCCCTGTCAACTCAAGCCTCTCTACGTACCCTCTACTGGGTCAGACCAGTGACAGATCCATTCCAGTGAGTTGAACAGCAGAACCAAAGGATGGCATTTCTTGTTTTTCTTTTCTTTTTTTTTTGTCTTTTTTTTTTTTTTTTTCTGAGACAGAGTCTCACTCTATCACCCAGGCTGGAGCACAGTGACATCATCTAGGCTCACTGCAGCCTCTGCCACTGGGGTTCAAGTGATTCTCCTGCCTCAGCCTCTCGATTAGCTGGGATTACAGGTGTGTGCCACCACACCTGTCTAATTTTTTTGTATTTTTAGTAGAGACGGGGTTTCGCTATGTTGGCCAGCCTGGTCTCAAACTCCTGACGGCAAGTGATGCTCCTGATCCTCCTGCCTTGGCCTCCCAAAGTTCACAGGCGTGAGCTACCATGCCCGGCCAGATGGCATTTTTTATGGCCTTGGATTAAATTTTGCATTCCAGATGCTCAATACTTGGTTTCTAAAGTTAACTTCTGAACTTTCCCTAGAAACTAGAAAGACAAATATTACTACTCCATTTTGGGCCTTTTATTAAACACCTCATAAATGTTATTTAGTTTATTTCCACAAAATCTCTCTGAGTTAGGTAGCTCAGAGAATCTGAAACTTAAAGTTTAAATAACATGCCCAACATCACAGCCTACCAAGGGCAGAATGTGTCTAGAGACAGAGCTTCGGCCAGGCGCGGTGGCTCACGCCTGTAATCCCAGAACTTTGGGAGGCCGAGAGGGGCGGATCACGAGGTTAGGAGATCGAGACCATCCTGGCTAACACGGTGAAACCCCGTCTCTACTAAAAATACAAACAAAAAAAAAAAATAGCCGGACGTGGTGGCGGGCGACTGTAGTCCCAGCTACTCAGGAGGCTGAGGCAGGAGAATGGCATGAACCCGGGAGGCAGAGCTTGCAGTGAGCCGAGATCACACCACTGCACTCCAGCCTGGGCGACGGAGCAAGACTCCGCCTCAAAAAAAAAAAAAAAAAAAAAGAAAGAAAGAAAAGAAAAAGAAAAAGAGAGACAGAGCCTTTGATCACTGTACCTCTTTCCAGCTGGCAGAAATTTCCATCCAGGAAAACACTTTTGGCTGTGATTCTACTTGCCAGCCCCTTTCCATGCACATCTTCTCACCCCAAGTCAAATTTCTATTTAATTGAATTTTTCTCACTGAATAGTAGTGAACTTTCCTCACCATGTATCTAAATATTAGGTAGTTAGGCAAATATTAAATAGTGAACTTTTCTCACTAAATATTAGGCATTCCTTTTTATTTTTAGCTGATGCTGTCTTCTCCCAAATTAGACATTCAAGAAAATAATTATAGGGTAAAAAACGGAATGAGATCAGAAGGAAAATTAATGGCTCCCCTAACAACTAATTAGAAAAATTAAAGAAGTATAATCAATTTAGTTTACAAAAACTTGGCGAAGGGAGTATTCTTTGTCAGGCACTGTGTTGGATACCTATTGAAAAAAATGCCTTCGATGTTGGAAACTAATTATCTTATTTGGTAGTTATTTTACATTCAAGAGCATAAAATACTAGGACCAAGCATCATCACTGTTTTTAACTTATTTTGTTGTTGTAGCTTGATAATTGATCATCTCAGTTAACTGACTTCACTGATTTAACCCATTTTCAAAAGTTCTTTGCAGAGGGTGATTCTGAAAATCCTGAGTAACACCAGTTTCCACAATATCAGAGAGGTTTTGCTGGGAAGCAGCCATTACCATTAATAGAATTTATGTAACTCAATTTTACTGCCACTGAAAGGTCAAATCTGAAAGGTTTCATCAATGTTATTTTCTTTTGAAAAAGTTACTTCTGTCAAAAATAAGTAATAGAATTTTTAAAATGGTCATTAATTTCACCTTTAATATGTATTCACTATTTTTCATCTCTCTAGACTTTTGCCCACTAATGATTGAGGTCTAGTAACATATTGCAAGTAGTATAACAATACATACTATATTATTGGAACAATTGTAGACTAGGTAAAAATATCTTTTAACTGCTTCAAGACTGTTTACTAGATGAGATGATTAAAAGCATAGACTCCCTCTGAAGAAAGGATATTTTTCACTTAAGTGTCTTCTAATCAACAGCCAGTGCTAAGTGGCTCCTCTTTAAATAACAGAAGGCAACGTCTTAGAAGCTTTATCATGGACTCTTCTCAGTGACAAATGGTTTTTAAGGGTGCTTTGTGAAAATAACCAGTCATAGTGAGAGTAACAGATAAGAGCTTAAACCTTAGATGTCAACACAGCCCAATCTGCCTGTTTTGTTAGAAATACATCTGTTAGCAACCAGCAATCCTTTATTAGCTCCAGCCTCTGTATCAGTCAAATGGATTCCTGGTATTTAAAGCTGTAGATGTCTTCTTAGGTTAATTCAAATTCCTGATGGGTATCTCTATTGTTTTTATGAACCTACTTGTATAAATAGGCCGGGAAGTTCTACTCCGAGAAAACACCAAATGGCGGATGACGCCGGTGCAGGGGCGGGGTCCGGGATTCCGGAGGCCCTGGGATGGGGAACAGCGGTGACTTCCGGGGAGGTTTCGTCAGTAGCATCCGGGGCCCAGGGTCGCGGCCGTGGACCCGGCCGAGGCCGCGGAGCTAGCGGAGGCAAGGCCGAAGATAAGGAGTGGATGCCCGTCACCAAGATGGGCCGCCTGGTCAAGGACATGAAGATCAAATCCCTGAAGGAGATCTATCTCTTCTCCCTGCCCATCAAGGAATCTGAGATCATTGACTTTTTCCTGGGGCCTCTCTCAAGCACGAGGTTTTGAAGATTATGCCGGTGCAGAAGCTGACCCGCGCCGGCCAGCGCACCAGGTTCAAGGCGTTTGTTGCCATCGGGGACTACAGTAGCCACGTCGATCTGGGTGTTAAGTGCTCCAAGGAGGTGGTCACTGCCATTCTCGGGGCCATCATTCTGGCCAAACTCTCCATTGTCCCCGTGCGCAGAGGCTACTGGGGGAACAAGATCGGCAAGCCCCACAGTGTCCCTTGCAAGGTGACAGACGGCTCCGTGCTAGTGCGCCTCATCCCCGTGTCCAGGGGCACTGGCATCGTCTCTGCGCCTGTGCTCAAGAAGCTGGTCATGATGGCTGGTATCGATGACTGCTACACCTCAGCCAGGGGCTGCACTGCCACCCTGGGCAACCTTGCCAAAGCCACCACCTTTGATGCCATCTCTAAGACCTACAGCTACCTGACGCCCGACCTCTGGAAGGAGACTGTATTCACCAAGTCTCCCTATCAGGAATTCACTGACCACCTCGTCAAGACCCACACCAGAGTCTACGTGCAGAGGACCCAGGCTCCAGCTGTGGCTACAACATGGGGGTTTTATACAAGAAAAGTAAAGTGAATTAGGCCTGAAAATAAATAAATAAATAGGTCAGGAAAATGAATAAAGGGGAAAACAACCAACCAACCTTTTAGTTACAGCTTGATTCTTATTTCCCAAACTATCATAGCCTTAGTTTTACAAAAGAGAGGCTGACCTTGATTGTGCCTCACTTAGGAAAATGACTACCTTATGCTAGTTAGAGAAGTGATAAGTCTCCAAGGTTTTATAAATAACAAAAGCAGATTAAAAAAAAAATAATAAAAGCCTGTATTTTACTCCTAATGGAAGCACATTGAAAAACAGTGCCATGGTGTGCAAGGTTATTAAACAAGTACATCTAACTGCTGGAAAGTTGAAATCTCACCTCACTGTTTGCAGCCAGCAGGCTTTCTCCTGGCAATCCCTGACTGTTTTAAGTGAAGACAGGAGAGGAGTTGCACAGCCAGCTTTCTCCATATGGGGTAAGGAAAAGACTGTGCAGAGGTAAAGTGCAGAATGCAAGTGCTTCAGGAAATGAGCTCCAGCTCTAGCTCTTCTTCATTGCATCAACATCAAATTTACTTGTAAAATCAAGCAGATACTAATAAAGTAGTTGCTCACAGGAAAAATATATTGGAGTTTAATAAGCAATGCTAATAGTTAAGAACTCATAAGTATTATGAGGGACAGTCCGTAAGTTTATCATTTGGGGAGGAAAATGAATTTATATGATGTATGATAATAAAAGAGAGTTTAAGTGCAATAGGCATATATTGTGTTACTGTATTACTTTGCAAAACCCAACCCCAAAATAGAACAATGAGCATGTCTTTCTTTTTCACATGTCTACATGTAGACTGGGGTATCTCTGTTCTGCATACAAACTGTGGGTGGGACCAGGCTGGAGGACTTCAGTTATATGAGGCATCTTTTTCTGACAAGTCAGGAGCTCCTAGGTGGATGGCTATAAATGAGAGACACTCCTTAAGGCCTTGTTTTGAGGCTGGCAGAGTCATTTCTTCCCGCATTCCTCTGGACAAAGCAAGTTACCAGGTCAAGCCCAGCTCCTATGGGGCGGGGCCAGGATGTATGCTTTTCCATGGAGGTAGGGAAAATAGAGTAAATATTTGCCAAAACAATGAGCTCATCTGCCACATTTTTTTCCATAACTTAGAAAATGTCAGGAATTAAGAAAGGCAAAAATAAAAATCAGTGGTTAACCTACCTCCCAGAGATGATCAGGGTTCATCTTTAATGTATATCCTTCTTGTCTCTTATTTATGGACACAGAGTTTAGTGAGTGGTGGGAAGGCATTAATAAAAGGGTCATGGGAAGGGGAAAAAGTTTATCAGGAAAGGAAAAAGGGAAAAGATTGGGGCCATTCCCATAGCGTGGAGGAATATAATATTAGTTTCCTGTGTTTTTACACCTATCTCACTCTAACTAGCTACATAACCTGGAGGTGCGTTAAGTAGCCTCTCTGAGCCTCAGTTTTAATTTGTAAAATGAGAATGATAATTTGGCCTTCCTCATGTGGTAGGTGTGAAGATTAGATGAGTTATTTCATGTAGATAGGATAGAACTTTGCAGTATGATAAATGCATAGTGAAAATTAGACACTATTCATAAAGATAATGTGTTGGGATTTATCTTATGAGTTGGCCTCTTTTTCTTAGGTGTGTACTTTTCATACTCTGTTCTTTTGTGGGCAACCCAAGGCTTGTGAATAAAGATTGTCCCAGGAAGTGCTAAAAGCAGAAATAAAAGATTCAAAAAGAATGCTGGCATAACGCAAGAGAGAAAGATTTGGATATATGACTGCAGTGGCAGGCCGCCTCCCAGAGGATCTGAGCCTAAATCAGTGGTCATTAAGTACTTTCTAAAACAATTTTTGAACAACTATGTTTTCTTTTCCACATTTTCAACTTGACATCTAAGATTTTTCATAATGAGTTTAAATAAGTATATTTTTTGGCATTTGATAAATATGAATGTTTTAAAATAAGGTTAACTACTCTTAAATATATAGCAAAATTTAAATATAAACATTCAAAACAATGCAACAATAATTTATTCCTTGACATTCAGAAATTTTACATCTTTTGCTTTTCCCCTTTAAAATCATATTTCCATTCCATATTTTACTATAACACTTTGTCTTAATTTAATCTATTTTATGCTTTATAAAGCCTTATTAATAATGCTACCATCATTCTTTGCAAAGTAAAAAACATGAAAAATGGAATATTTTTGGCTGAAGGGTTGTAAACATTAACTTTTTTTATCTTGGCTTGAGTCATCAGTATTATTAGTGTGCATCATAAATATAAAATTAATATTGCCATAAAATTATTAAACATTAAAAGTAAAATTGTACTAGAAATGCATCTCTTAATGAGATTAGTGGTATTTTTCAATTAGTTCTTGTCTCTGTGAATACATAAGAAATTGCTAGAATGGGACAGAGTTGTGCATGAATTGTATTATAATTTTTGTTTCATTTTTATAGATATCAACATTAAGAAATTATCTTCACAAAAATCAGTGGAGAGGAATGAAAGGAAGTTTTATTTCTTTTTTATAAGAGTACCACTCAAGTCTTTAAATGCTAAATATCATAATATTCTATCATCAGAAAGTAGTTTTTGGTTTTAAGGTAGTATTTTGGTTTTGTTTTTTTTGTTTTTGTTTTTGTTTTTGTTTTTGAGATGGAGTCCCATTCTGTCGCCCAGTCTGGAGTTCAGTGGCACCATCTCGGCTCACTGCAACCTCTGTCTCCTGGGTTCAAGCGATTCTCCTGCCTCAGCCTCCTGAGTAGCTGGGACTACAGGCACATGCCACCCCATGCCCGGCTAGCTTTTTGTATTTTCGGTAGAGACGGGGTTTCACCATGTTGGCCAGGCTGGTCTCGAACTCCTGACCTCATGTGATCTTCCCGCCTCTGTCTCCCAAAGTGTTGGGATTGCAGGCGTAAGCCACTGTGCCTGGCCTAGAAATTAGTTTTTATTGTAGACTGGTTGACACATCTTTGAAGGCCAAAAATCACAGTAATATGTCATAAAAAATTATTTTAGCCAGTTTTAATTAAATCCCACTTCAAATTGGCAAAGCAAAGAATTGGAAACCACCTGACCTGAAAATTTGTTGCCTAGTTATTATAGTCCATACTTTCTCAATATATTAGGTGTAAGCCAAAATAATTTAGAAAGACATACCAAATAAGTGTAAATTATATCTGTTGCTCTTTTATTTAGAGGCATCATATTTAATACAATATACACAAAAAGGATTAGAAAAAATCAAAATGTTATTTTATTATGTTCTTTTCAATATAATATTCTTGTATTAAATTTTTTTATTTTATATATTTTAGATATATTTTTTATCAACACTTTGGTGTTGCAAAATTAACATTTAATTTATGGAGAATGTCTACTTTATAACCTAATCAGCAAAGTATGCCCAACATTATCACAATTACATTCTGTCAGAAAGAAATGTTGACTTTTTGTTTCAATTTAAATAAAAAGCATTAATACACTTTTTAAGAGCTATTGTAAAAAACCTGTGAGGAAATAAATTGTGTTTAAAGTGATTGCTGTAAGTAGTTATTAATATTAAAATTATGCCCATCAAGAATAATTAATGCATTATGAAAACAATATAAAAATCAGTATGACTTTTAAATTATTTAATTTGGAATAATTCAGTTAAATATTTAGTAAAACTGTTAAAATATGTAAAGCAAGAGGTGTAATATAAGACTTGATGATCCTTTAGTACATGTGATGGTTTATCAGCTACCCATTGATTTAATATTGTTGCATAACAACCACCCACATAACATCGGTTTCCCATCATAAATATTCATTTCTCACATATTCCTAGTGTCAGCTGATCTAGTCCAGACTGGACTTGGCGGCTCTTCCATTCTTTGTGAGGTTTCTTAACTTGTCTGGGAGTCAGCTGATCTAGGCTGGGCTAAGATGGTGGGCTGGCTTTTTCGCATATGTCTCTCATTGTTTTTCTAAAATGCGCAGTTTAGCCTGATCATATCCTTCACAAGGTGGTAGCAGAATCATAAAGTAGCAAGTGTTTCCAAACACTTAGGCCTCTTGAGGTTTAGGCTGAAAATTAGCATACCATTTCTCATTTTATTGGCCAAAGCAGGTCACAAGGCCAAACCCTGGGACAGAAAATTGTGCTGGATCACAAGATGAGCACACTGCATGGTTGCATAACTAACTAAGGACACAGATGCAGGAAGAAATAAAGAGAGGAGGCAAATAATTCAGCCCACTACCACCCTGGATTCTGCTTTTGGAAATAAATATAAATCAAATATAAAAATCAGACATAATTCAATTGAATTGATTAAATATTATAATCAAAGTTTTCCTGTATGTTAAAAAAAGGAAAAAGAAAAGTATATACTTCTAAAATCTGATTAATCTGGCAACTTGCATTTCATTTTATTTTTTGTTAATAAGAGGCAGAAAATACTAAAACATTATAAAATAACACAAAATAAAATTTGTATAACTAGTAACTGATATCAATATTTCATTATACCTGACAAAATAGTTCTAAATATCCTACCGAATAATGTGTACCAAATCTGAAATAAACTGTATTAAAGTTTTACCTCTGAGTTTTAAACAATATGTATTGAGAATATGTGACCTACAAAAATATTTCAGTTACAGTTAGAAGAATCAATATCACTCACCTATACTACTTAGGCTATTTGAAAGTTATACTCTTTCCAACTAAATAACATGTCTTAGGGATAGTGTTGAAAACAAACTGCTTGCATTAGGCAAGTGCTGTTTTTGCACTTACGAAAGTGCAAAAACACTTTGCTTAATTCACAACAACTTCTTTCTTAACAGTGATGTATCCTTTGATACTGGTGGGGGAATAAGAAGCAGGCTCTTAAATAATTGTCTTTACTGCATAGATGCCACACTACCATATATCTGAATTCAGAGCATCCTAGCATGAGTCAAAATACCCATTTCTTACAGAAATACATTTAAGACAGGAATAGACTGGATGTATTAACTATTGTGACTTTAAAATGCAGTTTTTAAGTGATCAGGCAGTTTCCACCACTTGCATCTGATGTTTCTTTACTGAGATTAATTCTATGTACGTTTTTCCTCTCAAATACCTTTTCCTCCCATAGAAATTTTCCTACCATATAAACTTATTTCATTAAGTTCAAGCAGTATTTGCCTGTAATGTGTTTAAATGTGTAGATTAACTTGAGGTAGCTATTACAATTATACAATAGTGTTTTCCTATATCAGATTATGATATCCATATATTTACTTATTAGTAATTAATATTTATTAGCTATGCTTTGCCTCCTAGCCATAAATGCTTCACATTTCTTTCTTAGGTTATTCTTTGATATTCTTATTTCTACTCTTGGGAATGAAAAGAGTTTTCAGTTATAATTACTAAGACTTTTTAATGGGAAAGAATATTAGAATACATATTTCTGGGTTGTTAGCATTTAAATGATGGCCTCAGGTTTTTTTCATTTAGGGAGTTTTTAAATAAAGTAAACATTAATTTAATTATACTCTGAAATACATTTATAAGGTTTATTTTTATTTAATAATTTAGGTGGTATTTTAAAAGAGCATTCAAGCATTTTAAGTCATCCACTGCTAAATTTGCAACGTCTTTAGTTTGAAAGGTCTCTGCTTTCTACTCATTATTTTGGAGTATAATGAACCATTCAGAATTTCAAAGATCTAGACTACTCTTTAAATTGAGTATGTAGGTGCAATTAGATTAATCATGTTGTGTTTGGCTGGTTGCTATCTCACTCACTTATAATTCACATTGCCCATCCTTATAAAGATATTTTTTATCACTTTACAATTTAGAAAACATTCTGAATAAGCTTTGGTTAAAATTTTCCAAAGAATACAGGAGAGAGAAAGAGATAGCATGTTTATGTTTCTGTTCTTCTCCTTTTAAGATTTCTCTTCTACAATCACAATAAAATACATATCATGGGCATATATTTTTTGATGTACCTGAAAAACAAACTCAGATTTATAACCTCTGATTATAGTAGGGAAAATTTATTTATTTAATGTGGTTCTAATTGTAAGACCATATGGGCAAGTGACTGTCATATAGAGATACAAAAGACAGAATTTTGCTTTAATTTTCATGCAAATAAAAGTGTTGTTTTAAATTATTTTTAATACAAAGATTGATATAACTAGTTGATCTTCAAAAAGTATTGTCAATTCTTCTCTGAAGTCAGCCACAATAATAGAACAAAAAGAGGTGCAAACCATTACCAATCTCATTAGCAGTTACCTGACTTGGTGACTTGAAAATTGATGGCCAAAATAGAGGCATGACTACTTTAATTTGCTCACATTCATCTTGAAAGTCAAAAGGACGAATGGACTATTTTCAAAAGATGGGAAGAGGCAATTTATCTCTGTTTATACCAAACAGGATATTTCTACCCATCAGCCCCTACACATAAAGTAAACAGAAATAAAGGAGATAAATGGGGACAAAACAAAATTGGGGTAGGAGAGGTGAGAAAAGATAAGTGTTTAAGTAAAAAATGACAGAGTGTTAGAGACAGAATTTTTAAAAGGAGGAATTTGGTGATTTTCCTTTGGTTAGATGGAAGATAAAAGGAAAAATATAAAAGAAGAATAAACAGACATGTTGCAGTGAGCCAGAAAGACAAATACAGTTAAAGTAGAAAAAGAAATCTGTGGAACTTGAAAAAGAACTAAGTATTATTACAGTTGAAAACTCTGAGTCCTTGATATTATTGGATTCTAACTCAGAGAATAATGTAATATCTATGATTTTGTGCTGATATAAACAATCAAATACATAAATAAAAGAGGGAAAAGGATTATTTTTTCTTATTGAAGAATTTCAATTAAGAAATGTTGAAGGAATAAGGAAATGAATTCAAAATAGCCATTGAGAAAATACCATAATAATAATTATTGTAGGCATGATCACCAATGGTTGCTAAGATTAGTGAGTAAATATTTGAGGAGAAATTGGATATTTGCATTACCTGATATATGTTTACCAAGTTCTTATTAATTAAAAATTGGAAAAGTATGGAGAAACTCAAGACCTACAGATAGATCTTTAGCCAAATAATCACTAGTAATGTAGCTAATAAGACTGACATCACGTTCCTCTGATGTACATTGAGAAAGGCACAAAATCACTTCTGTAGCCTTCTTTCCAAACATACATAATCCCATAAAAAAGAGACAAAACCAAGTGAGAAATATTCCATGAATTAACTGACCAATACTCTCCAATAGTATCAAAGTCCTGAAAGGCAATGAAAAGCTGAGGAATGCTCAAAGATAGGAAGAGACTAAGCAGACAGGATAACTAATTGCAACGTAGAACTTGGGATCAAATTCTGGAAGAGGAAAAGGTGACTAGTGGAAAACGCAGTAAAATTTGACAAGGTCTGTGTTTTAATTAATGGTAGTGTACCAATGTTAATTTTGATTTTGATCATTTTACTGTGGTTATATAAGATGTTAACATTAGGGGATGCTGGGAGAAGGGAATATAGAAATTCTGTTATTTAGTTTTTTTGTTAAATCTAAAATCATTTCAAATAAGAGTTAAAAAATAATCCTGGGCCTCAAGCAAAAATCGTAGACAAAAATTCTGTTGTAGGAATAATGTACTGATATATTCATTTATTTGTTTGTGTTTGATGTTTGCTGATTTTTGATATATAAAGAGGCATTTTTTCTTCTATCTGAATGCTTTACAAGGTGTGACTACGTCTTTGTTGGTCTTTTTTTCTCATGGGTGACTACAGGGCACTGAAATTCCCAGCTCCAACCAAGATTCTGGACTTCAGACTCGGCCACGTGATGAGGGGATAGAAGAGCGGCAACCTTCTGGCATCTCTGTGGATTTGGGCAATTATCAAACCTGTAACTATCATAATAAATTCACGTGAAAGGCCTTTGCTTATTCCTCTGGCACCAGGCAATTCTGGATCCCATGTTACAATGAGGGTGTGGCAAGAGGAATATCCCCAAAATGTATTTAAATGCTCATCAAATGTCTGGATAGAGGTTTTAAAAGATTTAATTTGACTTAAAGAAAATAATATTTCTCTTATAGTCAAGATTGTGGATTAAGATTTATACTCACTACTCCTCCTGAATCTTCTGTTAAATATTAAACAAAACAGTGATGAAGAAATACTCACTCTTCTTTTTTGGAATAACCTATGAAACAGAAATTCTCTGACTTGAAATTATGTTATTGCTAAATCCCACCACTCCAGACTTTGGAAAAATCTCTACTATTCATCATTTGGCTCAGGTATCTTTAAGTCAGTGGTTGCTCCATTCATTTTATTCTTATGAGATTTGGGAGAATTGGCAATTTCAGGATGAGAGTTGCCATTTTTGTAACTTTGAGGTTCAAATTGGTGTTTTTATGAGACGCTGGTCAAACAGCATGAAGCACTTCAGTAACCTCTCTTCTCTACTTAGCAACCAGATGAATATCTTCCTCTTGTTTGATTTAGACAAGCAAGCAAACTATTAATTTACAAAGGACTTTAGTTTTCACTTGATTTCACCAAAGTTCAGAAAAGAAGCTCCCAGGGTACACTCCTATCACTACCAGTTTCTTTTTCTCCATGGTGCTTGAAAGTGCATTTCACGGAGGAAAAGAAGAGCTCGATAGATGGCTTATCTACAAAATAAATAACACAGTGTTTGCCAACTGCTGCTGTCTTTTATGCCTGGGTAACCTGGATTTGCATTAGAATCCAGCCACAATTTAACAGCCTAATTTACGGTGCTTCCAAAAGACCTGATTTTTTTTTTTTTTTTAATTTCTTGGACTGATCATCCAAGTTCACTCTATTGCCACAGTAGTGATTTAGAGATTTCCATTTTCCCCTTGAAATTGCCATTTTAAGAATTTATAGTTGTACCCAGAGTAAATATTCTTTAATTCAGCAAAGATAGTTTATAATTACTTTATTCCTGACTTACGTGGCTTTCACTGGGATTTGGAGTCACACTTTGATTCTTTGATCAGCACTTATTTCTAAGTTCTGTACAAACCGGAAGTTAGAGTTATACATTTGTCCTCTGAGTTTTAAGATGTAATATCAACACTATGGGTTAGAATATACATTGTCAACAACTTAACAGGAAAAGGCTGCAGTCTTGGCCATAAGACTTGCTGGTTAGTAAATTGAATATGTTAATATATATAAGACAGTTTGTCAATCAGAAATGAAAGCACAAGTATTTTACACTAAGCATGAAGTGTTTGACTGATTTAATTCTTCTTTCTCAGTTTGCATGGTCTCCAACATGTGCATAATTCCATGTTGGTCTATCTTCATTTCTTTGTTGATTCAGTCAATATGTGAAACGAACAACCTAGCAAGATAAAATGTATTGATTATCATCCTGTTATACGCATGCCTTATGACTATCATTTCTCTCGGTAAATAAATAAAATGGCTATCAATTATTTTTCCAAAGTGCCTAAGAGTAAGGAGTTTTATTATATATTTAATATATTTAGAATGTATATAGGGTTATATATATATATATATATATATATATATATATATATATATATATACACACACATATATATGATTGTTCATATTTTGGCTTTCTGGCTTCTGCCTCAAGCAAATGTGAATGAAGCTTGGATACCTCTGGGTACTAAAAAAGGGAAGTTGTTCAGGTCGTCAAAGCAACAGTTGTGATCCAGCCATCCTTACATTAAATCACAATGCTGTATCACTTCCATGTTTATTATTTTACTGATTAGTATGGAATAACAGCTCTGTGTTACTAGCGGTGTGATTTTAGGAAAGTTACCAGACTTCTTTAAACCAAACTTTTCTAAATTTGAATGAAGTTAATAATTTGTATCTTGTAGAGACACTGTTTAATCCATTATATTACTTAGAAAGTGCATGGCACTTTATTTGGAAGCATAATAAATATTTAATAAGTGGTAGTAAATTAAAAAATAATGCGTTCAATGTAATGAATATGCTTATAAAAAATCCATCACTTCTCACTGCCTTAGAGGTGACGACAAATCTAGGGGCATAATCTCAGAAAATTTGCGTGAAAAAATCAGGAATACATCTAATTTGCTTTATGGAAGTCCCCAAACCTAAACACTAAAGGTAACATTATTGATTATCTGTCTCAATCTCACCCACAAAGAAACTCCTACTAGAACTTCTTCTTGACTCTTTAAAACCTTTTAGTGACAGAGAACTGACCTTTTTATAAGGCCCATTCCTTAGTCTAATTTTGGGCAAACCTAACCATGAAGCTGAAATGTGTATCTTTGTTGTTGTTGCTTTTTTAAGAGATGGGGTCTTACTCTGTCACTGAGGCTGGAATGCAATGGAGTGACCATAGCTCACTGTCACCTCAAATTCCTGGGCTCAAGTGACCCTCCTGAGTAGCCTCCTGAGTGGCTAGGATCACAGGCATGTGCCACCATAACCAGATTTTTTTTTTTAATCTTTTATAGAGACGTGGACTTACTATGCTGCCCAGGCTGATCTCGAACTCCTGGCCTCAAGCTATCCTCCTGCCTCGGTCTCCCAAAATGCTGGGATTACAGATATAAACCACTGTGCCTGACCTGAATGTATATCTTTGTAATATCCACCCTTTTGTTCTAGTTGCCTCTAAGTAAGAATGATACAGATAATTATTTTTTAGAAACTCATATCATGTTCCTGTTAATTTTTGTTTGTTCCATGTTGACCATCCTAAGTTTCCTCAAATATTTCTCATATTTTTAAGTTGTTTTTTTACCTTTTAAATGTAAGATGAGGTTTCTCCACCTGAATATAATAGTCTTTAAGTGGTCTGATGATAGTGGCGAGCAATGGAAAAAATGGGACTTTTGCCTTCCACTCAAATTATGTGCTTCTGCAATTGCAGCCTAATAGCGAATTGATGTCTATTAACTTCTTTCAGTATCCAATCACAAATGTTTGCTCATACTGAGCTTATAGTTTAAATATCTGCTATCAGGTTAGGTCTTACCTAAGTGCAGTATCTGAGTATATTTTTAACCTTGATTATAGGTCCCCATGTTTATCTTAAATATCGTCTTGATTGGTTTTTATAAAATCTAGTATTTATTCCTTTCATACTTATTCAGACCCAAGTATGATACATTTATTATAATATAATTCACAATATATTAAACAGAGTAAGAAAGTTGCTCTGACTCACCAAACTGTATAATAAATATGACTTTAAAGAATTTATTGATAATAGAAAGTGCTGTTCATTGCAGCACTGTTCACAATAGCAAAGACTTGCAACCAACCCAAATGCCCATCAATGATAGACTGGATACAGAAAATGCAGCACATATACAACTTGGAATACTAGGCAGCCATAAAAAGGGATGAGTTCATGACCCTTGCAGGGACATAGATGAAGCTGGAAACCATCATTCTCAGCAAACTAACACAGGAACAGAAAACCAAACACCGCATGTTCTCATTCATAAATGGGAGTGGAACAGTGAGAACACGTGGACACAGGAAGGGGAACATCACACAGTGGGGCCTGTCAGGGAGTGAGGGGATAGGTGAGGGATAGCATTAGGAGAAATACTTAATGTAGACGATGGGTTGATGGGTGCAGCAAACCACCATGGCATGTGTATACCTAGGTAACAAAGCTGCACGTTCTGCACATGTATCCCAGAGCTTAAAGTATAATTAAAAAAATATATATATAAATCTAAAAAAAGAATATTGTCAAATTAGTACTTACATTGTTGTCTTTTATAGTATGAGGAACTTATGAAGAATTTTCTTCTGTTCCTTTCAATTATGCTTTAGTGCAGAATTTAAAAAGCTATCTGTATTTTGTACGGTATAGTCCTTATTTTCCTCTCTCATTATCACAGGTATTAAACTTGAGTTAATGTTAAAAAAAGAATTTGTTGATAATCTTCTAGATAAAAAAATTAAAGATAGGTGGAACATAAAATATCCTTATACTGAGATATATCTGTTAATTTTCTTACACATAAGTTGACTTGACTGTAAAGATTCAATAGACATACAGGATGATTATTGAACAGAATTATACTTGATTTATTGTGATTCAGATAAAAACATTGGAATATTGTATTCTTCGAACAACATCTGACAATCCCTCCCCACCCCTGACTCCTGGTAACCACCATTCCATTCTATTTCTATGAGTTCACCTTTTTTACACTCAGTGTATGAGAGACATCATGCAGTATTTGTCCATCTGTGCCTGGTTTATTTCACTTAGCATAATGTCCTCCAGGTTCTTTCATGTTGTTCCATAGGACAGGATTTCCTTTTTAAGGCTGAATAGTATTCCATTGTGTATATATAACACATTTTTTTAAATCCATTAATCTGTTGATAAGAGAAATAACTTGAAGAAATCTATTACATAACAGGTTGGCCATAGCTGATAACAATGTACTGCATTATTGAAAATTGCTAAGAGAATAGATTTTAAGTGTTCTCACCACAGAAATGATATGTAAAGTAATACCTATTTTAACTAACCTGAAATAACCATTTCACAGTGTATAAATTTTCAAAACAACATGTTTTACATAATATATTTTTGTCAATTAAGAATAAAATACTTTAAAAAATAAATTAATAAAAATAAAAATAGTTAAATTCATCCATGTTCTGGATTCAGCATTTTATCAGGCAATAATGTCATTTACAAAATTTGAGTTTATAAACAGATAATTACTAATATTTTAATGTTAATGTTTTTCATTGCAGCCTATAAAAATCTTATAATTCTACTAAAATCTCAGGTCACTGAAGTTCATTGGAATTATATAAATTTTGCACATCTTTTATCACTATAAAATTTTTGTTTGAGGCAGAGTTTCTGTACAAAGAAGATGAGACAGTTTATTAAACAATCGGCAATGGTCATTTGTAGGAAACTTGGGCTTTCAGAGATTCTTCCATGTTATTGAATTTTAGAATTTAGTATTTGTGCTTTCTTAGACAAATTGTTTTTCTTTTTGGCTATCTAAATTTTTTTTATTATTATTATACTTTAAATTTTAGGGTACATGTGCACAGCATGCAGGTTTGCTACATATGCATACATGTTCCGTGTTGGTGTGCTGCACCCATTAACTCGTCATTTAACATTAGGTATATCTCCTAATGCTATCCCTCCCCTCTCCCCCCACCCCAGAACAGGCCCTGGTGTGTGATGTTCCCTTTCCTGTGTCCATGTGTTCTCATTGTTCAGTTCCCACCTATGAGTGAGAACATGCGGTGTTTGGTTTTCTGTCCTTGCGATAGTTTCCTCAGAATGATGGTTTCCAGCTTCATCCATGTCCCTACAAAGGACATGAACTCATCCTTTTTTATGGCTGCACAGTATTCCATGGTGTATATATGCCACATTTTCTTAATCCAGTCTATCATTGTTGGACATTTGACTTGGTTCCAAATCTTTGCTATTGTGAATAGTGCCACAGTAAACATACGTGTGCATGTGTCTTTATAGCAGCATGATTTATAATCCTTTGGGTATATAACCAGTAATGGGATTGCTGGGTCAAATGGTATTTCTAGTTCTAGATCCCTGAGGAATTGCCACACTGACTTCCACAATGGTTGAACTAGTTTACAGTCCCGCCAACAGTGTAAAAGTGTTCCTATTTCTCCACATCCTCTCCAGCACCTGTTGTTTCCTGACTTTTTAATGATTGCCATTCTAACTGGTGTGAGATGGTATCTCCTTGTGCTTTTGATTTGCATTTCTCTGATGGCCAGTGATGATGAGCATTTTTTCATGTGTTTTTTGGCTGCATAAACGTCTTCTTTTGAGAAGTGTCTGTTCATATCCTTTGCCCACTTTTTGATGGAGTTGTTTGTTTTTTTCTTGTAAATTTGTTTGAGTTCATTGTAGATTCTGGGTATTAGCCCTTTGTCAGATGAGTAGATTGCAAAAATTTTCTCCCACTATGTAGGTTGCCTGTTCACTCTGACGGTAGTTTCTTTTGCTATGCAGAAGCTCTTTAGTTTAATTAGATTCCATTTGTCAATTTTGGCTTTTGTTGCCATTGCTTTTGGTGTTTTAGACATGAAGTCCTTGCCCATGCATATGTCCTGAATGGTAATGCCTAGGTTTTCTTCTAGGGTTTTTATGGTTTTAGGTCTAACATTTAAGTCTGTAATCCATCTTGAATTAATTTGTGTATAAGGTGTAAGGAAGGGATCCAGTTTCAGCTTTCTACATATGGCTAGCCAGTTTTCCCAGTGCCATTTATTAAATAGGGAATCCTTTCCCCATTTCTTGTTTTTGTCAGGTTTGTCAAAGATCAGATAGTTGTAGATGTGCAGCATTATTTCTGAGGGCTCTGTTCTGTTTCATTGGTCTATAACTCTGTTTTGGTACCAGTACCATGCTGCTTTGGTTTCTGTGGCCTTGTAGTATAGTTTGAAGTCAGGTAGCATGATGTCTCCAGCTTTTTTCTTTTGGCTTAGGATTGACTTGGCGATGCGGGCTCTTTTTTGGTTGCATATGAACTTTAAAGTAGTTTTTTCCAATTCTGTGAAGAAAGTCATTGGTAGCTTGATGGGGATGGCATTGAATCTATAAATTACCTTGGGCAGTATGGCCATTTTCATATTGATTCTCCCTACCCATGAGCATGGAATGTTCTTCCATTTGTTTGTATCCTCTTTTATTTCATTGAACAGTGGTTTGTAGTTCTCCTTGAAGAGGTCCTTCACATCCCTTGTAAGTTGGATTCCTAGGTATTTTATTCTCTTTGAAGCAATTGTGAATGGGAGACAAATTTTTATCATTAGGATTTTGATAATATTTGTTCCTTACAGTGAGGCAAGAGCAAAGAAAGAAATTATTCCTCTCAATTTATGAGAATCTACTACAATTACTGATTTAAAAAACCATCAGGCTATCGAGAGTGTATCCCATAATTTTACTACTTGCAAAGCACCTAACGCAATTAAATACTTACCAACTTTTTGAACAAATGAAGTAAATGGGCTATGTATCCTTTTTCTTGGCCCCCACCCCAATAGTCCTCCCAAATATTGATTAATCAATTTGGTTAACATGGTAAACACCACATTGTATTAGAAACCTTTTTTTTTTTTTTTTGAGACGGAGTCTAGCTCTGTCACCCATGCTGGAGTGCAGTGGCGCAATCTTGGCTCACTGCAACCTCTACCTCCCGGGTTCAAGAGATTCTTTTGCCTCAGCCTCCCAAGTAGCTGGGATGTACCCACCGCCACACCTGGCTAAATTTTGTATTTTTAGTAGAGACAGGTTTCACCATATTGGCCAGGCTGGTCTCAAACTCCTGACCTTGTGATTCACCTGCCTCAACCTCCCAAAGTGCTGGGATTACAGGAGTGAGCCACCACACTGGCCAATAGAAACCTTTTACCACAAATTATTAAGTGCTCCCTAAGCCTCACTCCATACAGTAATTCTACATATAATATGTTATACCATAAAATGAATGTAACTCCTGCCCCATACCTTAAGGGCTCTTTATTTAAAAAAATAAATTTCAAGCTAATGTTACAACACACATTGTTCCCTCTCTGCCTTATGTCCTGCTATCATTCTGAGTGAGCAGACTTCATAATTCTTAGACCACCAAAATCCAAATCCACTGTTTTTGTGCATTAGTGACTTACACCAGAAAACATCATGATTCGTAACCGCCCTTCTCTAATCTCCTGTAGTTTAATTTTTTTTTCTCTGACATTTACCTGTTTAACTAGGTGGACCAACAAAAAGTGTTAGTGGAAAAAAAAAAGTTGAGGATGGAGGACAGTGTTATTTGTAGTGACATTACAAGATAGACAGGGGTGCATCCACTCTTGAGGATGAAAGAAGTCATACCTAGTCTGGTATTAGGCAGCACAGGTGACAACCCCTGGCAAGAAGCCCAGACTCCACTTAAGCACAGTGAACACGATATAATGAAGTCCAGAGCCCCAAGGGCAGGGACTAGACCTTTCTCTGTTTTATTCTGTACCAAGTTCTCACTCACAACTCAAAAACTTTTTTTTAATTAAAAAGCTTACGTGTATAATGAGGACATATTATATACTCTATGAGGTCAAATTCTAGATAACAAAGAAGCTATTCATATGGTGGAAAAATAGTGAAGTCATAGTTAAAAGATATAAAAAATAAAGAAAGAAGATCAAAAATGATTTTTGTGTTTAAGAAAGAAAATGTATAGTTTATTGAATGATGTTTTTTAAAAAGGTACAAGTAAATGTTTACGTTGAGGCAATGACATTCTGACTATGAAATAAATGTCTTTGATCAAGGTTAATTCCACAACATCTATTACCATGTGCAATGCACAGTATTGATGCAGTAAATGGACAAAGAAGAGCAAAATCCTCTTCCAGGAATATACAGACCAGTAATGCAGACATAAACAAGTGAGCATGATATAAAAGTCTTTGTGGCCAAGGCTTTCAGCAGCTCCATTCTTTCTTCTCATAATCTCTGTAATGCACATCTTGTTCATAATCAGGATCGACTTTAGATTATGGAGTCTACCTCTCAGCCTTCCTTCTTACTAAAAGTCTAGCCATACTCCTGAGGGTCTTCAATTTCTGTTGACACTTGGTCCATCACCCTTACTTCATAGATTCTTGGTAAATTTCAATGACTTTAAGAGCTGACCCAGGTTTTGTGGGATGTGAAGCATGTTACAAGCCCTCTTTAAAAACAAGAGTTCAGTTTACAAATGCAAAAATAGCACGAAGTATAAGAAAATAAATTCACAACAAATTACAAATCTTAAAAAGCTATCCAAAACCACATTGTGTAAAAGGATTAAAATAACAATATTTAAATTAACTAACTGCTTAGTAAACTTTTTATAGGCTGGGCATGGTGGTTCATGCCTGTAATCCCAGCACTTTGGGAAGCCAAGGTGGGCGGTAGATCATCTGAGGTCAGGAATTTGAAACCAGCTTGGCCAACGTGGTGAAACCCTATTCTACTAAAAATACAAAAATTAGCCAGGCATGGTAGCAGGTGCCTGTAAACCCAGCTACTTGGGAGGCTGAGGCAGGAGAATCACTTGAACCTGGGAGGCGGAATTTGCAGTAAGCCGAGATCACGCCACTGCACTCCAGCCTGGGTGACAGAGTGAGACTCTGTCTCAAAAAAAAAAAAAATTATGATTATTTTTTCTACATTTACAGTTGCACACTCTGATTACCTGTTCCTAATTCAATGACTTGGCAACTCCTTTTCTATAGTGGGAATATAATATTTTATATTTTCTTCTGAAAAATTTGGTAGAAATTTGTTTTTGTTTATATTTTTGTTTTTTATGACTCAAGTACATGATTCCAGAATTTTTTTTATTACTGATAGGTTAGGAAAGTTTCTTTCAGCTTCATAATTATTGTTGCTGATGTCTTATAAATAATATGCAATTGTTTTAAAATTTGGGCAAACTTTTATCAAGTTTCTTCCTTTCTTTTTTCTTCTTTCTTTTCTTCTTTCTCTCTCTCTTTTGCTTTCTTTCTTTCATTCTTTCTTTCTTTCTTTCTTTCTTTTTCTTTCTCTCTCCCTTTCTCTCTCTTTCTTTCTTTCTTTCTTTCTTTTTCTTTCTTTCTCTCTCCCTTTCTCTCTCTCTTTCTTTCTTTCTTCAATGGCATGATCATAGCTCACCATAGCCTTGAACTCCTGGGCTCAAGCAATCCTACCAACCTCAGCCTCCCAAGTAGCTACAGGTGCACGCCACCACACCCAGCTAATTTTTTTATTGTTATTTTTGGGGAGATGTGATCTTGCTATTTTGCCCAGGTTGGTCTCAAACTCCTAGCTTCAAGAAACCCTCCTGCCCCACCTTATCAAAGAACTAGGATTATAGGCATGAGCCACTGCAGCTGGCCTTATCAATTTTCTTTTATGCATGGGCTGTAAGTTTTCTTGCACAATGACTAAACTGAAATATATTTTGAAGTGAAGATACTTAGCAAGGTACTTTGTCATTAATGTAACCATGACAGAAGGGGTGAATGGATCACAGTTTGTGGTGAGAGTGTTCCTGGAAACTATCACTGCACTGAGAAAGCTATAACTCAATTATACATGAAAGTAACTATAGGACACAGAAATATATCTTAGGAAATTCAAATTTATGTATCCCTAAATAAAATTCACATATCTGTGGCTACTACCCCAACACCACTCAACAAAAGCAGAAGTTTGACAGAAGGGAAGTGGGACTGAAAAACAACAATAACACAAATTTTAATTAATTCCTATTAAAACAACTCACCTTTGCAAATTTTACAAAATATATGACACAGGTAATCACATCACCAGAGTCTTATCCAAGACCTCAAAATGGGAAGTCTCTCAGTAGTTTGACCTCTGGACTGTATCTTTTTCATTTCTTTCATCCACTCTCATGACCTTTTCCTGTAAAAGCCTCTAATCCTTTGGTTGTATGTCTGCATTACTCTCTCTCCCCTTTTGTGTTTACCTAGAAAACTATAGATGTACTATAAATCTCAAACCCTGTGAGGTATCCTTGATTTTTTCCTCTCCTTCACCCTCCAATACAATAAATCAACAAGTTCTTCAGATTCTAACTCCAGTGTATCTCTCAAACTGTTCCCTCCATTACTGTTAGCAATATCATAATCTGGGCAATAATCTTTCATTACCAGGAATCTTGCAACAACTTCCTAATCAGTCTTTCTGTCCATAGTCTTGTGCCCTCAAAGCCATTCTTGGTATAATTTCAAAAATAATTTATTAAAAATTCAACTCTGACCATATCATTCCTTGGCAAACAAAAACAAAAACAAAAACAAAAACAACAAAAAGCTCAATAGCATCACTGCTCTCAGATCATGCCCAAGCCCTTTTGCTAGAAGACAAAACCCTCTAAAATTGGTCCTGTCCGTTTCAATCTTATTCCTTTCCCCTCTCACCTCATACTGTATATTACCCCCAAACCCCAAAGAATATGGAATTGTCTGCATGTCATGCCCTGTCAGATTGTGTTCAACATTCCCTACTATCTGAAATACTTCTACCCACCTTCTCCAACTCCCCAATTCATTTTTAAAGACTTCACGTATATTACAGCTTACTTTGTAGGGTTTTCTGGGGCCCAAATACTGAAAAAGTTTTTCTCCTTTGGCCTCCTGTACTCTGATATGAGTAGTTTCATTTCTAAACCTAACATAAAATTTTGTGTCTCCTCCACTAGTGTGTAGCATCCTTGAGGGAAGAGACCTTGTCTCATTCATCTTTGTGTCTCCATGGCATAGTATACAGCCTGACAAACGAAAGGAGCTCAAGGAATTTCAGTGAATGGAAAACATAAATGTGATGTCCAACGGTACAGGTGAAATCAGAGTGCTGAAGAAGACCAGAGATAAAAGAATTATGAATTATGTCATGAAATAAGTAGCATATGAAATGGATCTTGAAACACACATGCCATGATGTAAGTTGAAGGGATTGTGCATTTCAGTAGAGAGATTTAATAAAGCATGACTAAAGATCAAAGAGCTTCGCTGCAAGAATGCATCTAAAATTAAACTAATGAAGGAGAACCTGGTAGGATAAATGAGAACAAAATATTCTTTAATTCCTGACATGGACAAATAGTTCTCAGAGGATAATCAAGAGGACCTAATTAGATGATTGAAAGGATGCCTTTGTGGATGAAAAAGAAACATTATCTTTTATGTTCATAGAGCCCACATACGTAAGCATGGCAAAATGCAAAGAAAAGCATTCTCAAAGGATTAAAAAAAATCTAAACAAAATATTGTAAACTTGAGTTGCATTGGTCACATTTTCGTGCTGGTAAATTACTGCATGAATGAAAAACAATTACTGTACATGTAAATGGCTAAAGAAAATAGGACTAAATGTGGAGACATGGGGAACTACAAAATGTTGGTCAATCAACAATTTATTGAGCCACTTCTCTTTTAGTTACTTTAGAAGAGACAACTGAAGCAGAAAATAAGATTCTTTACCTTGCAAAGCCTCAAATCCAATTAAAGGAAGTAGATAAGCATAAACAATAGAAAACATAATTAACAGATTCTGGCAATTAAAATGTACAAATAAGATTTTTCATAAAAAAACAGAAATTCTAGAGAAGATATAAGTTTTCTACATATAAATATTAGGTGGAGGGAATGCCTTCTAGGTAAAAATAATTCCTTTAGCAAAGTCATAGATACTCTCTCAAGTAAAATAGATCCTTAGAACAGCAAGGATGCCAGAATGGCTCATGGAAGTGATTGTGATAGGGGCAAGTTAGACATTTGTAATGATGACAGTATCAGGGTAGAGTTTGTGAGACTAAGACAGTTTTAAATATAAATTCGGGGTAATATGCAGGTGTTATAAACTTCTAAAAAGAGAAATTACATAAAGAAAACTTTTACCAGTGTATAAGTTTATATGGGCCATACATACGAATGCAAAAAACAGTTCATATAGAATTCTTAAATAACCATTGCTTCTTTACTTCTTTCCGCCCTTTCTTATTTTTCCTTTTCCCACAAATATGCATGTGTGTACATACTCACACCATCATTTTTTCAGTTTTTTTTGTGTTTTAAATTTGTTTTCCTTGTAATAATATCTCCTAAAACCATTATCAATTTTACTCCTAGGTGTGTTTCTTTATGGATCGATTCTGGTGATATTTGGTGATTTCTAAATCCTCTATATAGAGTTCATTTCTTTGCATCTCTCTTGTATTTTCATCTGTAGTGTTTAGATGCCATCAAAAAGAACACCAAAGTTTTCACAGATTTCAATAGGCCTTACAGGTTATTTACTCCTACCATCTTTCTTTCAATATATGGGAATACGGGAACTGTCTTATTTTTGTTGTTGTTGTTGTCATTAACAACTAAGGAAAAGGAAAAAAATAGCAAAAAAAGAAAACGGAATGAATTTATAGGTCATACAATATAACTACAAAGTACAGCTATAAAAGTTTGATACATTGGTACATGCTAGGCACCCTGCACAAATATTTACTAACATAATTTAACCCTGATAATAATCTTACTAAGTAGGAACTGCTATTATCTCACTTTTCAGATGAAGAACCAGGGTATTAGAGAAGTTAACTAATCCACCAAAGGTTACACAGGCTATGCAAGATGAAGCAGGAATTCACACCTTGGGCTTCTTACTTCAAAGTTCCTGTGTTCAACTGCAAGACTGGCCCTGTCTTAGCCCTGATTTGTGTCTTCTAAAGCTTCATCCAAGCGGCATTTTGAAAGAGTATACAAAACTAAAAGTAATCAAAAGGGTCCTTTTCAATAATGCTATTTAGATAAGACTAAGAAATTATAATGATTTCCACAGTTTATATATTCCACAAAAATAGTGTTGAATTCAAAAACTCTTAGAAATACTGTTTTTTAAAGTTATAACTTGTGTGATACATATTCTACAACAGTTTTAGAGAGGCCTCAGACAGGTATGGATACTCAGCTTAATCCACTCATTCAAGAGGACATTTGTCTCAAAAAAGGAAGGAGCAGAGGTGAGAAGGACAAAGAGAAAGGAAGAGAAGAAGAAGGGGGAGAAAGGGAGGGAGGGAAGAAGGAGAAGAGGAAGAGAGAGGGGCAAAAAAGGAGAGGAGAAGAAGGAAAAAGTAACTGAAAAAGCGTTAACTTGATTACTAATGATTTAGCTAAATTACTATGTGCAAATAACAAAATGGTATAAGGTGGCTTCAAGAAAAAATTAAACCATAATCATAGCAAATTTAAAACACCTGCATAAGACTTTAAACTATATGATGCATTTGGATGTGAGGTGAGTTCAGTGAAAATATATCAGGTTGTAAACAGAAAGACATAAGAAGAATACAGAGTAAATAAAATCCCTTGAAGACTCACCTTTTTCTATTTTCTAATTTTATCAAAGTCTAAATGCTCCGTACAAATTCATTCCCCCTATACCTCTCAACATTTCTTCAGTAAGTAGTTTCCATCTTCGTATAATCTGGTCCAAGTTTTCTCTCCCTTTATTCAAGACGTGTCCTGATTGCACTGACATGACTCCCAGTGATGTAGGATTTTTCTTCTCAGTCCCTTTGCAAGCCAGGGAGTCCCGACCAGTGATGTCCCACTTGGGCCTAGCTCGGCCATGCTACCATGCCCCAGCTCACTTGTTATAGCTTGTATTTGCATTCGGTGGCTCCCAAGCTCTTGTACCACACCCAGGAAGAATAAGGATATGCAAGACATTGAAGGGTAAGGAGGGCAGAGAAGAATCTTATTAAGCGATAAAAAATGGTTTTCAGCAGAGAGGAGATGGGGGGTGGGTGGAATGGTTCCCCTACCCAAAGGCAGGAAAGGTCCCCGCTGTGTGGCTGGGGCCTTTTATGGACTAAGAATGGGGATTGTGTGCTGATTGGTTTGTGAGTATGCAAAAAAAGTTAAAGCAAAGACATCACTCCAAGGTGGGCACAACAGTGTAGAAAAACCAGTTAGGAATGGGTAGGTATATGTAAAATTGGCGAAGGGTGAGGACCAATCAGAGGAGAGCATCCCAAACAGGAAGACAAGTTCTCAATCTGGTCTGAGGATTTAATTTGTTGCTTGGCTTTCAGACCTTTTACTGTCTTCAGCTTGGAGGTGGGATTTCACCAGGGACCCGCCCCATCTGCCTAGGCATTTGGCTGCCCCTACTACTCTAAAGATAGCCTGTGGCCACCTTCTAGAGAGGAAGGTTGTCTTCCTTACTAGCCTTGCTTTTAGCCACCATTTATCACCCATAGAGAGAGTAAGTTGTGGGTACTTGTTTTTCTTTTACCTAGGCCTGGAATACTATATGAAGCAGTGTTTACCAGGAATGTCTCTCTTGAGAATAGGAGGAAGAATGGGAAGTTGCATTGTGGATTTCATAAAAGTCTTGATCAATGCAGCCGGAATAAGCAAGAAATTAGAAATGGATGTAAACTTTGAAGGGAATGTTTTGCATTTCTCTTAAAAGGTGCTGCTACACAAACAGGATACAAATGCTCTGAAGAAGCAGAAAAAGACCTCAGATCTTTTTCTAGAGAGATCACCAGGAAGGATAGCCCCCAAAGGTTAATTCATGCAGAAGGGTTGGAAAACATAATATTTTGTAATGTCAGTTTTGATTATATCATAAACTGAGCAATGTCAAAATATAGCATAATCAAATAAAAACTCGAAGCTTGAAATTATTTAACTACTTCCTCAACTCTAAATCATTCTAAAATGTCTCACTAATTATGTTACTCTCATGGGTTTTCTATCCTTTTTTTTTTGAAAAGTGCCAAAATCTATTCATTTCAAAGCATTCTATAAGAAAGTACAAAATGATCCTTTGAACCCATTTAACATATGGAGAGTCCGAATCCCTAGAAAAGCTAAATGATTTTATCCAACCCCAACAAAAGGTGAAAAGATAAAGCCAAGACAATATTAGGATTTCACTTCCTTCTATCATATTAAAAAGTTAATGTAGTAATAAGAGCAAAAAATTTCCACAAGTACACTGGGAAGACACATCCTGAAATATTTTAGCTTAAGGATGCCCCATTGCAGTCATAATCTTATTCTCTACCCCCAAACCATTTCCTCATTCATTTTGAGATGCATTCACTCTTAAAGAAACATTGAGGCCAGGCATGGTGGCTCACCCTTGTAATCCCAGAACTTTAGGAGGCCAAGGTGGGTAGATCACCTGAGGTCAGGAATTCTAGACCAGCCTGGCCAAAATGGCGAAACCCTGTCTCTACTAAAAATCCAAAAATTAGCCAGGCATGGTGAAAGGTGCCTATAATCTCAGCTACTCGGGAGAGGCTGGGAACTGCTTGAACCCAGGAGGCAGAGGTTACAGTGAGCCAAGATCGTATCGTGCCACTGCACTCTAGCCTCTCTCTCTCTCTCTCTCTCTCTCTCTCTCTCTCTCTCTCTCTCTCTATATATATATATATATATATATAGAGAGAGAGAGAGAGAGAGAGAGAGAGAGAAATATTTTCCCAAAAGTAAATAACTCCTACACTTTTGGAGTTTTAATGCCCTATTGTTGATTTTTGTGACACTCTACACCTTCTTAAAATCTTGCATAGATGGCATTTTTATAAAGTTATCTGTACTCTTCTTGCTAGGATTCTAGGATTAAACAAAAATATTCTACAGGTTAAATTATTTTCCCCAAGGGCATAATAGCAAGTTTATTAATTCATTGTCTCTCTTCCTTACCTCCTTCCAACTACTTTCATTTAACTATTATTCTTGTACTGAACTACTTGATGTCATAATTGTGAACATTTTATTTTAAAGTTGAAGTAAATTGATGTTAGCAGTATTTCAGATGAGAGGCAGTATTGAATAGTGGTTAATTACGCACTCTGTGGAGTTAGACTGCTTACATTTAATTTCCTACTTCCCCACTCATTAGCTGAGTAACATAGGCAAATCTAGCCTAAGCAAGACCATTCTTTGTCCCAGTCTCATCATCTATAAATGAATATACTAATAGTAACAACCTCACAGAATTGTGTTGAAGATTGAATCAGTTAAGCTATGGAAAGAATTTAGAACTGTGCCTGGCGTGTCATTCATTGTGTGTTAGCTATTACCATTTCTATTCCTTTAATGCATTGCTTACTAGATGGTTAGGAGTTGATCTGAAGTTCAGAGCTACTACGGTCATCATATATTTTCAAGTCATTCATAGAATGATGTCTACCAGATTCTAACCCAGAAAAGTTCGACACTTTGACACATAGATTATCTGGCAACCAGTGGCATGTGCGTGGTCTTGGCTCATCGGAAGACCCCTTGTTGATTTTGCATCTGGACTTAGTGGGCCAACATTGTGTGATGTACAAGGTGTCACTGAAGTCTGCAGGGGATCCAGCCATCATAGGAAAATGACAGGGCTTATTGTTCCTGTGGTGGAGCAGACGCAAAGACCAAATGACTTAACTCTTTCAAGTGAGAACATCCTAGTTTAGATTCTGTCTTGGAATATGAACTTTCCTGAGCTACAAACAATCAAGTAAAATAATATTATCAGCAAAGGTTTACTGACTTCTTGAACCTTCCCTCCTCACCTCTTCTCAATGATACCAAGCTTAGCTTTCTCCATAGAGCATCAGGGTTATGGGATTTTGTCATCCCCATAAACATGTCTGTACTGGATGCTTTGAAGTTTCTTCTAAATTATTGTTTTAAAATACTTATGTTCTGAAACCACTGTGGAAAACACCTTCTGTTTAATTTTTACCCAATACCCACTAACATGCTATAGAGAAAAAAAAACTGTCCATGTATTAGAAATATGCTGTCACCATTGATGAAATTCCAGAGTATTATATAAAGATTTTACCATCTAGAGCTCTGCAAAACACAGATTTTTAAAATTTTAAAAAGTTTTGAAAAACGTATCTTTTATAATATTCAAAATAATCTAATAAAAGTTTCCTATACATGTAAAACTCAATGATACATGAAATGTGCACTCCATGTCAAGTGTTGTTACAGACATGAAAACAAAATAGCAGCAAAATTGTGAACAGAATGTCATTGTATACAGACAGTGTTACAAGAGGACTCTCTGCCCCTATCAGTTTGGTGAATAGTACACTGTACTGTTTTGTAAACTTAGGGCACAAACTCTGTCATATTTAAGCTTGAGTTTTCCTATCTATAATACAAAATGCCTGGAATAATGCAGATGCTTAATAAATGCTTATGAAATAAATAAAAGAATAAATATCTAGGTCTTTATATATGTATATATAGTTATATATATATGTATGTGTTTGCCTACTTGTGGTGTTGTATAGCATAGTATACACACACACATGTACACACACGCATATAGCACCACATACATAGCACTATTGCTTAAAACATTTAATGCCCTCTTACAAATTGCAAGCAGTGTTTCTATTAGAAGAGTGTCCTTGAAGATATTTCTCTTGAAATTAAAAACAATTACTATTCTTCTTAGATATAATTTCAGGTGATTATGTACTATGTTACATAAAACCTACTTTCTCAACCAGATAATAGGTAAACAAAAACCATTCTTTCTTAAGTCTACAGCCAATTCTTATTTCTAAGAAATAAAAAATAATAATATCTAAAATAAAATAAATTGGAGAGAGAAGGGAGGTAGCATAAATATATGCTAAAAGTTAGCTTTCAATGTTAAAAAAAGTGTTGTCATAAGCTTCTTTTAAAAAAATGATTTGAAACATTTTTAGTAATGTCAAGTTTTCCAGTGATGAATCTCATAAATATGCTGGTTTAGATAAAAGGAAGAAGAATCACCAGAGAAATACTTTGTATCTATAACATATACTGAATTGTTGTTTTAAAATGTACCAGTAAAGCAAGGGAACTGATTCGACCTCAAGGAGATACTGTAATTATTTCTAGTAAATCCCTTTATCCTATTTAAAAGAACTATATTGTATTGTATTATAAAAAACAAATAAACAATTAAATCCTGTAATCAAAGCCCAACATAATAATAACTGAAAGATAATTTATGAAGAACCATTGTAAATTAATCTCTCTCACCTCAAAGATATGTGTGAACAGAATGAGTAAGAAAAGGAGCCGGAAGGAAAAGGAATCTGTAAATTGTGACTTCCATATGCTGATAAAAGTTTAATTAATTTGAAACACAATCTGTTAGGAAAAAATTGTTTTAGGTTTTTTTAATGGTTAAGATGCTTACTTTTAAAATTCATTATTTTAAAAAGTTAGGGAACCAAGTGTTCCCCACTGTTGGACAATTGCCATCAGTGGCCTGGGCCACATTTTAACTTTTGGAAACTCAGTGGTTTATTTGCAGGGTCACGTCAAACTATTGGAGGGCTGATGTCTGCTTCAAGATGTAAGGAAGAAAAAAAAGGGAAGAGTGGTTGTCAAGTTACTATTTACCTTCATCTAAAGCAATGTTCTCCATGTCGAATGAATGCTGGAATCACTTAAGGAGTTTTTTAAATTACAGAATATTGAGTGCCATCCCCAAAATTCTTATTGAATTGATCTGAGCATGGCCTGGGCATCAAAGACCTTAAAAGTTACCCCAAATAGGCCGGGTGTGGTGGCTCATGCCTGTAATCTCAGCACTTTGGGAGGGCAAGGTGGGCAGATCACCTGAGGTCAAGAGTTTGAAACCAGCCTGACCAATATGGAGAAACCCCATCTGTACTAAAAATACAAAATTAGCCAGGCATGGTGGCGGGCACCTGTAATCCCAGCTACTCAGGAGGCTGAGGCAGGAGAATCGCTTGAACTTGGGAGGCGGATGTTGCGGTGAGCCAAGATCGCGCCATTGCACTCCAGCCTGCGTGACAGAGAGAGACTCTATCTTAAACAGAAAAACAAACAAACAAAAAGTTACCCTAAGTAATTCTAGTGTGCAACTAATTTTGAGAACCAATGGCCCAAAAGGAATAGGAAAAAAAAAATTAAGGAATGGCTTATAGTTTAAAAGTCCTGGGGAAAAAAAAAACCCCAATTCAATTATATTCTTTGTTTGGTCTCTCTTACATTGGCAAAGCCCAACAGTTTTGTTTATTATGTTCATTTGGAACCTAAGGCCTCAGATAAAATTGCATTAAAAACAATGTTTGCAATGCCTTATTAATATGATTTATTCAATTTTATTTAACTGAATAAATAGTTACTAAAATACCTATTATCTGTCCTAATGTTGTAGGACATTCAAAGTTGGATAAGATCTGATCCCCTTTCTCAAACAGCATGCAAACAGGTGGAACAATAGCTAGGTCAACTAGAGTCAGATGCTACAAATAAATCGGACCTAGTCGAGAGGCTAATGGCTTCTTGAATAACAAAGGAATATCCCATAGTTCTGATACCAAAGCAACAAAACCAACTTCAGAAACAGCATTAGCCCATAGATATATAACACTGCATATGATTGGGCCTAAGAAAGTAGAGAAATGAGTCATTAGCTGATGAACTATGAGATGTGTTTGCCAGGCTGGGAGGCTGAGGGGATGTCTTGTTTTCAATCGTGGAATTTGAGATCTGAAGTAGTCAGTTAGAAGTTTCAACATTCTACTGGGCTTACCGTGAAAGTGCTTTCTAGATGCCAATTATATTTTCTAAAATTTCAATCAAGAGCATAATTATGCATAATCAATTGAATAAGTTTCTTTTAGATTTGCCTTGAGCTTATCAGATGAATGTTATTCAATAAGATCTGGCTCAGAATCTCAGTATGAATTATTTTTTATGTGTAATGAAGACACACTTGCACACACTGTGTGTGTGTGCATGTGTGTGTGTGTTTATACGCTGCAAGTTAGCTTGTATAGTAACACTATACATAGTGACAGAAGTCAAATCTATAATTGTACGAGTCAGGGGTAGTATGGAGATACAGAATGTAGGCTGATAAAAGGACACTAGTAAACTTGGGAAATATGGATATGTTTACTATCCTGACTATAATGATGGCTTCACCAGTGTATACATATTTCAAAACTTAGAATATTGTACACTTTATATATGTGCAGTTTATTATGTCTATTATACATCCATAAGACATTTTTAAATTGGGGGTAGGAAATGACTGATTATTTTTTTTCATTATCATGAAACTCCTTCATTCTCTGACATAATAGGGATATTCTCTTACAGTACCTTTTACATTTAAAACTTTAATCCATTTTGGAGTATGTGAATGGTAGTTTCAATAATATTATCAATTTTTTATATTAAAACCAGTTCTGTCAATCCATTTTTTTAAAATCCAGTTTTCCCTATTGACTTGCCACATTTCCTCTATTATACATCTGGGTCCTATATCTGTTTATGTTTAATTCTATTTGGTTGCTCTGTTTTTTTCTCTCTGCACTAGTATTACACTGTTTGGATTACTATAAATTTACAGTGAGTCTTTTTATTTGTTAAAACAAGCACCCCCTTCTCGTTCTATTTGAATATTGTCTCTGCTATTTTTGGAGACCTTTGATCTTCTATATGAATGTTGGAACTTCTATAAACAAATTCACTGCTCACATTGAATTTTAGGAAAAGTGTGTTTGCTATACTGCTGAAAATTACCATGATAGCATTGATGCAAGACACATGAGACCTCAAATTGGGGCTTAGCCCATGAGAGTTCTTAGCTTTGCTCAGGAAAGAATTCAAGGATGAAACCAGTGGTGTTAAGCAGCAGTCTTTTATTGAACTGGAGCTGCTCCATGCAGAGCAGGGCTAACTCATAGGCAGTGTGCCCAGAGTCCGGCAATGTATGATTTCTTGGCAACTGTTTTTATGCTCACATAAACCCACTTTCAGTTACAAGCAAATTGAGGGTCATGTTATTTAGAACTTTCCAGAAAAGGGGCAGTAACTTCTGGGTCATTGCCATGGAAGTGGGTGGTGACTTCTGGGTTGTTGTCATGGCATTTGTAAGCTGTCATGGCATTGGTAGAAGGATCTTATATTAATGAGCAATGAGGGCAGCTAGGGATCACCTTTGTAGATCACCATCTGCTGGTTCCTGCTGATTTTTTCACTTTATCCTTTCTGGACCAGATCCTGTTTTGGTCAGCAGGATTGTGACCAGAAAACAAGTCCTGCTAATCTCCTACATCAGCATGAGAGAGTCACCCTTCAATACTTGTAATAATTGCTTACAGTTGAAATACCTAAAAACTTGCCAATTCTGTGCAGTATATGTAACTGAATGTGTATCAAACACAAAAGCAGCTTTGTGATTTTTCTATAGATTGTGGATAAGGGTGACAAAAACACGAAAAAAAGAACAACAAAAGCAACAATGCCTAGAATGTGCAACAACAGGACTCATTTGTTACTGATGAAAATGCAAAAATGGTAAAGTCATTTTTTTGAAGACAGTTTCTTGCAAAACTAAACGTCTTCTTACCATATGATCTATGATCTAGCAATCACACCCCTCGGTATTTACCCAAAGGTGTTGAAATTTGCATTCACACAAAAACGTGCACACAGATATTTATAGCAGCTTTATTCATAATTGCCAAAACTTAGAAGCAACCAAGATATACTTCAGTAGGTGAATGGATAAACTATGGTACATCCAAACAATGGAATATTATTCAGCAATAAAAAGAGATGAGTTATCTCTCTGTTTTTTTTGAGATGGAGTCTCACTCTGTTACCCAGGCTGGAGTCCAGTGGTGTGATCTCCGTCTTTTTTTAGGCCACAAAAAGACATGGAGAGAGCTTAAATGCATGCTACTAAGTGAAAGAAGCCAATCTAAAAAAGCTACATATGGTATGACTCTGACTATACAATATTCTGGGAAAAGCAAAATGATGAAGACAGTAAACAAATCAGTGATTGCCAGGGGATAGTGGGGAGGGAGGGATGAATAGGTGGAGCACACAGGATTTTCAGGGCAGTGAAACTATTCTGTGTGATAATTTAATGGTGGATACATGTCATACATTTATCCAAACCCATAGAATGTATACCAGAAGTAAACCCTAATGTAAATTATGGCCTTTAGGTGATAACAATGTGTCAGTATAGGTTCACTGATTATACCGAATGTACCACTCTAGTGTGGGGTGTTGTTAATGGGGAAAGCTATGCCTGTGTGGAAGCAGGAAATCTGTGGAGATTCTCTGCACTCTCTGCTCAGTTTTGCTATGGACCTAACATTGCTCTAAAACATAGTCTATTTAAAAACAGCAAACACAACGAAACACCTTCTGAGCTTTGTCAAGGAGGAGAAAACACTAGAAAATTTTATTTCATGTGCAACTCCAAAATGTGTGTTTTTGAAACTGTCAGATGCAAAATGGGATGAGTTTGCTGAATTAAGATTGTCCTTTGTCTATGAAAGGTCTTTTCAGTTCTATAATATTTGGCTTTTGATGCACAAATCAGCACTCTTTCAAATCTTTATTGAAATCACCAGTATAAAGGAGATATTAGACCTGGCTCCATAGCATTTGTTCTTGTCTCATAAGAGAATTGCCAAGGGGAACAGAACCGTAAGGAAGGATGATAATCCGTGTCTGGAAAACCACTCCAACTGCTGATCCAGGGTCATGGGAAACAGCTCAGAAAATCACACCCTTGCTTCTCCATCAACTTTTCACTCTATGAAGGGATTTAAATATTCTGGCTCTGAAAATGAATGCTTTTTCCTTCTTTAGCCAGAAAGTGTGAAGAACGGCATAATCAGAGTCCACAGGAGTAATTTAAAAATTGTCATGTCTAAATGAGTAAACTTTTCAACAAAGCAATAGCTTTATGAATTTGTTTCATTAGGAAGAAATAAAAAAGCAGATTCCACTCTAGAGCACAGAAAGTTTTGACAGTGGTTTTGCAATGCTTGATAATAATATTCTGAATTCTAAGGTAAGATGTGCTCTGCAAGTGCCCTGGGAAAAGCAAGCTGTTGCCAAGTAAAGCAGGTTTAGGTTGAGAAAAGGCTATGGGGTCTTCTGCACTAGTTCTCCTTCCATCAAATAAAGATGTGCACAGGAACAAGTGCATTTCACCATCACCACTGCTTTCACTACTAAAGAGGCAGCATGCCCTCTTTATGGTAGCCAAGAGCACAGACATTACAGTCACACAGACTGGGTTCAAATTCTAGCTCTGATATTTACTGTCAGAAAGACTTGGCCACATTGCTTAACCACTTTGTTTTCTTATCTGTAAGATATAGAATCTACATCAAAGCATTATTATAAAGGTTAATATAAAGATTAAATAAGTTAATACATGTAAAGTGCTTAAAGCAGAGTTTAAAATTTATGACAATTTTTGACTGGACATTTTTTGAATTTTAACTTATTGGCGATACTTCAAGCCATGTAAGACAGAAAGTTTCGGCCACGCACGGTGGCTCACCCTTGTAATCCCAGCACTTTGGAAGGCTGAGGCTGGTGGATCACCTGAGATCAGGAGTTCGAAACCACCCTGGCCAATGTGGTGAAACCCCGTCTCTACTAAAAATACAAAAATTAGCCGGGTATGGTAGTGGATGCCTGTAATCCCAGCTATTCAGGAGGCTGTGGCAGGAGAATCGCTTGAACCCAGGAGGCAGAGGTTGCAGTGAGCCGAGATGGTGCCATTGCACTCCAGCCTGGGCAACAGGAGCAAAACTCTGTCTCAAAAGAAAAAAAAAAAAAGACAGAAAGTTCCTTGCGTTGTAAGATGAAAAATAAAATCAGCAATGTACCTATTTTAATAGTTTCATATAGCCACTCTCATTTTCTCATTATGATTAATCTTGGTGGTGACAAATACCTGTTTATTCATTCACTTATTGTTTGTTCAGCAATTCATTAGTTGCTTAAAGTCTAGTATGTGCCAGTCATCATGTCATGGTTTGATGATCCAAAGGCATATCAAACACAAGACACATGAAGAAATTGTTATTAATTGTGACAATATAATGGAATGATTATTGAAATGGGGGTCATGGGAAGTCTTCAGAGGGGAAATGACATTTGATCTGGATTTTGAGCCATGAGTAGGAATTTGCAGATGTAAAAGGGAAGAAGGGCTTCTGTACAAAGAGGATCGTGTGCTACAAGATTCAGGGATAAGACTGGGCTTTACCCAGGACACAGAGAAACCTTTCATGTACTGGAAGGCAAAGCTTTGTGTTGAGAAGCATGCAGAAAACAAGGGGGTTGCAAAAGCAGGTTGGAACCTCATAGTGAAGAATTTAACCAGAAAGTATGGACTAGATTCTGTAGAAAAAGTAGAAGCAGGAGTCCTTCAAGTATGAAACACCTCCACTTCATAGACTGCATTAGTTTTCTATTAGTGCAAAACAAATTACCAAAGACTCAGCAGCTTAAAATAACACAAATTTATTATCTTACTATGTCAATGGGTCAGAAATACACCATAAATTTGTTGGATCCTTTGCTTCTGGGTGTCACAAGGCTCAAATCAATGTGTTAACTGAGTGCATCTTCACATAAGGCTCAAGTAGGGAAAGATCTACTTTCTCGTTCTCTAAGGCTGTTGGCAAAACTCATTTCTTGTGATGTGTGACTGATATTCTCTTGCTAGCTGTTGGCTAGAACCACTCCAAGCTCCTAGAGACCGTTCTTGGGTTCTTGCCATATGGTCCCCCCCACTCACATCATAGCAACTTACTTCAAGGACAGCAGTAGGATCTTTACCACTATTTGAGTCTTTTTCATCAAGGAACAGCTCAGTTCTTTTTAAAGCCTTACTTGCTTAGATCAGGCTGCTTAAGGACAATCTCTTTTTCTGTTTTTTTTTTTTTTCCTAAGTCAACTGATTTGGGGCCTTAATTATATACATAAAATTCTTTCAGCTTTATCAGGAAACATAACCTAAGGAAGTGACCATCCCATCATATTCATGGGTTCTGCCCACATCCAAGGTGAATGGAGGATACAGGGCATGTAAATCGGGGTAGGAAACGTAGGGGCCATCTTAGAATTCTGCCTACTACATAGACTTTCTGCTTTTGAGGGTTAATGGGCTGACTTTGATCTCCATAATGTCTTCCCGAAAGACTTATTTTAAGGGCTATAAAATAATCATCTTTTTGTTTCCTCAACCCTTTGCCACAGATTTTCATCATGTCAAATGGACTATGTGCTAGATTGATTTGATCTTGCAGTAAATCTTATTTTTTCAGGAGGGACTAGCTGTGACTAGGCCTGGGTATGTATTAACAAACTTATTTTCCAGTCATATCAGGCACAGATTGTTATGTATATTGGAAATGATTTGCTCGTTGAAAGCACATTTAAAAAAAAATACACAAAAACTTAAACAACTCTTAATATGCTCAGTGAAACAAATAGTTTTAAATTCCACCATTAGGAACATTTATCACTTGTGCATGAAGCAAACATATCATTGAATTTTCCCAAAGATTGAGAAACACTCAGTAAGATGTGTTTAAAGATTTATAAGCTGAAGCTGTTTAGAAAATAGCTCAACTCTCTGGCAGCATTTATTCTTGGCCTGATATAAGCCCAGGCATGGAATTTAAGGCAGGGACAATCTCCATTGTCCTGAAATCAATGAAAATGTTGTGGAGACAGTTTCACCCCAAAGGCAATGGAGCAAAAGGAAAATAATCAACTTCCTTCAGTTTCTCTCTGTGTCTTTCTTGTTGCTTTTGAAGGGATCTATGATGTGGGAGTAATTAAATGTTCCCAAAGAATACAAAAGAACAGACTAAGCCTTGGTGATGTGAGAGAACTTTAGTGAACAAGGCAGACAATTAAATACGTTGATGGGGCATTACGTAGCTTCTAATAACTAGCGCATAGGAAACAACATGAAAAAAAAGAGAGAGGAAAACAAGAGATCATCATTTGTGAATAACTTCCGAGAAGACAGAACAAATTCGGGATTACAAAAGTGTTCTATGGTTTGTCAGTCGGAGATGGGCCTGTTCTTTTCAATCAATCACCCCTTATCAAAATTCTTTCTATTCATTTTTCTTTAAGTGGGTTATAAAACTTTATGTTTTCTTCCTGGTTGTGTGTGCTTGAATTTCATATCAGGGAATCTGATTTGAAAGCATATAGAATGATCATACCTTTAACATGTCACTATCCTGTAGTGTTCTCCCCTTGCTGGACCAAGGGCCACAAGCAAGGGACAGACATGCTGTTAGTACCTCCATACCCCATGCTACTTTCTCATTTGTCCAAGCCAAGCAAGACATGTTTAACAAGCACATAGTATGCTATGATGCTAAACTCCTAATATTTCAGGATCAGAAATTCATGCTTTGTATCCAATCTTTGATAAATATTGATTGCTTAAATATACCAAATTAATAAATCTTTCTATTTTTTCTTTTCATTTTTTAATTTCAAAGCCCTTTGTTTTTAATAAAAAGATTTTAATTCTAATTTCTATCCCCCCCACACTCATATATATAACACATATACACATATATACACACACACATATATATATACACATGTATGTGTGTGTGTGTGTGTGTGTGTGTGTGTATGGCAGAAATTTGATGCAATTTATACTATATATATTTTTAACTTTTACTTTTATGTTCAGGTGTACATGTGCAGTTTTGTTATATAGGTACATTGCGTGTCACAGGGATTTGGTGTCAGATTATTTTATCACCCAGATAATAAACATAATATCTGATAGGCAGTTTCTCAATTCTCACCCTCCTCCCAACCTCCAACTTCAAGTAGGCCCCAGTGTTTGTTGCTTCCTCCTTCGTATCCATGGGTACCCAATGTTTAACTCCCACTTATAAAAGAGAACATGTATTATTTGGTTGTCTGTTCCTGCATTCGTTTGCTTAGGATAATGGCACTCAGCTTCTTCATAGTGCTGCAAAGGACATGATTTTGTTCTTTTTTATGGCTGTTTTAGTATTCCACAGTGTATATGAACCACATTTTCTTTATCTAGTCTACTGTGAAGACATGTAGATTGATTCCATGCCTTTGCTATTGTGAATAGTGCTGCAATGAACATATGCATGCATGTGTCTTTATGGTAAAACAATTTATATATTCCTTTGGGTATGATATAGTTTGGCTCTGTGTCCCCTCCAAATCTCATCTCAAATTATAATACCCATGTGTCAAGGGAAGGACTTGGTAGAAAGTGATTGGATCATGAAGGCTATTTATGTTTTTCTCATGATAGTGAGTGAGTTCTAAAGATATCTCTTGGTTTTAAAGTTTTTGGCAGTTCCTCCTTCTCTCTCTGTCTCTCCTGCCTCCTTGTGAAGAAGATGCCTGCTTCCCCTTCACCTTCTACCATGATTGTAAGATTCCTTAGGCCTCCCCAGCCATGGGGAACTGCGAGTCAATTAAACCTCTTTTGCTTATAAATTACTCAGTCTCAGGAAGTTCTTTATAGCAGTGTCAAAATGGACTAATACAGAAAATTGGTACCGAGAGTGGGATACTGCTATAAAGATACCTGGAAATGTGGAAGCGACTTTGGAGCTGGGTAATGGGCAGAGGTAAGAACAGTTAAGAGGGCTCAGAAGAAGACAGGAAGATGTGGGAAATGTTAACGGTAGAGGGTATCCAGGTTGTTGGCATCTTGAACAAAGAATTGGAACACCGCATGTTCTCACTCATAGGTGGGAACTGATCAGTGAGAACACTTGGACACAGGAAGGGGAGCATCACACACCGGGGCCTGTTGCGGGATGGGGGTAGGGGGGGAGGGAAAGCATTAGGAGACATACCTAATGTAAATGACAAGTTAATGGGTGCAGCACACCAACATGGCACATGTATACCTATGTAACAAACCTGCACATTGTGCACATGTACCCTAGAACTGAAAGTATAAAAAAAAATTGGACAAAACACAAAAACAAAGCAAGGAAGGAATGAAGGGTTTTATTGAAAATGAAAGTACACTCTGCAGTCTGGGAGCAGGCCTGAGCATAGGGGCTCAAAGGCCCCATTCCAGAATTTTTGAGAGTTTAAATACCCCCAGAGGATTCCATTAGTTGCTTTGGGTATGCCCTATGTAAATGGAGAGGATGAAGTGAAATTACAAAGTCATTTATGCCCTAACGGAGAGGATATTTCCTGTTATAGCTGAAGTGTGAATTGGCCTTATGTTCCCTGCCTCCAGACCCTATTTTCCTGCCTCAGGCAAGATTGGCACTTCCTAGAATCTTGTTGAATGCTTTTGACCAAAATGCTGATAGTGATATGGACAATGACATCCAGGATAAGATGGTTCAGATGGAGATGAGGAACTTATTGGGAACTGGAAGAAAGGTCACTCTTGTTATGCTTTAGGAAAGAGATTGGCGGCATTTTGCCCCTGCTGTAGAGATCTGTGGAACTTTGAACTTGAGAGAGGTGATTTAGGGTACCTTGGGGAAGAAATTTCCAAGCAGCAAAGCATTCAAGAGTTAACCTGGCTGAGGGATCGAGACCATCCTGTCCAATATGGTGAAACTCTGTCTCTACTAGAAATATAAAAATTAGCTGGGCGTAGTGGCATGTGCATGTAGCCCCAGCTGCTCAGGAGGCTGAGGCAGGAGACTTGATTTAACCTGGGAGGCAGAGGTTGCAGTGAGCCAAGATTGCACCACTGCACAACAGAGCAAGACTCAGTCTCAAGAAAAAAAAAAAAAAAAAAGAAGGTAACCAAACCTGGCTTTTTCTGACAGCGTAAACCTAATTTTCTGGGAATAAATTCAACCTAGCTACAGAAATTTGCATAACTAATGAGGAGCCAAATGTTAATAGCCAAGCTATGGGGAAAATGCCCCCAGGGCATTTCAGAGATCTTCACAGTAGCCCCTCTCATCACAGGCCTGGAGACCTAGGAGGGAAAAATAATTTTGTGTACTGAGCCCAGGGTCCCACTGCTCTGTGGAGCCTCAGGACATGGTGCCCTGCGTTCCAGTTGCTCCAGCTCCAGCCATGGCCAAAAGGGACCAAGCTACAGCTTGCACCATGACTTTAGAGGATGCAAGCCCCAAGCCTTGGTGCCTTCCACATGGTGTTGAGCCTGCAGGTGTGCAGAAGACAAGAGTTGAGCTTTGGGATTCTTCACCCGGATTTCAGAGGAGGTATGAAAACTCCTGGATGCCCAAGCAGAAGTCTGCTGCAGGGGCAGAGCCCCCATGGAGAACCTCCACTAGGACAATGTGGAGGGAAAATGTGGGGTTGGAGCCCTCACACAGAGTACCCACTGGGGCACTGCCTAGTTGAGCTGTGAGAAAAGGGCCACCACCCACAATGGTAGATCCATCAACAGCTTGCACTGTGCACCTAGGAAAGCTGCAGACACTCAATGCCAGCTCGTGAAAGCAGCTGCAGGGGCTGTATCCTGCTGAGCCACAGAGGCAGATCTGCCCAAGTCCTTGGGAGCCTATCTTTTACATAGGCATGCCCTGGATGTGCAACATGGAGTCAAAGGAAATTATTTTGAAATTTTAAGATTTAAAGATGTGCCCTGGTGGTTTTCAGACTTGCATGGGGCCTGTGGACCCTTTGTTGTGGCCAATTTCTCCCATTTAGAATGGGAACATTTACCTAATGCCTGTACCCCCATTGCATCTTGGAAGTAACTAACTTGTATTTGATTTTACAGGCTCATAGGCAGAAAGGCCTTGCCTTGTCTCTGATGAGACTTTGAACTTGAGCTTTTGAGTTAACGCTGGAATGAGTTAAGACTATGGAGGAACTATTAGGAGGGTATGATTGGTTTTGAAATGTGAAAAGGACATCAGAGGAGAGCAGGAGGGAGAAAAAAAAAGGACATGAGATTTGGGTGGGGCCAGGGTGGAATTATATGGTTTGGCTCTGTTTCCCCACGCAAATCTCATCGTGAATTGTAATCCGCATGTGTCCAGAAAGGGACCTAACAGGAGGTGATAGGATCATGGAAACAGTTTCCCCCATGCTGTTGTCATGATAGTGAGGGAGTTCTCATGAGATCTGATGGTTTAAACGTGGCTGTTTCCCCTGTACTCTCTCTGTCCTGCTGCCTTGTGAAGAAGGTGCTTGCTTCCCCCTTCACCTTTCACCATGACTATAAGTTTCCTGAGGCCTCCCCAGTCATGCAGAACTGTGAGTCAATGAAACCTCTTTCGTTTACAAATTACACAGTTTCAGGGAGTTTTATAGCATTGTGAAAATGGACTAATACAGGGTTTATATCCAGTAATGGAATTGCTGGGTAAAATGGTATATCTGTTTTAAGTTCTTTGAGAAATTGCCACACTGCTTTCCACAATGGCTGAACTAATTCACATTCCCACCTGCAGTGTGTAAGTGTTTCCTTTTCTCCACAACTCACCAGCATCTGTTATTTTTTGACTTTTAAAAAATAGCCATTCTGACTGGTGTGAGATGGTATGTCATTGTGGTTTTGAGTTGCATTTCACTAATGATTAATGATATTGAACATTTTTTCATATGCCTCTTGGCCGCATGTATGCCTTCTTTTGAAATGTGTCCCTTTATGTCCTTTGCCCACTTTTTAATGACATTGTTGTTTTTTGTTTTTTTTTTGCTTGTTAATTTAAGTTCCTTATAGATTCTGGATATTAGACCTTTGTCAAATGTATAGTTTGAAAATATTTTCTCCCATTTTACAGGTTTTTTGTTTACTCTGTTGATAGTGTCTGTTGTTTTGCAGAAGCTCTTTCATTTAATTAGGTCCCATTTGTCAATTTTTGTTGTTGTTTCAATTTCTTCCTGCATCTTCATCACGAAATGTTTGCCAGGGCCTATGTTCAGGATGGTATGCCCCAGGTTTGCTTCTAGGGTTTTTGTAGTTTTCGCTTTTACATTTAAATCTTTAATCCATCTTGAGTTAATTTTTGGATATGATGTAATGAAGGGGTCCAGTTCTAAACTTCTGCATATGGCCAACCAGTTATCTCAGCACCATTTTTTGGATAGAAAGTCCTTTCCCCATTGCTTATTCTTCTCAACTTTTCCAAAGATCAGATGGGTGTAGGTGTGCAGCTTCATTTCTGGGCTCTCTGCTCTGTTTCATTAGGCTATGTGTCTGTTTTTATGCCCTAATCAGATTGTTTTTATTATTGTAGCCTTGTATCATAGTTTGAAGTTTGGTAATGTAATGCCTCCAGCTTTATTCTTTTTGCTTAGGATTATCTTGGCTATTTGAGGTTTGTTGTTTTTCCATATAAACTGTAGAATAGTTTTTTTCTAATTCTGTGAAAAATGTCATTGGTAGTTGACAGGAATAGCACTGAATCTGTAAATTGCTTTCAGCAGTATGGCCATTTTTACAATATTGAATCTTTCTATCCAAAAGCATGGAATGTTTTCTATTTGTTTGTGTCACCTGTGATTCGTTTGAGCAGTGTCTGGTAATTCTTACTGTGGAGATCTTTCACCTCCCTGGTTAGCTATACTCCTGGGTATTTGATTCTTTTTGTGGCTATTGACAATACAATTGCATTCTTCATTTGGCTATCAGTTTGGACATTGTTGGTGAATATAAATGCTACTAATTTTTGTACATTGATTTTGTATTCTAAAACTTTTCTAAAGTTGTTTATCAGAACAGAGAGCTTTTGAGCAGAGGCTATGGGATTTTCTATATATAAATCATATAATCTGCAAACAGAGATATTTTGACTTCATCTCTTCCTATTTGGATGCCTTTTATTTTTTCTCTTGTCTGATTGTTCTGGCTAGGATTTCCAGTAATATATTGAATAGGAATGGAGAAAATAGGTATTCTTGTCTAATTCCAATTTTCAAGGGGAATACTTTCAGCTTTTGCCCATTCAATATGATGTTAGCTGTGGCTTTGTCATACATGGTTCTTATTATTTTGCAGTATGTTCCTTCAATGCCTAGTTTGTTAAGGGTTTTTGAAGATGAACGGATGTTGAATTTTATCAAAAGCCTTTTCTGCATCTATTGAGATAATCATGTAGCTCTTGTTTTTAGTTCTGTTTTTGCGATGAATGATATTTATTGATTTGTGTATGTTGAACCAACTTTACATCCCAGGGATAAAGCCTACTCGACTGTGGTGGATTTGGTTTGCTAGTATTTTGTTGAGGATTTTTGCATCAATGTTCATCAAAGATATTGGCATTAAGTTTTATTTTTTTGTTGTGTCTTTGCCAGGTTTTGGCATCAGAATGATGCTGGCCTCATAGAGTGTGTTAGGGAGGAGTCCCTCCTTCTCAGTGTTTTTGGAATAGCGTCAGTGGGAATGGTACCAACTCTTCTTTACACATCTGGTAGGAATAGGCTGTGAATCTCTGCTCCCAGGCTTTTTTTGGTTGGTAGACATTTTGTTACTGATTCAGTTTTTGAACTTGTTGTTTGTCGGTTGGGGATTTCAATTTCTTTCTGGTTCAATTTTGGGAGGTTGTATGTTTCCAGGAATTTATCCATTTATTGTAGACTTTCTTGTTTGTGAGCATAAAGGTGCTTTATAATAGTCTCAGAGGATTTTTTTTTTATTTTTGTGGAATCAGAAGTAACATTTTCCTTGTCATTTCTGTTTGTGTTTATTTGGATCTTCTCTTCTTTTTTCATGATAAAGAAAAAAATTATTAGCTACCAATAAACACATAGCTACCATGTGTTTACTGGTAGCTAGGAGTTAACCAATCTTATTCATTCTTTCAAGGAACAAGCTTCTGTATTTGTTTATCTTTTATGGTTTTTCACATGTCAATTTCATTCAGTTCAGCTCTGATTCTGATTATATCTTGTCTTCTGCTAGCATTGGGGTTGGTTTGCTCATGTTTTTCTAGATGCTCTAGGTGTGATTTTAGGTTGTTAATTTGAGATTTTTCTAACTTTTGATGTGAAATTTTAGCACTATGAACTTTCCTCTTAACACTGCTTTAGCTGTATCCCAGAGATTTTGGTATATTATATCTTTCATCTCAGTTTCTAAGAATTTCTTGATTTCTGCCTTAATTTCACTGGTTCCCCAAAAGTCATTCAGGAGCAGGTTGTTTAATTTCCATGTAATTGTATGGTTTTGAGTGATCTTCTTAGTATTGATTTCTATTCTTATTGCACTATTATCCAATAATGTGGTTGGTATAATTTCATTTCTTTTGAGTTTGCTGACAATTGTTTTATGGCCAATTGCATGGCTGATTTTAATATATGTGTCATGTGGCAGTGAGAAGAATGTACATTCTGTTGTGTTTGGGTGGAGATTCCTGTAGATATCTATTAGGTCTGTTTGCTCAAGTGTTGAGTTCACATCCTGAATATCTTTGTTAGTTTTCTGCCTTGATGATCTGTCTAATACTGCCAGTGGGTTGTTGAAGTCTCCCACTATTTTGTGTTATCTAAGTATCTTCGTAGGTCTCTAAGAAGATGTTTTATAAATCTGGGTGCTGCTATGTTGGGTACATGTACACTTAGGATAGTTAGGTCTTCTTGTTGAACTGAACTCTTTACCATTATGTAATGCCCTTCTGTGTCTTTTTTGATCATTGTTGGCTTGACATCTGTTTTGTCTAAAATTGGAATAGCATTACCTGCTTTTTAAAATTTCTTATTTGCTTGGTAGATTTTTCTCCATCCTTTTATTTTGGCCTATGGGTGTTGTTGCATGTGAGATGGGCTATTGAAGATAAGAGACCCATCTTTTGGGACTTGCTTCTTTATCCAACTTTCCACTCTGTGCCTTTTAATTGGGGCATTTAGCCTATTATTTATATAATCCTGTCCCCGCGTTGCTAACTGGTTATTGTGCAAACTTGATTTTGTAGTTGATTTATAGTGTCGATGGCATAGTACTTAAGTGTGTTTTTGTGATGGCTAGTAATGGCCTTACCTATCCATATTTAGGACTCCTTTTAGAACCTCTTTTAGGGCAGGTCTGGTGGAAACAAATTTCCTTAGCATTTGCTTCTCTGAAAAGGATTCTATTTCTCCTTCATTTAGGAAGCTTAGTTTGGCTGGATATGAAATTCTTGGTTGGAATTCCTTTTTTTTTTTTTTTTAAGAATGCTGAATACAGCCCCCAATATCTTTGAGCTTCTATGGTTTCAACTAAAAGCTCTATTTTTAGCCTGATTGCATCCCTTTTTAAATGACCTGACCTTTATCTTCAGCTGCCTTTAATATTTTTTCTCTCATTTTGACCTAGGAGAATCTGATAACTATGTGTCATGGGAATGGCCATCTTGAATGGTATCTTGCAGGGGTTCTGTGCATGTTCTGAATTAGAATGTTGGCCTCTCTAGCAAGGTTGGGGTTATGATCACGGATGATATCCTCAAATACATTTTCCAGGTTGCTTGCTTTTCCTCCCTCTCTTTTAGGAACACCAATTAGTCATAAATTTGGTTCCTACGTAATCCCGTATTTTATGGAGGTTTTGTTCATTCTTTTTTTAATTCTCTTTTTTATTTTTGTCTGACTGAGTTAATTCAGAGAGCCCTGGAGATTAGAGTCTTAGAGCTCTGAGATTCTTTCCTCGGCTTATTATATTCTACTCTTAATACTTGTGATTGTATTTCAAAATTCTTGTAGTGAGTTTCTCAGCTCTATCAGATCAGTTTAGTTCTTTCTTAAAATGGGCATTTTGTCTTTTAGCCTTTGTATCGCTTTATTGTATTCCTTAGTTTTCTTGGATTGGGTTTTGACTTTTTCCTGAATCTCAATGATCTTCATTTATATCCATACTCTGAGTTTTATGTCTGTCATTTCAGCCTGGTTATGAACCATTGCTAGGAAACTAGTGTGGTGATTTGGAGGTAAGTGCACTCTGGCTTCTTCAGTTACTGGAGTTCTTGCAATGATCCTTTCTCATTTGTGTTGGCTGATATTCCTTCAGTCTTTGAAGTTGCTGTCCTTTGGATGGGTTTTTTTTTCTTCTTTGATGCCCTTGGGATTTCGATTGTGATAAATGGTGGGTTCAGTCAACTGTCTCCATTTGAGGAAGATGTGTGCTCTAACTCTCAGGGGCTTGTATTGTGCCCTAGCTTTATTCTCCGGACCTTCAAGGTTAGAAATTCACTGCTCTGGAGGGTCCAAAGTGTTCCTGATCTGCTGGCCACAACACTATGATAAGACACGCTTGCCAAAGTGTTTTGTCAGGGTAGTGTCAGTGGAACCCATGTTTTCTCACACATACTAGCCACTGCATCAGTGTGGTGGGGTGCACACGTGTTTGCTGTGGCAGGGTACCAGTTGGAGTAGGGTGGTGGCTTTCCTATGTGCACTTACACTGGTGGCCACAGTGGTGTTGCAGGCGCAGGGCACTGGTGGGGTTGGGATGGTCAGTGACAGTGCACACTATCACATACAGCAAAAATTTCTAAGTGCCAGTTCTGATCTATAATGCCTTATGTCCTATAGTTATTAAAGAGTTAGATAATATAATACACCCCAAATAACTAGCACTCATTAGTAATAATGTTTAGTACTATTCCTATCATATTATTATTATGATTCTTTGCCCTCAGTTGGAAGAAGGAACTCCTCCCTTCAATCATTTGCTATGAAATTATCTTAATGACTTTCTATTTTATATGCTGGCATTTCACCTCCACAGTGTCAATAAAAACCACAAGTGTCAGAAAGAAAAGGTTAAATGTAAAATCATCCTCTATGGCAGGGCCATGAAGGTGGACAAACAGATTAACTCATCTATCCTTTCATTATTTTTAAAGAAAAAAATTATTGAGCAAAATATATCTGAAGTGTTACAAAACTGTTACTTAAGTACCTTATAATTTTTTACTTCATCTGAACAATTAAAATTCATAAATAAAATTATTAGTAAATAGACCTTGGCATTTCCCAGGGAACATTTTCCATGTTTCAGGAAGGAGAGTATTTCCAATAAAGAATGGTAGGTCAGTGCCAAGGAAGGGTTATCAGAATAAACACAGAAGTACAGGCAAGGGTGGACAGGAGTGAGCACTGCTCTGGGATCCTGTGTTAGGAGGGTTACTATAGGCACAAGTTACAGAATAAAGAATATTGGCATCTATTGCTCAGGGCACACTTGGGCTGACTTTAAAATTCCTGGAGTTCTTCCTATTTGTTTACTGTGGGGTATCCAGCATGGACCAGTAGTCCTCCCTCTTTGAAGAATGCCTTTGCTTTATGTCCCAGTTCCATCTTTGCCCTCTGTTCAGAAAGCTCTCTGGTCTCTCTCAGGCTCAGTAACTGCAAAGGTTTCCATATTCTTCTGCCAAGGCAGTCCATTTCTGAGGTCCGAAGTTTCTCTATTCAGAGTGGATGGACATTTTTGGTGGAGAGACATCCTTGCACCATGCTGCCTCTGAGACCTTGGCCTTGGCAACCAAGATAATTGAGCTAAGGGAGCAGCCTAGCCTTCAGTGACATAACAATGACAGGGAAGTAGATTAGATGACTGTTACTTGTTTTATCTTTTAAAGTTAAAAAAAAACATAGTTTACCTGCTAATTTTATATCAACTGTGATGAGTGTGCATTTCATTTTGTCTTTTTCTTTTAAAAAAATGATGTGGTTTGGAAACATGTAATTTATGTGAGACTGAATTTCTACATTCTACTTACAGTTTATATTTTAGTATAAGGTAAAGGTAACACACTAAACTTTTATTCCTGAATTTATTAACTCTAGGGCTTAATAAGCTAATATTTTAATAACATTATTGATGTCTTATATCTAATTAATACCTTTAACTTTTGAAAAAAAAATCACTCCAGTATGGGCAACAAGTGACACTCTATCTCTACAAAAAAAAAAAAAAAAAAAGAAAGTTTAAAAAATTAAGTGGGCATGTTGGTGCATGTCTGGAGTCTTAGCTACTCAGAAGGCTAATGTGAGCGGATTGCTTAATTTTAGGAGTTCTAGGCTGCAGTCAGCTATGATCAGACCACCGCACTCCAGCCTGAGTGGCAAGAGTGAGTCCTTGTCTCCAAAAATAAAAAAGAAAAAAAAAGAAAAAAGAAAGATTGAAGGAAGGAAGAAAAAATAGGAAAGAAAAAAATAAAGAAAGAAAGAGGAAGAAATCATTTACATTGCCATTACCTAATGGATTATTTTCTGGTACTTGTATGAGTTAGCAAAATACATGAGCATCACATACCATGCTCAACTACTGTACGAAATTTTGTTTAATTCATCACCAAGACACCTGCAACAGCCTCCTAACTGGTTTTTCTATCTACAGTCTTGTTTGAAGCCCAGAAATAAGAGGTTGCCACAAGATTCAAAAATTGCTTAAAAGTTTCTTTTTTGTCCTTTTGGCACCACTCACGGGTATTTTGGAATGCTGAGTGTCCAAATATTCCTATTTTTGTCTGAATTCAAGTAAATCTATAGACAAGAAAAAAGTTTTCAAAAAAGAAAAAAGAAAGCATAATAAAGACAAGAATAAGGCATAAAATATAGTTTAAAAGAAATTTATGTTAGTGGCTAAAATATTTGACACTGAAAATATATGGAGAATTCTCAAGATATTTTTAGAAATCTAATTTTTGGAAATCAGAAAATAATTTTTGGTTATCTCTTTGGAGGGCTCAAATCCAGCCCTGGGAAAGGCAGGTGAGTGAATTGAGTTACAACTGAAGCAAGTGCCATACCTTACTCTTCTCGGTTAGCTATGTATATTTTCTGTGTGATAAACACTGGAGGCAACAGTATTTCAGGAGAAAAAAATGAAGCCAAAAGCTTACTTTCAAATATAGCTATGTTTCCTGAATAACTTGTCAAAAATCTTAAATTTGCTAAAGGCAGTGTCATGTCTAAGAGAATATGAAATGTTTCTCATTTGTATTAGGCCGTTCTAACATTTTTATAAAGAAATACCTGAGACTGGATAATTTATAAAGAAAATAGGTTTAATTCACTCACAGTTCTATAGGCTTCACAGGAATCATGATGCTGGCATCCATTCAGCTTCTGGGGAAGCATCAGGAAGCTTATAATCATGGTGGAAGGAAAGGCAGAAGCAGGCAGTTCACATGGTGAAAACAGGAGCAAGAAAGGAAGAAGGGTAGGTGCCACACAATTTTAAACAGCCATATCTCATGAGAACTCACTAACTATTGTGAAGACAGTGCCAAGCTATGAGGGATCTGCCTCCATGACCCAAACACTTCCTACCAGGCCCCACTTCCAACATTAGGGATTATATTTAAATATAAGATGTAAGCAGGGACAAATATACAAACAATATCATTGCAACCCTGACCCCCCTCCAAATATTATGTCCTTCTCACATTGCAAAATGCAACCATGTCTTCCCAATAGTCCCTCAATGCCTTAACTCATTTCAGCATTAACTTTAAACTCCAAAGTCTCATCTGAGACAAGGCAAGTTCCTTCCATCTGTTAGCCTGTAAAATCAAAGGCAAGTTATTTACTTTCAAGATACAATGGAGGTATAGGCATTGAGTAAACATTGCCATTCCAAAAGGGAGAAATCAGCCAAAAGAAAGGGGCTACAAGCTCCACACAAGTTTGAAACATATCACTGTGGTATTAAATCTTAAGGCTCAAAAATAATCTCTTTTGCCTCATTATCCTCCATATCCAGGGCACACTGGTGCAAGGGGTGGGCTCCCAAAGTCTTGGGCATTTCAGCCCCATGGCTTTGCAGGGTACAGCCCAGAGCTTCTGTCATGGGCTGGAGTTGAGTACTTGTGGCTTTTCTAGGTACAGGGTGCAAACTCTTGCTAGATCTACTATTCTCAGGTTTTGAGGATGGTGGCACCCTTCTCACAGCTCCACTAGGTCATGCCTCACTGGGGACTTTATGTGGGGTTCCAACCCCACTTTTACCCTTTGCATTGCCCTAGTACAGGTTCTCCATGAGGGCTCCACTCCTGCAGGAGACTTCTGCCTGAGTACTCAGGCTTTTTCATACACCTTTTGAAACTCAGGCATAGACTTCCAAGCATTTATCACTCTTGCATTCTGTGCACCTACAGGCTTAACACCACATGGAAACTGTCAAGGCTTATGGCTTGCATTCTCCAAATTGGCAGCTCAGGCTCTACCAGAACCTCTTTGAGCCCTGGCTGAAGATGGAGCTGGAGCTGAAAACTGTCAGGATGCGAGGAGCAGTGTCCCAAGACTGCACAGGGAAGTTGAGGCCTGGATCTGGCTCATGAAACCATTCTTCCCTCCTTGGCCTCTGGGCCTGTTGTAGAAGGGGCTGACATAAAGGTCTCTAAAATGGCTTTGAGGTCTTTTCCTCATCTTCTTGGATATTAGCACTTGGCTCCCTTTTAGTTATGCAAATATTTCTAGCAAGTGTTTGCTCCACAGCCTGCTTGAATTCCTTGCTTGAAAAAGCTTTTGCTTTCTCTGCCATATGGCCATCCTGCACATTATCCACAAACTTTTATGCTCTGCTTCCTCTTCAAATATGGGTTTTCACTTTAAGTCTTTTCTTCACTCCTACATCTGAATATAGGTTGTTAGAAGCAGCCAGGTCACTTCTTGAATGTTTTGCTGCTTAGAAATTTCTATTTCACCAGATACCCTAAATACTCTCAAATTCAAACTTCCACAGATCTTGCGGGCATGAATAGAATTCAGCCAAGCTCTTTGCTAAGACATAACACTTGTGACCTTTGCTCCATGATATGGTTTGGCTGTGTCCCCACCCAAATCTCATCTTGAATTGTGATCCCAATAATCCCCAAGTGTCCAGGGAGGACCTGGTGGCAGGTTATTGGGTCATGGCGGCAGGTTCCTCCATGTGGTTCTTGTGATAGTGAGTGAGTTCTCATGAGATCTGATGATTTGGTAAGGCAGTTTTCCCTGCTATTACATGTTCTCTCTTGTCTGCCGCTATGTAAGACTGGCCTGCTTCCCCTTCTGCCATGACTGTAAGTTTCCTGAGGCCTCTCAAGCAATGCAGCACTGTGAGTCGATTAAACCTCTTTTCTTTAAAAATTACCTAGTCTCTGGTATGTCTGGCAGTGTGAAAATGGACTAATACACTCCAGTTCCCAAGAAGTTTCTCATTTCCATCTGAGACTTTGGCAGCCTGGACTTCACTGTCCATATCATTATCAGCATTTTGGTCACAGCCATGTAATCAGTCTCTAAGAAGTTCCAAATCTTATCTTCCTGACTCCTTCTGAGCCCTCCAAACCCTGCCTGTCACAGAGTTCCAAAGTTGCTTCCACATTTTCAGGTATCTTTATAGTAATACACCACCCCTGGTACCAATTTTCTGTATTAGGCTGTTCTTGCCTTGCTATAAAGAAATACACCAGGCCGGGCGTGGTGGCTCACGCCTGTAATCCCAGGACTTTGGGAGGCCGAGGCGGGTGGATCATGAGGTCAGGAGATCGAGACCATCCTGGCTAACAAGGTGAAACCCCGTCTCTACTAAAAATACAAAAAATTAGCCGGGCGCGGTGGCGGGCGCCTGTAGTCCCAGCTACTCGGGAGGCTGAGGCAGGAGAATGGCGTGAACCCAGGAAGCGGAGCTTGCAGTGAGCCGAGATTGCGCCACTGCAGTCCGCAGTCCGGCCTGGGCGACAGAGCGAGACTCTGTCTCAAAAAAAAAAAAAAAAAAAAAAAAGAAATACACCAGATTAGATAATTGGTTAAGAAAAGAGGTTTAATTGCTCACAGTTCTACAGGTATTACAAGCAGCATGATGCTCAAGAAGCTTATAATCATAGCAGAAAGTAAAGCACGAGCAGGCATTTCACATGGCAAAACCAGGAGCAAGAGAGAGAGATAGACTGGGGTGAGGAGGTGCTACACACTTTTAAATGACCAGATCTTGCAATAACTCACTCACTATCTTGAAGACAGCACCAAACTATGAGGGATCCACCCTCATGACCAAAGCACCACCCACCAGGCTCCATCTCCAACACTGGGCAATATTGGGAATTATATTTCAACATGAGATTTGGGCAGGGACAGATATACAGACAGTATCACCATTTAATTGTGAACTTGTCATTGGTCAGGCTTGAGTTTCCATTGACTTTACTTTGAAATCACCTTCACTTCTCTTATTCCTTGAAATGGAGTCCCACAAATTTTCTTCCTATGATATCAAGGAAGTTTGTCTGCTAAGAGGTTGGCAGAGTTGGAGCTCTGGAATGCAGAACTGGAGGTGAATGCCCTCTTGCCTCTGGCAGGACTCAAGAAGTACCTGCGGTTTCCCACTCTACCCCTTTTTTCAATCTCTTTGCTGCTTATAAACCAGGCTTCAAACCTATGGAAGTAGTGATTGACTTTTTAGGGCCCATCATGTTTTTCCTGACACAAGAATTTACCTACCATAAAATATTTTTTTTTCCTGTGAAAAGTCAATGACTTGTAATTTGGTTAGCAAACAGAAACTATCCATTTAATAAATGCAATGTTTTTTTGCATGTGTCTTGCACAAAATTTCTTAACCACACATCAACATCCTTTTACATAAAACCAGGTATCCCATGCTTAAGAAAATTACTCTGAATCCAAAAACTACTAATTATTGGGTCAGTCTTTATTCAAGTAAATATAATAAATTAATCAATTTATTTGTTCATGTAGTCAAAAAAAATCTGAGTACTAAAGATGTGCCAGACACTGACAGCTGACTGGGAAGCTCATGGCATTCAGGGACATATAGAGAGGTTAATAAATAATTATAGTATCTTGTGAAGTTATACGAAAGAGGCATCTACAGTGTTGCAAACAAGAGTGAGGAATTCACTCTACTTGAAGATATATGTCCCCATCCTCTCAACAAAAAGCAGATGAACAATGTTTTGAACACTTCTAAATATTCATTTGTTGGATAAGGCTAGGAGACATAGTCCACTGGGGAGAAAAGACTAAAAAAGATGATATAAAATAGCCTGGCAATTTTATACTCTTAAAATAGATTAATATAACAGAAGTATTATATGCTTATTGTAGATTTGTGGTTAAAAGTTATAAAAATCTGACTTAAGTGGTATTTAAAAAAAAAAAAAAGAAAAAAATTTGCTCAAGAGCCTGGGAGTAAATCCTTCAGGTGTGACTAATCTAGATCCATTTAAAAATTAACATAGGGGATCTAAAATTACATATTTTAATTTATTGAATATATTTACTTCTGTGATATTACATACATGTCTTGATAATGTCTTATGCAACTAATCCACTTTCTGCATTATTTTTCTAACTTAAATTTATCTTATATTAATTTTAAATAATCATAATAATATATGTGACATACACATAGTCAGATGTATACATGTTTTGCTTATACTCTCAGATGCAGATAACTGAATTCACTGAGAATATTGACCATGTAAAGCATTTACTTGCATAAGGGCTGAGTTCAATGTTAGCTGTAATGCTTAAATAATGATTGGAATTCATTATTTTTCAACTGTTAAGACATTAAATTATTTGAAGTTTCATTATGCATCATCATGCCTGTCACCATTCTTGCTTAATGAATAATGTTTTTATCTGCTGATCTCACAACCAATACATAACAAATCAAACAGAGGAACACTTCTTTAAATGATTTTGCCTCAGAAAATTCACCAGGCTCAATTTTATATTTGGTTAGAATAAAACATTCATTCCTTTCTAAAAATTTCTTGGTGTAGAAAATAGCTGACTTCTATTATAGCTTAGCTTAAATTTCTCAGCCAAAAAAAAAAAAAAAAAAAAAAAGACAAGAAACAAGGAAATAATTCCTTTAGCTGCAAGTAATTTTGGTCATGTCTACACAAATCCAAATTAACCAATTGGAAAGGTAAAAATTCAGTCATGTTGTTTTGTCCTTAGCATGGCAACAACATACACTTTTTAACCTAAAATAATTATATATTTAGTTTTGCTTTGATGTCTAAAGTTTCTTATTCATGTTATGTGAGATCTACAAAGAATAACAATAAATGGTTCAAAATCTGTATAATGCTCAGAGACTGATTTTTATGAACTTTTATTTTATATTTATCATGCTGTGACTCAAATACTACACACTATGTTAATTTTTTTCAGGGGTCCAATTGCTAGTTTCCTGTTTTTATTAATAAGTCTGATGATATATGTACACATCAAAATGCATTTTACTTTTTAATCTACATCTTCAGAGAAGAATTCATATTCTGCCACCTTCTTTCTTAGAAGAGAACAAACCTGGGCCAAGTGACACATTATATTGCTCTTCAACTAGAGCCAAGTTTCTGTCTTTAATACATTTTCTGTGACATGTAATTTATATTTTAAAGTATTCTAGATTTTTTCCTATAGAAACCAACTGCCAGTTGCTTCCAGCCTCTATTTTTTAATTCATCCAAAATTCATAGAGTAAAAAATGTTTTTTTCTGCTATAGGTTTCATTTAAAAGAAATTATAAATAAGGTTAGGGAATGAAATTCCATTCCCTTGCATGAACACTACAATGCAATGTGTAAATAAGTAACTTTTAAAGATAATCAAATCTAGAAGCTTAGAATTGAAATTGAAGGATATTTAGTCCAACCTCTTACACAATTCAAGAATCCTTTCTACAACATCCCTGGCAAACAATCGTATTATAATTTCCCAATTAAGACCTTAAAAAGCTGTTTCATATACAAAATGAGTTTGGTCCCACAACTTTCAATGTGTCATTAACAGACTATTATGGTTGTCAAACATTGTATATTGAGGAATGCATGGTGGACAAAGGAAGGGAGGGGAAAAAAGAACTGAAACTGAAACTCCTGTCCTGACTCCCCTCCATGTTCTCCATAGACTAGCCAACTGATACTCTTGAATGATCCAGAACAAATCCACAATGCCCCATCCAGTCTGCCTAGAGAAGGCAGAATCTTGGTCCAAGGAACAGAACAAGGGCATGTCTTGGCCATTAGTTAACCCTTCTCTTGGAAAAAAAAATTAGATTACTTAAAATATATGTGTAGAATTACAAGTAGGTCTCACATTTTCCTAGAAAACAGTCTCAATGGACAGCACACTCATAAAGAAATTCCTTCTCTGGATATTGTTTTGGTACCATCTAAAGTTTTCAAGCTGTCTTTGAGCAAAGCTCTTCAACAATTCCATTTTATTGCCTAAGGCAAGGGGAGTTCCTATATATTTTGTATCCACTCTCTTACCTATCAATTTAATTCAGTTTTTTTACATTATATTATGTGATACAATTTAAAATTTTAATCTGATGATTCTTACTCTGTTCATGTCTCCTAGCACATCTTTTCATTTCCATTTATGTGTGTGCAAAAAATTTATGAATCCAAGAAATGTTATGAAGTGTCTGTTTTGAGTATTTTGTGTAAGGTAATGGAAGTACAATCTAATAAAACTTAAATTTAATATCAGTTGATACAAAATATTTTGGAAGAAAAAAATCTACTATCCAAAAATAACACAATTCACTTCAAAGTTTAAAAGTATGCTACATTTGTCATAGTTTTGTGTGCATTCATTCATTCAATCATTCTACAAATATTTATTGTGTACCCAATATGTTTTAAACAGTTTTAGGTTATGTTGATACAGGTGTGAACAAAAGAGATGAAACTCAGACTTACATTATTGTTTTGAGAGAGACCGACAAGCAAGTCAAATTTTAAAATGTATACTATGTTAGATGGTGATGCCTGCTAAGTAAGGAAATAAAGTAGAGAGATAGGATAGGGGACTTGTGGAGATGAAATTTTAAATAGAACATCCAGGGAAGGTGACATTGAAAGTGTGGCACTTCAGTAAAGACCTGAACAAGATGAGAAAGGAAGCCATGTGAATACCCAGGAGCAGAGTATTCCAGACAAAGGAAGAAGCAAATGTGTCTGCTTTTGCAGAAGCATACGTAGAGTATCCGAGGAAAATCCAGGAGGTCAGTGTAAGCTACTGAGCTGAGAGAGAGGTTAAGAAGGCCAGGGTAGCCTAATTTTAGGATCTTTCAGTCATAATAAGAACTTTTTCTATTACACTAAGAAAGATGGAAAGCCATTAGTAAGTTCTGAATGGAGAAGCAACATAGTTTTCCTCTTACTTTAACAAGATCTCTTGCATTTTGGAAAATAAGGGCACAAGAACAGGAGCAGAAAGACCATTTTGGAGGTTATCATGTGATGATCCAGCTAAAAGATAATGACTGCTGGGGATCCTATAAATAGCACTGGATGTGTTTAGAAGAGAAAATCTAATCGAATTTGCTGATGAAGTGAATGTGAAATACGAGAGTATAAAATTTGACTCCAAGCTTTTTTGGCTTTATCAACTGGAAGGATGGAGTGGCCATTAATTGAGACTGGGAAAACTATAGAGGGGCAAGTTCAGACATTAAAGGTTGAGTTTCCCATTAGAAGCCCAGAGAGATTTAGATGAGGCAATAGATTATATAAGTCTGGCATTTAAGGGAGAGTTTCAGACATGATTAATACATTTGGGCATCACTGGTATATAGAAAGGGTTTAAATAAATGAACTAGATGAACTCATAAAAGCAAAAGGTATAGAGAGAAGAGAAGAGGTTCAAGGGCTGAGTCTGGGTCATTCCACTCTTTAGTGGTCAGAGAAAGGAGGAGAAGCTAGCAAAAGAAACTAGGTATTAGTAAAACTCCTATAAGCTAAAAGACAAGTTTCTTAGGGCCTAAAGCAAGCTTGTCCAACCCACAGCCTGTGGGCCGCATGCAGCGCAGGACGGCTTTGAATGCAGCACTAGACAAATTTGTAAACTTTCTTAAAACATCATGGGAATTTCTGTGATTGTTTTTTAGCTCATCAGCTATTGTTAGTGTATTTTACCTATGGCCCAAGATAATTATTCTTCTTCCAGTGAGGCCCAGGGAAGCAAAAAGATTGGACACCCCTGGTGTAAAAGATCAGCTGTGTTGAAAGCCGCGGGTAGGTCAATCATGTTGAAGACAGTGGATTTAACTATGGAGAGGTCATTAGGGCCTTGACAGAAGTAGTTTTAGTGGAATGGTAGAGATGAAAGCCAGTTTATTAGAATGATTCAAGAGAGAATAAAAGGAGAAACTTTGAGATTTTGTGAATTTTATTTAAGATTATGAGATTTGACATTATGAATCTGAGATTGTGAGTAGCAAAACTTCTTGGGAAGTTTGGTTGTAAGGGACAAAAAAAGGAAAATGAGGAATAGCACGTTTTCATTTTCTTTGCCTTTTGTAAGATGGGGAAAATAAGACGGATGTTCCTCTATTTGTGGGCATTTGAGAGTTCATGAACCAAAAGAAAAAAGAAAAAAAAGGCAATCTGTTTAAGAATCTGTATTCCAAAGAGAAATAAAAGATAGTAAGATCTTTGAAAGCCAATTTTCAGGCAAAGGAAGCATTACTACTGGAGGGGGGTAACAGTTTGTGTAATTGCAAGAGCAGTGGTTTAAAGTTTATAAACACAATCTGACCTTTGGCCTTTTTTCAAACATGCAAATAAATATTTCTCCTCGGCAAAATGAGTACTATTTTTAAACACGTTAAGCTTCTTCCTTTGTTTTTTTCAAACATGCTAAGCTTCTTCCTTTGTTCACAAAATATTAGAAGCAGAGTCCAAATCTTTGAATGAATTTTAAGAGACAAAAAGGTTGAGACTAGAAGCAGTGTTTTTTAAGTGCCCAAGAATTCCTAAAGATGGGAAATTCCCTCATTTTTATTTATTTACATTTTGTGTGAGTCATACCAGGGAAAATGCTAGTCAAATATCACTTCAATAGATGTTTTTATTTTACAGAAGCTTAAAAACCCTAAAAGTGTAATTTGTTTTCAGCATATTTTTGAAATTAAATTTAAAATGCTTTATTGCTGAAAAAGGCTAACAGTCATCTGAGCCTTTGGCGAGCTATAATCTTTTCGCTGGTGAAGTGTCTTGCCTTGATGTTGATGGCTGCTGACTGATCAGGGTGGTGGTTGCTGAAGATTGGGGTGGCTGTTGCAATTACATAAAAGAAGACAAGAATGAAGTTTGCCACATCAATTAACTCTTCTTTTCACAAAAGATTTATCTTTAGCACGTAATGCTGTTTGATAGCATTTTTTAAATAAAATAAAATTGAACAATCTTAAGGTATTCTCATGGAATTAGAAGTCCAGGGACTTTCAATAACAAGTGAAGAAGAAAAAAGTGGTAATTAGCTAATACTGTTTAGAGTTGTTATTAATTCTAGTGCCAAAAAAAAAATGTTAACTAGAATTGTTTTCACTGTGCCCATACCTGGGAATTCAAACACACCATCAACTGTCAGGGAAAGTAGAACAACTTAATGTTATAGATAAAACAATAACTCTTTTAAAATTTTTTAAAATTTTGATGTCTCAAACTATTGGCAATAGTAAAATAATTAGATGTCACAACACACTTTTTGTTTAGAATTCTTTGGTCTTGTTTTCCTAACACACACACACACACACACACACACACACACACACACACACAGCTAAAACAAAGTCCTTGAAAAGCAATAATTTAGTTATGAATGTAGACTAGACAACAAAAGGAAGAAAGCATATTCATCCCACACTGAAGAGAGTATATTTTTTATTGTGAAGAAAACATTAAGACGAAGAAAAAGAAATTACCAAGTGTTCAATGAACTGGGGAGCTGGTCTAAAAATAGTACTCATTTTGCCGAGGAGAAAAAGTTACTCATAACTCAACATGAGCATTTACAATTAATCTCTTGTTTTTATCACTTTCGAAATAAAATATACTCTTTATGTTCTCGACATGTGAGCTATGATATTAATGTCAATAGCAGAGAATAATATGGAAATGGAATCAGTATGATTATGCATGAGGGGAAATGGCAGCTTTGTAATCATGATATCTCTTGCACTAACAGATTTTGCACACTACCTTTTTCAGAATATGAAAGCCATTGAAGTAAAAATATAAAATTAAATAGTGTTGAAAAGTTCAATTTCTTTAGTGTTGGCATTCTATAAAATAAGTCTGGTTTCCAAAATAAAGAGTCAGTATGATCAAAATTTGTGTCACCTTTACTTATTTCACAAGTTACAGAAAATTCCTGACCCCAAGTGATCATTTTGAGTCCCTAGACATAAGACTTTGACACTTTAGATTTTTACTTTTGTGACAAAGAAATCACCCTGACTGTTGTGACAAAAAGAGAACCATCTCTGGATATTTTTACAGGAAAACAACAATTTCTTTGAAAGTTAAGATCTTATATTTTCCTTAGTAAGCTTAACAAGGTGGACATTTTTTGTGTGTGAATAGAAGGAATAGAGTTTAAGTAAACAACTTAAGGTGATAAATAATACCAATATCTGTTTCCACAAAACATATTTCAAGATTATGGCAGAAAACTGAAAATTAAAAGGTGACTTAAAATGGTATATGTTTCTATTAATAAAAGTAATAGATATTCATGGTAGAATGTATGAAAACTGCAAAACCAAGACAAAATACAAATGATCTGCAGTCACACCAATTATGAGTAACATTTAGCATTTGAAGTATTTACTTGAGGATATTTTCTATTCATATTATAGGAACTAAATTAAGATTATATTATAATAGATTCTTGCATTTCATTAGGTTACTTGTAACATCATAGGAATTTGCCCTCATCATTTAATATTATTTGAAAGAAATGATATACATAAAACAGTAGTATATTTTAAAATTTCTTTATTGTGTATTAAGATGTTTCTTTTTTATGGTATTCTAAATGGGCCTGAGATGAATCCACATGTATTTAAGTTTTGCTTTGATTGAAGCGGCTTTATAATTTTTTCCATTTCATTAATAAAATTTTAAGTATAGATTCTTACCCTACCTGTGATGGAATGAATGGCTAGGTATTTGATTTATTTATTAGGCCAAACTCTAAATATTTTTATATGTGTTAGAGCCTTCAAATGAAAAAGTAAATAAACTACAGAAAGAAAAATGAGAAATGGGAATAAAAATGGAGTCAGAGAAAGAACAATACTGGAAATATACAGCACACAATCTCAATCCCAAATAGTTAATAGAAATATGTCACAATGTTGTTTGGAATTTCTGAATAGCCAAACCAGAAAGGGAAACATACTACTTGTGAGTCTCAATTCTTAGGATTAAAATGTTATTCTCAGAGGTAGCTTCACCCTTTGTCAATACTGTAACTTCAGCAAAATTTCTTCCTTAGATTTTCATGAAGACAAATCAGATTGACAGAATGAATTTCATCTTCACTGACATCTCTTTAAGTAATTTTGACAGAGCTGTTTCTTCCATCTCTTCTTGTAAACTAAGGGCATAATGACCAGATCAAAAAAACTTAAAATACATAGTAATGGTCTCCACTTGTCAACTAAATTTCTATTTGAAGGATCTATAAAAGTGACTACTTGGTTGGATCATGTGTGCCTATTTTAACTTTTTAATTTAATTTCCTTTGGTTTTAACAAGCCACAAAATTAAAATATTTTGAGCCCCTTTATGATGGTGGGAGAAAATATTTTGACAGTTGGCTGAGAAGCTGTTGTTATGATAGGGATTTAGGGTATATCATTTTGTTTCCAAGAAAGTGATTTTGTTTTTAAATTGCATACTTTACTTAACTCCAAACAGAACTTGAGCTGGCTTACAGTTGAAAGCAAGAAGTACATGGAGTCACTAACACTAAAATAAAATAACATCATGGTATGCAAGTTTGGGGATAGATGCTTATACAGAAAATCAGGTTTAGAAGAGCTAGTGTATTAAACGTGTTGGCAACTAAGCCTACATAAATCTAATCAAATGATAAGAATCATTTCAGTTCTTTAGGAAAAATAGATGTTTTATGACCACAAAATCCAAACTTAACTCTTAGTTAAAAATCAGCATCAGACTTCTAGGTAAAAAAATGCTACACACTTCTCACTCCTTAAGTGAAATATGCCTTAAAATTGAGATGATGACATAGAAGAATGACTTGAGATAACTGTAGAAAATGCTGAGAAGGCTAAGAAATCCGAATAATTTGTGGGAAAATAGTAGACATTGAGCAAGATAAAAATGAGATAACATAAAAATAATTGGTTCTCCTAACAGATAGAAACCAAAAAATTGAGCAGAGAAATGATTTGAATACATAATATTAACAATATTTCCTAAGTTGAAGGAATATTCAGATTGACATCTGAAAAGAGCCCAGCATATTTCAGAGAAAGATGGTTTGAAATGGTTGCCAAGGATTGGTGTATAATTTGATAACTTGAAATTCAAAGCTAAAGAGAGAGAGAAGAGTATAGTGCTAAATTGTGGCACCATGAAGATATTAACAAGCACAAAAAGAATGACTGCCCCCAAATCACCCCCTGCATAAGATCTGGACTAGTATTCGCTAAGCCTGGCATGTTAAGGTGAGATGGCCCCCAAGGGCTGCGGAGCATTAGACAATTAACTCTTCATTACTCTGCATTTTTTACCTGGAAGTCTGATGTTGATTTTTAATTTAAGAGTTAAGTTTGGCTTCTGTGGTAACAAAATATCTATATTTTCTAATGAACTGAAATAATTCTTATAATTTCATTAGATTTATGTAGTCTTTGGTGATCCAAAAAATAGTTTCGAAGACAAAATCAGAATTGTAAGATGTGGTAGATACTGTTAATTGGCCCTTTCGAAATTCTTTACATATTCCTTCTATTTGAAAAAGTTGAATGGCTTCTGCCATGCCCCAGTAATGGGTACTGAACTTATTTTTTTGTAATAAATAAATAACTGGAAGGAATATATAAAACAAGAGTTTTCAAACATTGGACAAGAGGCAGTACAGGGCTGTGATACACAGAAGTGTAACAAAGGAGATGAGTCCTACAATCTTCCTAGATTTTTATGTGGAGCTGATTTCCAGGTTACACAGGAAGTGGCTCCCAAGCTGAGCACAATCACTTCTTTCCCTTGATCTACAAGATCCAATCTCTTAGAAACATGTTTGCTCTGAGCTTAAATATCCTGATAATTATAATACCCTTGTTTAGAATTGCTGCAAAAATCAAATAACAAAAATATTTATTTATATCTGTTATATATAAATAACATATACATAATATATATAATATACATCAGATACATAACATATATTATATAGATGTAAAATCAAGTAATAAGTACCCAACAAATTTTAGCCATTATTAATATTACTTACTTATATTACAATGTTTTCATTTTTAGTGAGGTTACCATACTTTAGATGAAGGAAATTTAGAATTTCATGACACAAAAAGACTATAAAATTGGTAGAACCTGTCAAAATTCATGTAATAGCAAGTCATAGTAAGTGGAATTTTTTAGACTTTTCATGGGATAGAAGAAAATAGAACTAGTAAAAAAATGTATGCAATTACTTATTGTGTTGTACAGTTTATGAGCTGAATAGTGGTAGTGTTTGCTTGGCAATGGGGCCTAACAAGAAAAATTTATACCACATCTTGGAAATAAACTTCATGATCTTGAACAAAACCCAGCAGCTGCGAGTCACGACTTATAACTGAAAACCCCAGAATGAGGCACTTGTGGAAGCCTGGTGCATGAAGACTCCTTAGAGACACTGTTCCTCTTAATTAGCCCAAGGAACTAAAGGAAGGCCTTTTACATATTACTCTCAGGTGTTTGATAATGCTTCATGGGCTGAAGAAGCTGATCACTTGAAAACTTTTATCTTTCAGGTGAGATCATTATCCTTCACAAATGGGTTGCTTGGGAGCAATAATTCAACATTTAATTAGTTTTCTTTATTTCTCCTAAGGGATACATCTATGAAAATCTGAACTGCATTGTGGTTGAAGTTTCAGTAGGCTTCAGTATCAGAATAATGTTCCCAAATGGCATATTTCCTATTATTAGTCAACAGTATGAGCTTTGAGTATTTTAGTGCAATGTTTATAGGACATGGTGCCATAAGGCAATACAGCTTTAACCCTGCACTCTCTTGTGAGATTTTAATAGCTTTGACGTAGTTCCACTCTCTGGAAGCATTAGAGCACACATAAAGTGTGCATATTCATTGTAGAAAACATGATCCTAGGACAATCACAGTGGTATATTGCAAAATAGCACTAACTCTTCACCTCTTCCTGTATCTATGCCTTTTGTCATATAGCTTTGTAAGATCCTCCCCCTCTAATTCTGGGGTCAGTCATGTGACTAGCTCAGACAAACAGGGTCTAAAAAATCACTTGTACAATATGGCTTACTCTCTTTAGCTCTCTATCATCCATAAGAAGGACACACCAAGGCTGGTTTGCTGGAAGATGAGACACATGGAAAGGAATTTAAATATCTCAGCCAAGGCCATTCAAAGCCTCCCCAACTCCAGCCCACCCCTGACATATGGAAGAGCCTAGCTAAGACTAGTAGATCCCCCCAGCTAAACTTGAGATTTGTGACGTAAATGAGTGTTTATTGCCTTAAGCTATTGAGTGTTGGAGTGGTTTGATAGAGCATTAAACTACTAACCCCCCTCAAACCTATTTCTGTAAATTGAATTAAATGAGAAATACAAGTCAGTTCCTTGGGGGTCTTTTCCATCTTCAGAAACCAAATTCCTGCAAGCTACCCTGGCTTGCTTAGGTGCGAGTATAACTCAGGTACTCTGCATTAAATGATTTGGCAGAGCAAATCCATACCACCTTTTCCCTTCTGCACATTTCTGTCTTGATTTCAAAATATTTCTTTCAATTGGCATAAGGGAATCTTTTCACATGGGGTTAAAAAATTTGATGGATTACATTTGGAAAGAACATGGTGCACTCAAGCTGAGAGTTCTCAACAAATAATCATCAAAAGGCTGTAAAGAATAAGCCCAATGCCAAAAGAATTATGTGAGTTCTGGCACATCTAATAAAGATATATTTCTCATTCATAATATGAAGTTAATTCTCCATTTCCAAAATTCTTGAGTAATTAGTGAATGTGCCTAAGCTTCTCATATAAAGTGCCTGCATTTTATTTATCTTGAACAGATTTATTGAGGTATAATTTATATACAAAAACTGCACATATTTAATGTGTACAATTTGATGAGTTTGGACATAAGCAAATACTCATGGTACAAGTACTGCAATCAATGTAATAGACATCCAACAACTCTCAAAATTTCCTTTTGTCCCTTTCTTTTCCTTTCTCTTTTTCTTTGTTTGCTTTATTCCTTTCTTTTTATTTGAGTGGTAAGAACACTTATTATGAAACCTATCTTAACAAATTTTAAAGTGCACAGTACTGTACTCTTAACTACAGGCACTTCATTGTACCCCAGAGCCCCAGAACTTATTCACCTAGCATAACTGAAGCTTTATACAGGTTGAATAAAAATTTCTTATTTCCTCCACCCCAAGCATCTGAAAACCACTATTGTATTCTCTGCTTCTCTGAGATTGACTATTACAGATGTCCATATAAGTGGAATCATGCAATATTTGTCCTTCTGTGATTGGCTTATTTCACTTAGAATAATTTCCTCAGGATTCATCCATGTTATTGCAAGTAACAGAATTTCTTTCACTGTAATGGATATACTACATTTTCTTTATCTATTCATCTGTTGATAGTAGACACTTGGGTTGTTTTGGTATCTTGTCTATTGTGAATAATGCTGCATAATTCTCTTCAAAATCCTGATTTGATAATCTTGAATTATTTTTGATATATGTTCAGAAGTGGAATTGATCAATCATATGGCAGCTCTATTTTTAACTTTTGAGGAACTGCCATACTGTTTTCCATAGCTATAGCACCATTTGACAAGGGTGCCAAAAATAGTATACACTGGTGAAAAGAAAGTTTGTTTCATCAACAAATGTTGGGAAAACTGGTATTCACGTAAAAAAAAATAAAATTTGACCATCTTACATAATCTACAAAAAAAAAAAAAAAACTCAAAATAGATCGAAGACTTAAACCTAAGTCTTGAAACTATAAAACTACTCAAAGAAAACATAGAAGAAATGTTTCTTGAGTGTGGTCTTTGCATTGATTTCTCAGACACAACAACAAAAGCATAGGCAATAAAATCAAAAATGGAAAAGAGGGATTACATGAAATAAACAAACAAAAACCTTCACAGCAAAGAAAATAACAGAATGAAAAGGTAAACTACAGAATGAGATAAAATATTTGCAAATTACGTATCTGATAAGTGGTTGATTTATGAAATATAAGCAACTCATACAACCCAAAAGCACAAACAAATAAACAAACAAAACCAATTCAATTAAAAAATGAGCACAAGACTTTAACGGACATTTCTCCAAAGAAGACATATAAATGGCCAACAAGTATATGAAAAGATGCTCAACATCATTATTTATCAGGGAAATACAGGTCAAAATTATGAGATATTACTTCCTACCTTTTGGGATTGCTATTCACAAAGAAAATACACACAAAAAAACAAAATGTAAGTGTTAGCAAGGATGTGGAGAAATAGAAACCTTTGTATACTATTAGTGGGAATGTGAATTTTAAAAATGGTATCTATAATTAAATGCTATAGGTAAAGTGTGTTGAATGTGTATTGGCTCATAAACTATATAATTTTAATACTTGATCTTACAATGCTTGTGGGTGTTTGAAAATATCTGAGTATGTTTATCTTTTGAAAATAAATATGGATGATATATTTAGTATTAAAGTTATAACATATGTTTTTGGCGAGTACAAACAAAAAAGTTTCTTAGAATTTGCATTTATGTCCTGTGTCCTGCATATAAAGGTTTATTTTACCTTAATAGGAAATTATGTTTCCCAAATTATTAACAGTCTTATTAATTTTCATTCCCTTATAACTACTTCCCTTCATCTCTAATATGACAGTACCAGAAAGTTATTATTATTATTATTTGAGACGGAGTCTCACTCTGTAGCCCAGGCTGGAGCACAGTGGCGCAATCTCAGCTCACTGCAACTTCTACCTCCTGGGTCCTGGTTCAAGCAATTCTCCTGCCTCAGCCTCCCAAGTAGCTGGGATTACAGGCATGCGCCACCATGCCCAGCTAATTTTTGTATTTTTAGTAGAGACGGGGTTTCACCACGTTGGCCAGGCTGTTCTTGAACTCCTGACCTCATGATCTGCCCGCCTCAGTTTCCCAAAGTGGTGGGGTTACAGGCTGAGCCACCACATCCGGCCAAGTTTTTCATCATTTTTGATTTGTAAATCACTAAATCACATGGCAATGTAGTTAAAACATGTCCAGTGCCATTAACGGTTCAAAAAAGAAAAAAAAAATGTGTTTTTCTCTGGAGTCCTGTTCACAAGTTCATTAGTAAAAGCTTGTACGGATACTCATAATTGCATGTCACAGTTCCTCTAAGTTTATTTTTCTAAAACCATACTTATCCTTCTTCTTTCTTATTGATTAAAAAAATACTAATGTATTTTTCACGTTTCAACACTGCAAACACACAAATTCTCCATTTACTCTTCATTGGTTTTCATAATACTGCATTTCCCACTACATCTCCTTAAGTATAATGGAATCACATAATAAAAATAAATAACTAATGTTTTAGAAAATCTACTTCTTTCTAGAACAAGTATATTGAAATGTTTGAAGTCATAGAAAAAATATATATGAAAGCCTGGACTGAAAAGTCAAGTTTTATTTTTATATATTTATTTGCCAAGTGACCATAAAATATACATGTACCCTCTCTCTCCAGAAAAGGCACGTTAAGAAAAGCAATACTTACTAAACTTAGTTTACCTGTTAAAATTAATTACATCTAGCTTACCAGATAATGCAATCAAAATCATTAGGATAAGCTTTTCCAGCATATGAGATTGAAAGTTCATCAGAAATCTTCCTTTTTTTTTTTGGAGATAAACGTAGCCATCTTCCCATTCATTCTTTAGACAAGGACTTTTCCCAGATAACTGTATGTAACAAAGTTCAAATACTTGAATGTGGACCTACAAATATTTTAAAATTCAGATTTCTTACAGATATGTAACATTAACCACCACCCACCTGGCACAACATTACATATTGAATAGCTTACCTTTTCAGTTCAAAGTGTAAGTTAGAAGAGATATACGTAGTAAAACCTTTTCCAGGGAATCTACAATATCTGAGAAAATGTATACATTAATATACCTGGTTAACTTATCCCATGATGTGATGTACCTAGAAGCTGTCTTTACAATCTCATATTGGCTGGTAGAGAATATACAAAACTATAGCTAATTATAGGTGAGTCTTCAACATTTCTGAACCAGTTATCTCTATTCTAGTGGAAGCTGCTATAAAAGATTGTCAAAGATTATTAATGAGAAATGAAAGTTGGACATGAAGGAACAGTGTCCACAAACATCCTTCTCATATGTAGGGGGGAATTTCCATTTTTGAAACTGATAGGGCAGAATCCCTTATGAGAAAATTTAGATATTTATCCAAATTCCTACAGGAATTAAGTGTATTATAAAGTTGGTGCTTCAAGTCAGTGTGTGGCAGGGGAAAGGGATGGATTATCCAATAAGTAATATTGGAACTAGTAAATTCTAGTAGAATCTAATTTGAAAAAATTAAAATTGGATTTGTATCTCCCATACTACAATAGGAAATATCCCTAATAAATATGTATGTACATTTAGTAAATGAAAATTTGTAAATCTAGAAGAAATCATAACTGAACTTTTTATATAATTCTCTAGATTTCACAGCCTTTCTAACTGTAATAAAAAGCTTAGGAAACATTTGTAAATGATTGATATATTTGAATATATAATATATTTTTAAAATCTTGATGGCAAAGTCAACAAGTACAGAGTAAAAGAGAAAGCTGACAAACAGTAATAATATTTGCAGAAATATGGGTGCTCTCCTAATAGAAAAAGTTTCTACAAATCAATAAGAAAAGGGCCAGAGACTCAAAAATATAAGCAATGAATAAATGATTAACATAAAAACAAAGAATAAAACAATAGAAACAACAGATTCACATAAATGAAAATAAAAGTGAGTCTCAAAAGTATTAAAAGATATTCAACCTCACTGATAACTTGAGAAATGCAAATCAAAACTATACTGCATTGAAATGGTAAAGATGAAAAAATTTGATGGAGCACATGTGTAGCATACTGGCCTGCAGGAAATTAACCCAGACCATTGATACAGAGATACAAACTAAATCATTGTTTCTTCATTTTGTACACCCTCACATAATTTCTTCATTGAAAGTGCATGGGAGCATAATATCAAGAAATCAAAAGAAGAAATAAATAAAAAGAAGAAATAAAGATACTAAATTGTTGCTGAACTCCTTCAAAATGTATTGTTGAAAAATTAGTATTCTTTTTCAAATAACTTTTAGAGGAAACAAAGGCAACTTACCCTTCCTAAATTAAATCACTCCTCAAAAATCATTTAGATGGCTGAATTATATATAAGTTGGGTTAGATAGACATATGATGATAGATGATACAGATGATGATAATGAAGATAGATGATACAGAGAGATAGATAGATAGATAGATAGATAGATAGATAGATAGATAGATAGATAGATGATAGTTTTATTTTTCTCATTTTCTCCTTGCCAATAAAAATCTGCTTGCAGAATTTCAGCTAATAAATCATTTGGTTGCCTACAGAACCTACTTCCTTTTTAACAAGTGTAAGATTCCACAGAGATGTAACAAAATCCTTGTGCTTTAGCTGAAAATTGTGCCCACATTACTTGCTTCAAAACCTTTTCCATCTTTGCAATAGGTGCAATAGATATTATATAGATAAATTATTCACGTATTTGTGTTCTTTTCTGCCATGAAATGATAAAAAAGTTCTTTTGAGATTCTTTGTTATGATCCTTTAGCTGTAAGGAATTCCTTCAGCCTTTTAAAGTGATTTCCTCTTTTCTTGCTACTGTAATATTCTTAAATTTACATTGGGTATATGGCCTTTATTTTTCCCTCTCGGCATCATTTATATCTTATGGCCTAAAATTTCACAATGATGTGCCATATTGTGTTGCTTATTTTTCATAATGCTGGGTTATAAATAAAATGTTTGAATCTGAAAATATGCCTCCTGGAGTTCTGAGAAATGTTCTTGTATTACTTATTTAACCACTGATTGTTTCTCCTTTTTCTCCATTATCTCTTTGGATTTCCTGTTAGTTGGAGATTAAACCTTCTGGCTTGTTACTGTCATGATTATATATTTTGTAATTCATTATACATTTATTTGACTTTTTTATTATTGTGTGGGAGATATTGCCCTTTGTATCACAAGTCTTCTACAAAATGTTTTGTTTTTATTATATTTTTAATTGATAAGACCTCTTTCTCACTCTTTATATGTTTTTTTTTTTTGGAATATAACATGCTTTTTAAAGAATACATTATTAATTACATCTATAGATTTTTATATTTTTCACTCTCTATCTGCATTGCTTTTATTTCTTCCAAATTCCCTTTCCCTTGCTTTGAATGAAGCTTTTTTAGAAGCAGGTTTTCTCCGAGGTCAGGTTACCTTCACCCCTCTTCAAATGTAAAAAAAAAGGCAACAACAACAGCAACAACAACAAACCCAACAAAAACAGGTTGGAGGTTTTGTGTGGTGAACAGCAATTTAAAGTCATTAGGCTGTTGTTTCATTAGGGACCAGTAAAATGTCCATGTCAGGTCTTCTTTCCCTGCCAATCCATGTCTTCAGAGAATCTTCCAGTGCTCTACCTTAGTATCTTTCATGTCTATATTCTCATCAGATCTCATGAGAACCTTCTCACTATCACGAGAAGAGCATGGGGGAAACCACTCCCATGATCCAATCACCTCCCTTCTGGTCCCTCCCCCAACACATGGGGATTACAATTCGAGTTGAGATCTGAGTGGGGACACAGAGCCAAACCATATTACATATGATACCAATCTTATATAAACAAGAGGGTGGGCCAGATGCAATGGCTTATACCTGTAATCCCAACACTTTCAGAGGCCGAGGTGGGCAGATCACTTGAGGACAGGAGTTTGAGACCAGTCTGGCCAACAGGGCAAAACCCTGTCTCTACTAAAAGTACAAAAATCAGCTGGGTCTGGTGGCAAACACCTATAATCCTAGCTACTTGGGAATTGGAGGCAGGAGAATCATTTGAACCTGGGAGGTGTAGGTTGCAGTGAGCCAAGGTGGCACCACTGCACTCCAGCCTGGGCAACAGAGTGAGACTCTGTCTCCAAAAAAAACAAACAAAAAAAGTGACACAGCCTCATATACATCTATTATGTACCTACAAAAATTATAAAATAAGATAATAAAAATTTAAAAATTTAAAAATAAACAAGAGGGGCATATGTGGGGTGTGTGTGTGTGTGTGTGTGTGTGTGTGTGTTCAAAGCAAAACTTTGAAAATGAGAAAACATGTAGAAATGGTAAGAGAATACATACATGCTTTATATGAGTATGAGTCCAGCATTACAGTCCTGGATGATTTACATCATAGAATGATGAAACACTCACTGGTCTCATTCAGTAAATCACCCAATTAGAATAATTGTTAACCATGAAAGAGGTAAGATAAGGCTAGAGACTAAAAATGAACAATTATTGTTCATTTCTAACATGAACAAAGGGTCCAGCATGTCAGCCATTTGTGTATTGAGCCTTACTGTAATAAACTTCTTTATCAATAAGGATCCCATTATTATATATTGTCTATTGAGGCATACCTATTAAATTATCAAATGCCTCAATGCTGAGATAAAATACTAACAATGATAGAAAATTCTGAATATACTGAAGAAGTTAGATGAAAGTAATAACGTAAAATTTGGCAGATAGAAATGAAGAGTCCTAGAATTAGGTTCAAAATACCATCAGTACAATTATATGACCAAGGAAACCTATTTAACAGGTTGTTTGAAGGAAAAAATTCAAATACTGTCATTGAGTTCAAGCCTTATCATAGCAAGGCTTTTCCTAAATGAGTACAATCTCATGCTGCATTAATGGAAACATAGTGTCTACAAGAAGAGAAATTCACAATTCTTTGAAATATCTAGAACAGCATGTTCTGCTCCAAGAACACTTTAGGGCACAAAGAACAAAAGAGGGTGACCAGGATGACAAATGTTTGGAAACAGTTATCAGGAAAGCTTGTAGGAACCAGGGATGTTGAAATGAAAAGAGATGTTTATGTGAAACAAATCTCTGTTTTAAAATGTTAGAAGCTTTGTCCAATGATCAGAATGATTACACATTCTATGCAGCCCAGGAAGCAGGAGTAGGAAAATTGAAAGGAAGATACAGGAAAGCTGACTTTCACTTCGGAATCAGAGAGAGAACTTTCCAACTGAGAGGCTAGGGCAACACTGAATCCTCCCTCCACCTCCACAGTATTTCATCATGCCCTAAGCTGCCAGATGCTGCATCCACAATGAGATGATGATGAGCAAAGATTAAAGGGATTAGGCCTCTCCCATCTGGAAAAAAAACAACCATTAAGAGATGATATAGTCCATTTTAAGTCAACAAAGATGGGTTCACTAAATCTTGAAACTAATAGGACCTCATCTATGAACTATTATTTTAACTTAAAAATGGATAATATTAACAGAAAGCATTTGCTAAACATAGAGCATGTGCCAGGAACAATTCTAAATGCTTTACCTAAATTGTCCCATGGATTGCATGCAAGACCTCAATGTGGTAAAAATTATCTCCATTTTGCAGATTAGGAAACTAAAACTGGGAAATGTTTTTTAAAAAAATTATCCTTGGTCACAAACTGCTAAGTGGTAGAAGATTTTATTTCATTCTCAGGGTTATGATTTCAATGCTCAAGTGTTTTCTGCTTCGATGCTCTGTCTTGGCACATGGGAGGCCAAATTAAAGACTATATTGATGGCCTAGGCAAAACAATATCATCTTTGAAAGAAGTTAATGAAATCCAGAAAACAGACTACTGATTTATTTTCATCAAGAAGTTTCTGCAGTTCAAGAAAATGACCGTGAGACTTTTACTTCTTTCATTTTCTTAAAAACAGCCTATATAATTCTATGTATAAAGTACTTTACATTAACATACATTTTTACACTTAAACACAAAGCATATTTCTCAGAGAATCTGAAATCTCTGTTAGTTGACACTTCTGCATATTTACCATAATAAGCCACGTTATCCCTGATATTGCTGTATGATAGTGAATTGCCTTTTGAGTCATCCAAAGAAGGTATAAATTAGACTTAGAACAAGACTAAAAGCTGTATGAAGAAATAGAGATCTCAATAAATGTAATTACCTGGACAATTATAAAAGTTAGTATTATTATAATGGTTTGTAGCTACATTTTCATTTTCTACATGACTTAAGAGACTAATACATTAAAACATTATTAGATCAAAATCTAGTATTATAACATTAATTTGTAACTTCATATTTTGTTCTCTACATAATTTAAGAGATTAATGCAAAAAAAAATTACAAAAAAAATTATTAGCTTATGTTTTGGGGTACGCAATGTATGAACATCATTTCGTGATATTGACAATTGAAAGAGATGAAAAAGAAGCTGTAAAGGAGCAAAGTTTTTGTATGTTATTAAAGTTAAGCTGCTATAAAAAAGAACAAGATTATTATTAGGTACACTCTATTATGCCATATTTTGTGAATGTGCATAGCATGACTTTTTTTGATAATCAGAATACCTCATTACTCATTTATGAGAAAGAATACATTTCTTTTAGTACTTTACCCAGCAGAAGCAGATGTAAATTTTTTACTTCATGTGGTAGTAGAAGTGAAAAATAGATTACAAAGGTGAAAAATGTAATTAAGTTTAAAAATATAGAAACATTCACAAACCAGAAAAAAAGAGAATATGTTGTGGTAGGAAACAAAGCTATATGAAATTTATTTTTAAAAATTGAGATGATGTTAAGGCAAGATAGACACATCCTTCATCAGAGAAAGAAAGCTGGATTGTAAAGAACAGCTTGGACCTGACTCAATGGTTTATTCTTCTGCTCTTATTTTAAAGGTCTGATACTTGCAGATATGGTCAGGTGTCAGAGGCTTACTACTGATAGACCTCAAGATCAATGGAAACATATCTGGGGAAGTTTCTCAGTTTCCCTTTGACTTCTAAAAGCAATGCCAGACAAATAACTATTTTTTAGAATGTTCATAGTTGAGCCATAAACCCACACAAACTCTTATGATTGCCTCCTTCTTGATACTAGATTTTCCCATTTACATGGCAGAAGGGCTGTCATAATGAAGGTCTCAGTTTCAATTAAGACCACCAGTTAGAGAAAATACAGACAAGTTTAGCTATGAACAGAGAGTTTCTAAGAGGAGACTACAGACATCAAGTCCAGGGGGCAGTTGAAGAGGAACAGCATAAGGACTGATCATGGGTAGGAAGCCTAAAAGTTCCTAAGAGTAAGGCTGCAGGAAAGAGCAGATGCCAGAGGAGTTTATATACTGGATGGTGATCAAAGATAATAATATGAGTCATAATAGGTTACATTTATCACAAGGTTGCTACGGGATTAAACCTCTTTAGTCTATTGGATGGAGTGTAGGCATGGGAATTTCTAATGCCTCTCCAGCATCAGCTGTGGCCTTGCTCCCTAGAGGAATCGTTGTTTCTAGTGGACAGAGAGACCCAAGTTTTCTTGAAAGGAGTAAGCAATGATGCAACCACTAATTTACTCATCTCCCTTTTTTTAGAAACTACATTGATATGTCTCTTAACCAATGGTGAGGTCAGGGAATATTTCAAATTCATCTTTGTGCCTCTAGACTCTACTACAGAGCCCAGCACGTGACAGATGTTTAAAGTAGGTATTGAATATACCACTAAAGGTGAAAGGCAAGTAAGATATGCAGAATTCAGAGGACCACAACTACTCACATTATGACTTTAGAAAATAAGATGAATGAATAAAGCAAATGTGGTGTATGTACACAATGGAATGCTAGTCAGCCTTAAAAAAGAAGGTAATCCTGTAATTGGTGACATGAATGCACCTAAAGAGCATTAATGACATAAGCCAGGCACAGAAGGACAAATACCACGTGATCTCACTTACATGTGGAGCAATAAAAAAGTTGAACTAGTAGGAGTAGAGGTTACCAGGGGCTAGGTGGGTGAGTGGAGTTTAGGGGAATGTTTCTGTTTTCCCAATCTTACTAAATAGTTCTACTAAATAATTCTCACCTCTTCATTTTATACATCCATTATAAAATCGCCCACCATGATGGTTTGGAGTTGAGCAGGGAAGAGCAGGCAATAGAGTACCTGTAAGTGACCCTAAGAATGCCATTTACTACTAAGTGAATTTGAACAATTAACTGACAGTCTATTATCTTGTTTATCCCAAATGTGTAAAAGAGTAATAAAAATACCCACACTACCCATATGAGGTCTTATATAAACAACAGCCCAAATGAGATCACATATAGGAATATGCAGGGTAAGTTAGGAAGAATTTAAATATGTTGGTTACTATTATCTTGCTGTTTCTACTTTGCCACTTAGAGGAATGAGTGTTAATCCCTGTCATTTCATCTGCTGAGGACTCCAAATTCTGACTATACACAGACATTGACTCGTGACCAAGGGTGTTAAGTGTAAAGTCATTCAGAAAGGAAAATATTAAAGATTAACTTTTATAGAACTGTGGGTGATGATAAAATTTTTTTGCCCAATTAATTACTTGAAGTTTGCCATCTCTGCCACTGGCAAGCATGCAAACATTTAACAAGTATCTAATGAGAGCAAGTAATTGCACACCCTCTGCACACTGCTCAATTTTTCCCTGATGTGCCCTAAATGTGCTGACACCAGCTTTCCTTCATCCGTGTCCCTCCAGGCCAGGAATCTCAGATGGCTCTATCAATAGAAGGCACACTGTGCTTATTCTAATTCATTGGAGATGAACAAAGACTACGATCTTGGAAGTAGTAAAAAGTACCTCTCTTGGGGCAAGAACTTGGCAACGGAAATGTAAAACGAAAGCCTGACCCCAAACAAGCTTGGGATTGTTCCTTTTTTACTAAACTAATATTAACTATGGAACAAATTTTAAGACAGAAAATTGACAAAATCTGAAATTTTTTTGCTTAGATACCTGGCCTCATCCTTAGACCTCTCCATCTCTGACCCAGAATATCTATCTCTTCCTCTACAGAAATTCCTATACACATTGTATGCTCCTGTACATGATGTAATTCCATACACATTATTCATTCATTAATGTTTAATGCATTTATATATTTTATTATTTTATTGAATTCAACGCATTGCTTTAGTAGTAGTATCAACATTCATCATAAGCACTTACTGTATGTTCCAAGCATCATAACAAGGGCTTTATATTAATTATTTAATCCTTCTAACAACTCTGCGAGGTAAGCCCTTTATTATCCCCATTTGATGAACCAGTCTCAAGGAGGTCACATTACTTGCCTAAATTCACCCAAATAAGCTAGTAAGTGATGGATCAGTGATTTAAACCAGGTCTGTGTAGCTTTGGAGTCTGAGTTCTTAACTATCGTATTAAACTGGCTAGGTGTTGGGGCCCTAAGCATTGAGAGAACGTGCCCTACCTGTTAATTTTAGTGAAGGAATGCAGAGGAAGGGCTGGAAGACTTGGAAAAGTTTGCTGAACCTCACTTAGGGTGAAAAGCGTCAGGAGAAGAAAAAAGTAGGGAGGGAGATCAGGAAAGGCGTTAGCAATTATAATAAAGAGTTTTGACTTTATGCTGAAAACAATGGAGAAGAACTGAAGGATAAGATTACTGTATCATATTTATGCTAGATGTACTGGAATAGGATATGGCAGGAGGCCCAGGGAGCAGATAGGAAGGCGGTGATAGTGATAATCCCGATGAGAAATGAGGAGGACTAAGGTCAATGACTAGGAGAAAGGAGGAAAACGGGTACAGAGAATGAGGGAGAGGGGGTGATATAGAATTCCTCCAAAATTTTTGCTTGGAGACTCTTAATGGTACATTTATCTGTAAGGGAATACAGGGACATTGCAAATGTGGGGAAAAATGAAATGTAAACTGAGGAGCCTATGGCATAGCACAGGTGCTCTGATGAGCAGTCAGGACTTTGAAACGTAGTGGGAGCTACTGCCATTTGTACAATGATGAGCCATAGGATTCCTTTCTGATATAAACTTCTGATCAGTTAGTGCTAATCAGAGCAATGTTTCATTTGAAGTCTAGAGAAAAGATATGTGAGAAAGGCATTCAGGGTGGTGAATAAGATGTAGACTTGCAGTCAGGAATGAACACATAGACCTCTGTTTTAGAAAGATATTGAGAGTACAGTGAAATCAGAAATGCTGTAACACTAGAGTGCAGAGTCGGACTGTCTGGACTTGAATCTCAGTTTCCCATTTACTATCTACCTGACCCTGAGTTAGCTACTACTACTAAATCTGTGTCTCCAAGACTTTACCTGAAAAAATGGGCACAATTATAATTCTTCAGAGTGCTGTGAGAAATAGATATCCTGAGAAGTGCTTAACCATGTAGGAAAAAAATCAATTGCTCACTTTAAAAAAAAAAACCATAAATATGTATTGTATATGTTATACATATAAGAATCTTAAGTACCAGACAGAAATTAAAGAGATATGATAGAAAAGAAGTCATTAAACATTTTAATATGAAAACACTTGTCCATAAAAGAACACTTTTTCCTCATAGGAACTAATACAGATTAATCACTATGAATTCAGGATTATTCAATCAATTTTGTTTTCTTTAGACAATAAATTTGAGGCCTAGAGATGTTCAGTGACACAACCAAGGTCACATCCAATCAAGCCAGAGTCAAAATCAGCAGTTTCCTAATCCCAAGTAAGATGAATCTTTCACTACACGATGCTAGATAATAATCCGTTTAAAGAAAAATCTATCAGTTAAGTCAAAATCTTTACGTCACTTCTACCTCATTTTTATCATTTATCTATCAAAAATAACTTGTGTCAAATTGTTCTTAGAATGTCAAATCTCTGAAGCAGAGATTTTTTTTTGCCTTTTTAGAATTAACTTTTCCCATACACTGTGCTGTGTATGCAGTAGGCAATTTAGACGATAATAACCAGCATTTTGTTTATCTGTCTGAAAGAGTGTTATGGGGTATTTGTCCTCTGGTGAAAATTACACACTGGTAAGTTTCAATGTTTTTTTTGCTTGTCTCTGTAAAGTTTGTATTTCTTATGAGGCACTTTTTTTCCAAGTTATTTTTATGGATGGATTGGAAAGATAAAAAGAAGATGGTAGACCAAGGGCAAGGTATAAATACAAGCTAACGAGCTAGAAAAACTGATTTCCTTATATAATTTTCACCTTCCCTTTTCCCTTCCCCACTAGGATATATATATAAAATTTATAATAAAATCAGGCTAGAATGTCTGCCAAAGATAGAATATAAATTTCATTACAGTAAAGCTAAAAATCTAGATACATAGTTATGCAAAGATTTAACTAAGTGTAATCCACTGCCATCAACTTTGAAGACAGCGTCACGTTCCCCAGGATAAATAATGAGGGTTTGCATTAATACATTGAATGAGAAAATGCTCCTTTGCATTAAATTGATTTTTATTTTTGTCATATTTTCCCATATGTCATATGTCCAGCAGGACTTGCTCTCTGTTTATTTTGTACTCATTAGATTTACGTAGTTTTTATAGGTTAAAAGAAATAAAAAGGCTTGGGTACTTGAATACTGATTGGGCAGTTTAAAGACAAAATATTGTATTTCCTTCTCTTTATTGACAAATAATTTGGAACATAGCAATAGGGGGAAAAAATGTAACCTGGATACTGAGACAAACATTTCCAAGAAATTCTTATAGCTACTCTTAAAGAATGACGTCTTAACACAGTATTTTTTAGATGCTTCAAGCAATTTTTAAAAGAAAATGAGAAATAATCCAGTTAGGAGGTAATTCAGAGTAAATGGTATTGCATAAATAGAAAGCACACAAATGATCTTTAAATGCATGCTTAGAAAACGAAGCATTTACATTTATGGGAAAGAGTAGATGACTCCAGTAAAATTGCTCTTATTGTATAGCACTTATTTGGTACTTTACATTTTAGAACTGTGCTACTGTTATTGAATTAAGCAAGAGTTCCAACACTTTATATGAATTACTTTTACCCACAAATTATGCAGGACTAGAAAGTACATGAGAAAGTTGCAAAAAAAAAAATGCTGTTGATAAGCTTCATTTCATCACTAAGAAAGTTTGTAAATCTGAAGAACTGAATGTTGACTTTGGAGAACTATGGAATGGGGGCCAGAAGCAAAAACAGATCTTTTCAATTGGATTACAAATAATGACACAAGAACCCATCTGCCTATGTTTTGTGGTGAAGAATGCCATGATTATTTGATGAGTAGGAGGGAAAGTTTGGTGGGATGAAAAATGGAACAAAACCAGGGAAGCTGGCTGCCTCAAGTTCAACAAGAAAATGTCAAATTAAATGTGTGTTCTCTTCCTGAAAAATACCCACCCTCGTTATGCAACCACGTGTTGACGACTGATGCAAATGAAATTTTCGAGTCCCATACAAATGTGTTGCTTATGATGTCAGCTTAGAGCGAGCCAGTCCTCAGCAATACACAGAATTAATATTGTAGCCTTAGAAAAAAGATGCAGACATTAAATGTTTATAGGTACAATCTCCCTTTCCTCTTTCCTATATTCCTATTTAATCACGAACTACTAGAATTAGAAGAGTTGTGGCTTTGGATTAAATATAATTTGAATCCTGGCTGTCACCTTTATGGGGAAAACTAGGCTACTGCTACTTCCCTAAGGCAAACACATCTGTGATTTAAGCTAATAGGCCCTGCATGTCACTGTTGCTTCCTACAAACAGGGCTAAAATAGCCTGGCTTTGCAATAGAACCTGTAATCTTAAAGAGAAATCATATCATTTTGAATAAAGTCCACCTTATCTGATAAAACATTTTCATGCCAACTAGTGATTTTCCAACTGAATGAGTGTTTCAGTTAATGAGCATATGTGAACATTTTGATTTAAAAAAAAGCTGGAGATTCAGCTTTAAACTCTGAGGTACTGTATTCATTCTCAATTTCTAGCTTAAAAAACTGAAAATAACTTTTTGAGATAAAAATGAGAAAAGCTGAATTCTTTTGCTTTGTTTTCTGAGATTTACCTTTATCAAAAGTAGTTGTTATTTTAGTGAGTACTAATGTAAACACTGAAACACCAGCACTATAAAACATTTTACACAGGAAAGAAATTAAAGTAGGTAGTTCAGTAAGTTAATTGACTTGTTTTTAAATTAATAAGTAGTAACTGGAGAAGGTAACAGTGACAACAAATGCAAAGTATCAAAGAAAAAACTTCAGAGCATTTAATCTGAACAATTTCTTTAAACTTTAAATTTGAAATACTTTAAATTTTTTAGTTCCAAATTTACTCATAATTATCATCATATATATTCACTTTAGTAAATTACTGTACTTATGAGCCATACATTTGTTCTAATATAATGAAAATTACACAGTAATAAAAATATTCAGTAGTGACTCTAACATCAACTACCGATATAGCAAGATATTTACTCTTTAAGAAAAAAGCAAACCCTGAGGTTAATTCCATCTAGGCTCTTCTGTCATTTCCTCATAAGTGTGCAACAAAGTATAGTCCTGTAAATGTAAATACCGATAAAATAGTATCTTATTGTTCTTCGTGGAAATTAGTGATGCATAATAACGCATGTCATTAGCGATACTGAAAACCATTGGAGAAATTATTATTGCATTTTAATGAATGAGTTAAATGCCTGGGATTGTCAACTATGCTAAAAGAATAATTATCTGAGAAAAATTAATTCTGGCATTTGGTAATTACTAGTTGAAAAATTGTAAATTTCATTGAAAGGATACTTTGTCTCAAATGTTTTACGCTGTCTCAAATGCTGGAACCACATATGGGGTTGCATGTAGAAAATATTTTATTATACAATCATAGACTATTACAATTCAAAAAATATTTTAAAAGACTTAAAAAGTATCCTTATCCAGGTTATAAGAGCACCAATAATAACAACTATATTTTTTATCAGAGTTAAAAATTTATAACTATGACAAGATTAGTTGGACAACTGTTTTTAGTGTGGGTAGTTTTAAAAATACATGTGATAAAACATGAGTTAAACTTTGATGATGAGTATGTTGATTTGCTTGACTGTAGTAATTACTTCACTGTGCACATGTGTATCAACATTAGTATATCAAAACATCATGTCACACACCTTAAGTATATATAATAAAAACATTTTTAGATGTTATTTTTCTGATGTTATGGGGCTAGTAAAATCCCATTTTAAAAGTTTACACATCACAGAATTTTTTAAATCACATTTGATATTATCATATATATGCTGAAAAAAATTTACTTTTTCATCATTTTACCATTTAAAATGATCATGCAAAATCAGTGGTGGGTAACACTGCTTGTGCCGTTATTAAGAGAAATCGAGTCAGTGGCACCAAAACATACTAGTAGTCATTGTGCTCTTCACTGTCACACATTTAAAAGTTTCTCTTAAAAATATTTTAATAAAGCACTATAATTTATTAAGTTTATCAATTATTAACCTTTGAGTACATATCTTTTAATATTCTATGTAATAAAATAAGTAAGTATAAAGCACTTCTGCTACATATTATGAAATGCAATGGTTATCTCCAGGAAAAACGCTTACGTGATTGTGTTGAAAGCTAAATTAGCCACCTCTATTGTAGAACATAAGTTTTACTTGAAAGAATAACCAACAAACAAACTATGGTTATTCGAAAGTGGATATTTGAAGAACCAAGCTAATTGTGAAAAAGGATAATCTTGAAAAAGGACAAAGGACTCACACTTCTGGATTTCAAAACTTCCTACAAAGTTGAAGTAATCAAGGCCGTGTGGTATAAGCATAGACATATAGATCAAGGAAGTCGAACACAGAAGCTAGAGCTAAACATTCACGGTCATTTGACTATTGACAAGGAAGCCAAAAAAATTCTATAGGGAAAGAAGAGTCTTTTCAACAAATGATGCTAGGAAAACTAGATATCCAGGTGCAAAAAAAGGAATTTGGAGCCCTACTTCACATCATTTATAAAAATTAACTTGAAATGGCTTATATACCCAAGTGTAAAAGCTGAAACTGTAATACACTTAGAATCAAACACAGCAATAAATCTTTGTGACCATGGGTTAGGAAATAGTTTTTTAGATAACCAAAAGCACAATTGGCAAAAGAAAGAAATAGATAAACTGAGCTTCATTAATACTAAAAACATTTGTATTTCAAAGAATATCATCAACAAAGTAAAAAGACAACTTACAGAATGAGGGAAAATATTGGTAAATCATAATCTGCTAAGGGTGTATTTTCCAGATATATAAATAACTCTTAAAACTAAACAATACAAATACCCCAATTAAAAACGGGCAAATTTTCCAATAAGGCATGCCTTGAAAGAAGATAAATAAATGGCCAATAACACATGAAAAGATGCTGAACTTTGTTAGTCAATTAGAAAAAGCTGTAGGATTCCACTTCACACCCACTAGGATGGTATAATAAAAAAGACAGACAATAACAACTGTTGACAATGATGAAGAGAATTAAGCCCTCATACATTGTTCATAGGAATGGAATGTAAAATGGCAGACACTGTAGAAAACAGTTTGGCAGTTCCTCAAAATGTTAAACACAGAATTACTATAGGATTCAGCATTTCATTCCTAGTTGTATACCCAAGAAAACTGAAAACATGTCGACATAAAAAGTTGTACTGTTTATGGCAGCATTATTCGTAATAGCCCAGAGTGGAAACAACCAAATGTCCATCAACTCATGAATAAATAAATAAAATATGGCATATCCATATAATGGTTATGATATATCCATAAAGTTTATATCCAATAACATATAGTATATCCTTAAAATATAATGAATAAATATGATATAGCCATATTTCCAAGTGTCCATCAACTGATGAATAAAATATGATATATATAAAAATAATATGTCATATCCATATACCATATGTATAATCCATATAATAGTATGTCCATCTAACAATATAATGAAATATTAGTTGGCCATACAAAAGAATGAAGTCCTGATGCATGCTACAACATGGATGAGACTTGAAAACATTATGCTAAGTGAAAGATGCCAAACACAAAAGACCATGCATTGGATGATTCTATTTATATAAAACGTTTAGACTAGGCAGATCCGTAGAGACAGAAAGTAGTCATTTCCTAAGATTTGGGAGTTGGGCTAAAATGGGGAGTAACTGTTAATGACTATGATGTTTCTTTTTAAGGTGACAAAAAAGTCCTAAAATTGTAGTGGTGATTGCAAAATTTTGTGAATATGCCAAAAGCCAATGAATTATAAAATTCAAATTCGTAAATTCTATGGTACATGAATTATATCTCAATAAAGCTGATTTAAAAAAGAAGTATTTGGCAGACTTTTTCTCAGAAATGAATGAAGTGAGCCTGTCACTTCAAAAAAACAACTAATAATATATGTTGCCAGTGATACATAATTAAGACTGTCAAGAAAAAATTAACATTTGAGAAATTTGGTTCTTGCTGCTGTGTGCTTAGTGGCTTCCCAGTATTAGATTTTTCTAATGAGAATAGTAAGGATATTAACAGTTTTTTAAATATATTTATGAAATGTGTTGACACTTAGAAGATACGCAAAACCCAGTAAACCAATATTTTTCAAATGACCATTGAATGATGTTACAGAGAGTCATGCATCAGTAAAAGATCCATTTAAAGTACAAAAGAAGCTGGTGGAATTTAAAGTAACAGAGTATGAAAAGTGTATTGATAGAGTATTAAAAGGTTATTAAAAGATATGGCTTCAAATCTGCATTGCAATTAACCTTTAAGAAACTACCATTTATTGAGCTTAAATGAGGAATTATCTGAAAAGGCCATTAATGTACTTCTTTTTCCAATTCCATGTTTACGTAAGCCAGATTTCCTTTCATACTTCAGCCAAAAGAACATATCATAATGGGTCGATTGCAACCCAAATATGAAAATCTAATTATTCTTTATTAAGCCACGCATTAAGGAATTAAAAAGTAAAACACCACTCTGTTTACTAACATTCATTATTTTTATTATTAGAAAATATAGTTATTTTTCCTAAAATAACTATATTTATTTCATGCTATCTATGATAATATTTAATGGGTTTAATATTATTATTTTTAAACGAATTATTAAATATTTTAAATATTTTTCGGTTTCTAATTGATAAACAGAAATAGCTGTAACACGTCTAAACAAAATCTCTTTGAGATACAATTTTCTAAGAGGGTACAGGGGCCCTCAAACTAAGAAGTTTAGGAAACACTGCTCTACCTGTTTACTTTCTAGAAGGGAGTGCTTCAAGTATTTTTCTGAAGGGTTAAGTATAGAGATAGTGTGCTGGATAAACAGATCAAGTGGTGAGATATCTGGAAGTAGAAAGTGTTTTTTAAAGTTTTTAAAATTCAATTTTTAAAAAAGAGAACCACACATTTTTGTTGAAAATGAATTAAAACAAACAAACATACAAAAAACAGGAAAAAATTTATCTGTTGTTCCAGGCAGCTGAAGATGTAGCTATGGGGTTTTCTTAGTATGTTGGCAGAAACTGCAAATTGACTAGATGTGGAGAAAGGATTGGATCCTAGTATCTGGAAAAATCTTTTGTACCACTCGCAAATACCTTGTAAAGGGAATGGTGTTTTTACAATCATGAGTTTTGATTTGGTAGAAATTCTAATTGAAAATGGGATAATCACTTGAAAAGGTAGAAGTACCTAAGTAAATGAGTTACTTGGACTGATAATATAGGTAAGGCTAAGTTAGGCTTCTCTTATGTCTGTGTATATAACACCTTTCAAAAATTTGTTACAAAACAATAGATCTATTTTAAAATGTGCTGTTTCTGACACTGGAACTGAAAATTGGTCACTTGCAATGATACAAGCAGAAATTCTAGTATGATTGTGAAAATAAGATCAGGTGAATTAATACAAAACTTTGGAAAATTTCAGAAAATATTCTGATATTTGGGCCTTTGGTGTTTCCGAGGCACAAGGCTAAATCTCAAATTTCTTCATAGTGAGAATTGGCCTACTGATGAGGCCAACTGGGTATTTGCAGGGATGTGGGGTGAATGGCAAGATCACATGTTTTCTTGACCTTATCCATCAACGTGGTGTCTCACCACAATATTAAAGCCCTTAAGAGGTAGAGTGCCATCATAGTAGTTTTCTCTTTAAATTAAGCTCTTGAAATTAGAGAAACTGTGATTCAAACAAAGTGGAGATAATGCCCTTTTCTTTTAAAGAATATTTAACATCCAAGCAACAACAGAGGAGATGCTGAAGGACGTCTAACTTTCAAGTGCCCTCTGACCCATTGTACCCAATTAAATATCTACTCATTTCTTCCAGAAATCACTGCCTGTAGAGGTCAAACACTCCAACATTCCCCATTCTCTGTCCTATCAATACCATATTTTCATTCGAATAAGTATCTCTAACTTCTTCAACTTAATATCTGCCTTAATTCCTATTTTTTAAAAGCAAAATACTCAAACCCACCCTCTCAGTATTTGGTTCTAGCTTCAAGCACAGAATATTTCTGTGATGCCATCTTTGTCATGAGGCTTTCCTCAACATTGCTAAACCTGGAAATATCTGGGACAACCACAAACACCCTTCCTAACTCCCAATGGCTTCTGGGTGGAACCAGAGAGGCTAAGTCTTCATATGAAATCTGCATATTTATGGCAAAATGATCTAGTTTTCTTTCTTTCTTTCTTTTTTTTCTTTGAGACGGAGTCTTCCACTGTCACCCGGGCTGGAGTGCAGTGGCGCTATCTCGGCTCACGGCAATTCCGCCTCCCGTGTTCAAGCGATTCTCCTGTCTCAGCCTCCTGAGTAGCTGGGATTACAGGCGCGTGCCAGCATGCCTGGCTAATTTTGTATTTTAGTAGAGACGGGGTTTCACGATGTTGACCAGACTGGTCTCAAACTCCTGACCTCAGGTGATCCACCCGCCTCGGCCTCCCAAAGTGCTGGGATTGCAGGCGTGAGCCACCGCACCCGACCAGCTCTCTTTTTGTGACAAATATTAATAACATATAGTAAAACACAGCTTATCTATGCACAAAATCTAAAAGAAATTATGATAATGTCTTAAAAATAATATAATAAGAAGAACATGACATAATAAAGTATTATTTCCATATGAAAATATTTGGGCACGACAACACGGGATGACCGAATGCATTATTAGTCTGGTGTTGGATCCTAAGGTGCTGCGCAGGGGCAGGGTCTCCAGTGAGAGCGTGTCCCCAATCCCCCTACCGGCTTCCCCAAGTTTGGTTTTGCGGTTGCCTGGCGTGCAGGAAATTTCCCCTTAGCTTCTGGATTTCTCAAGAAGAGAATCTGTCTGTGAATTTTTACTTAATTGGTGAGTTTGTGGGGGAAAAGGAGATCCAGGGCTTCCTACTCCACCATCTTGCTGACCCATCACGCCTTCCTTCAGTTAGCCCGGTGTTTGCACTTTATATAGAACCACGTGAATATTCTAAGGTAACCATGTGTTATCTACTCCAATCCACAGGTCACTTTGTGGAGAGTAAAATTCTCCCAAATGGTAAATAACTCCTGAAGAAAACAAAATATAATCTTCTTTTTGATTTATAAGGTAATTGAATTCCTACAAACTCCTGTGTATATTAAAATTTTGTAAAAAAATGTTTTTATATGTAAAATGAAGTTTGTATTAGTTATCTACTATTGCATAATAAACTACTCCAAACCATAGAGGCTTAGAACAATAATGTCGTTCCATGGCTTCTGTGATTTCATAATCCAGGAACGGCTTAGTTGGGTGACTCTAGCTCAGGGTTCCTTAAAAAACTACCATGAAGTAGTCAGCTAGGGCTCGCTACTGTCATCTCAAGGCTCAACTGGAAGAAGACCTACTTCCAAGCTCACTCACATTGCTCTTAAACTGGACTCAGATCCTCTCTGGCTGTTGCTTGTGAACCTCATTTCCTTCCCACATGGGCCTTTCCATAAGGCAATTCCTAGACTACTTCTTCCTCAGAATAGGTACTCTGAGAGAGATAGAAAGAGGGATCACTGGCTCTTTGTAGCATAGTCTTGGAAGTGACATCACGTAACTTTAGCCATATTCTGTTTGTCAGAAGTGTCACTAAGGCCTTACAGCTCACACTCAAGGAGCAGGGGATTGCACAGAGGCATAAACACTCAGGGGTGGGGATCACTGGGAGCCATCCTAAAGGCTGTCTACCACAGAGGCCAATTCTAGGCTTGGATAACTGTGAACAAGCTTTTCACCTGTATTAATGTCATGAAGGACAAAGAAAGGCTCAAGAACAGTTCCAAATTAAAGGAAACTAGAGGCAGGGCAATGAAATATAATACTTGATTTTGGGTTAGATCTTTTACTGAAAGAAAAAAAAAAGTGCTAAAAAGAATTTAACTGAGTCAATTGACAAATTTGGAGTATGGCATATGGATTAGACAAATGTATTTTTATCAATGTCAATGTTTCTGAGGTTAATAAATGTACTGTGATTATGTCCTTTTCTTAGGAAATGTACACTGAAGTGTTTAAGGATAAAGATGCATAATTTCCTTTCTTTCAAATGGTTAAAAAACAAAACACACACATATATTCATGTCAATGTGTATAATGGAGAGAGAGCACAAATGATAAAGAAACTGGAACAAAATATTAACAATTAATTGGTGAACCTTGGTAAAATGCATATGATAGTTCTTTGTACTCATTGCAACATTTCAGCAAAGCTAAATCATTTACAAATAAAACGTTTAAAAAATAGTACAGTCACAATGGAGAGGTTATAAAGAGCCCAGTCAGAGAAGGCACTGTTGCTAAACATTAGACAACATTTGTTTTGTGCAAATGACATACAGAAGGCAGTTAAGTATGTTTGAGTGTCTTCTATGTGCTATGTACTGGAAAAATGCTTTACTCATTTTCTCTTATTCTTGTTCAAACTTAAACACATTTTTGTGAGGAGAGAATTATTGTTATTATCAAGTAGCTTATTTGTAAATGAGAAAACTCAGGCTTAGAGAAGTTAAGTAACTTGTGGGTGATGTAAAGTTTTAAAATGGCCCAGCACAGATTCAAACCTTGAAGGAATTGACTCTAACAGAAAAGAATTATTTATGTAGTGAGCAAATAGGAAACTGGGATTCAAACCTAGGTTAGTTATATCCTATTAGTTCATTAAAGCAGATCAGCTACTATCATTAGCTAAAAGTAAGTTCCAAGTTAGTTCAAGTGATTTTTGCAGATGCAAATAGTGACATTTCCTTAGAAACATTTTTGAATCAAGAACTGGGTAATTTAAGATAATCACCAATAGTTTACTAGAATTTCACGTCTGAGCAAAATTTTTAAAATTCTCTATAGTTTTGAATGCCTTTGATTTCAGGTATTGTGAAAAAGTCAGACTAAATAATTAACACAAAGATTAGTGCTCAAAACCAGAGAACAAAGAATTCTATCAAATGCCGTTTTCCTTTAAATCTGTGCTCTTCCATTTTTACCTAGGTATCTTTATAATTCCATTCAAACTAAGGCCCAAAGAAAATAGGCCATTCAACTCCAGTGCTGCAAACAGTGAGTTTTGGCATGGGAACAAGGTGGATGGCAGGAAGGCAGGAAACCACATGTTTTCCTGGGACATGGGGCTGCCTTTGCCAAGGAATAGCTTCCTGATGACCTACTCTTGTTCCTGCCCCGGGGCTAAGCTTCAAGTCTTCTCGACATTCTGACCTAAACTCTACTTTTCAGTGCTGGTGAGAGAGATGAATGTAGACCAAGAACTCCTCCTGTGAGGGCAAATAAGCTTCTTTCTACAACATTCAGCCTTAGAAGACAAGATATTTGCTGATCTTGTTTTTCTTTTAATAAAGGAATGTGACCTTTTAACTTGTGCGTCAAAAGTAGTTATGTCAGTCGGCTATGATAGTCGTAAATGTAGGTCTTTGGTACTTCTTAATAGTTAACATTCATTGAGTATCTGCTATGTGTCTGGCATTGTGGAAATTAATTACACAGGTAGTAAGTCAGGTCACTGGGATTTAAATCCCATTCGATTGGCTTGTGCTTAATAATTAATTTCTATTCTTTGTATGTGAAAGGAGCCAGGATGAATACAAGGTTAAATTTGACATAGCCAACAGTCTCAGGCAGATTACAATTAAATAGTGGGTTTAACATATGTACATAAATAGTTAAAATATACAGTAAAATGTAGTAAATGTTATAAGAAAGAGTTAAGCGATTTTATGAGTGTGAGAGATACTAACCGATATGAATGAGAAAGTTTTATACAGGTGGGAAAAATTGAGTTGAGTGGTTTCAATATCAGATATAATTAGATGAATAAAATGTCATTCTCATCAAAAACAAAACAAACTCCCTAAGGAAAATATGGTTGGTAGAATATAAGAGATAGGTTTGAGAATGGTGAATATTTACTTTGGATGAAATATTGATTGTATAAAAAGCAAAGTTTGAGAACAGTTTATGGAATTTCTTGAATGCCAGCTTAAGATACTCGAATGGCACATTTTACGCAGAGCAAAGCTACAGAAAGTTTGGAGTAGAGAAGAGACACAGTCAAGGCTTGCTTTGGAACTGTAACGTTCACTGCAGAAGCCGCCAGCACATGTAGTTATTTAAGTTTAAATTTAAATGAACTAACATTAAATAAAATGAAAATTTTACTTCCTCAATTGCCCTAGCCATACTTCAAGTGCTCAGTAGTGTTCAGTAGCTAGTAGCTTCTATCTTGGGCAAGAGAGATGCCAAACATTTCCATCATCACAGGAAGTTCTATTGAGCAGAGATGCTTTAAAAGATTAATCCAGTAGTGCATTATAAATGGAGAGGACAGGGGAGGAAATTAGAAGGAGGGAGTTGACTTTCAGTTAATTTTAGAAGTCCTGAGCAGCTATAGGTGAGAATAGAATTTAATTTATTGAATACAAAATTTTACCTTGTACTTTTTCAAGTTTTCTACAGATATTCATGATAAGGACCGTTTATTGCATACTCCAGGGATACCAGTCAGAATTTAAATTCTTTACAATCCCGACAATACATTTTCTTGGGAACTCACGAGAAAAGAGAACAAAAAATGAAATGATTCACCAGATTACGAATATCTAGAGACACCAACTTCCATGCAGAAACTGGGGAGTTTGAGCAGATAGACTTCCTGAGAGTTACCTCATGAGGGGATTTGGGGTAATAGCCATCTGGCTTCCAATTTGATTTGAGTTTCACTGTGGTCCAAATTAATCTAATTGCTCTCTGAAGTCTGTTTATACACCAAAATATATTAGTAAGAATTTACACTTTTGATTTTTTTTCTACTTTTAGGCTTTACTTTGAGTTTTCGTGTAATCATTATAACCTAGAATGAGGGTCTTTTACATTTAACACACAGGGAAACTGAGGCCAAAGTTAAGTGACTTGGCCAAGATCACAGAACTAGTCAGTTTCAAAGTTAAGGGTAGAACCAGTGGCCCAGGTTCTTTCCCCTTTACCATGCATTTTCAGAGTAACCTAGAAAAATATACGTTAATTTCTTTTCATATGCTCAAGAGTTAGGGCAGTAAGTATTGCTCTGTAATTTAACTTGCAGTCCAAACACTGTCATCTTCAATTATATATTTAATAAATATGTTTCATGAGCATTTGCTTGAAATTAGAAGCAATGGGACTTAAATCTCACCAACTTTCAAATGGATCCATGGGACAAAAAGCTTAAAGATTCATGTTCCAGTTTGACATGACTCCTTTCTCCCCCCAATCAACCTTGATCTTCTGACTCCTCACAATACTTCATGGCTCTTACTTGTTTTCCTGCCTGTCATCCTCCACTAGACTGGATGCTCCTTCATAATAGGTCCATGTCATACTTGTCTTTGTGTCCCCAGAGCTTATCTCAGTTCTCAGTGCACAGTTAAAGAACTGGTGAATAATGTACGAATGATACATGGGTAAAGAGGTTATTTGGAAACTCTGCTTCTGTCTACTCTTATTAATCTTTCTTCTGACCTTCAGAGTACACAGCCTTACCAGGGGCACAGAGGAAAGTCAGGCTTGTCCAGCACACTCCAGCAGGCAATTCAAAACTGTACAGTGCAGTAGGACTGGACTCCACATAATTCTCATTCTTTCATCTCCACAGACGTTTACCTAAGCAATCTTTGAGCATGCCTGGCTCCCTTTTATATGGGGCCATTTTTTCCAGTCCATTTTGTTTACCTTTTTTCTCTGGGGACAAAAGATAGCCTGCCAAAGCTTCATAAAGGTGAATTCAAAAGCCCCTATGGGATCCTTGGGTATACGAGAACCTGTCTGCCACCTTGCAGGGGCAAAGAGGCTGGCTTTGCCCTCCATAGCTCCATGACTTCATTCTTGTACTGTCCAAAATTGCAAGACAGAATTCCGAAAACGTGACTTAGCCCTACCATTCCTTTTTGTATTCTAAAAGAGCAGATGGAGATTTCATCAAGTCGAATCAAATGGTTTGAAATTCAAAATGTTTTCTATGACCCTGAAGCCTGAACCAAAACAATACAAGATAAAAATGATGTGTTGTAGGCATATCAAGTATCAAGTACCAATGCCTATATTAGCAGCACCACTATGTCTCTTGCACCTGGAAAAAGGTTAACGAAGATTGCAGATTCCCTCATGATCCAAAGAACAGTTATCCAGATACAAAGAAACAGTGTTGTCCTTTGTTTTAGTCCTGGCCATCCCATTACTGTCTCCTTCTTCCCTCCCTTCAACACAATCATATTTCTGGTAACATCTCAGTAATTATAACAGATGCACAAGCTGTCAGACACTAAGACTCCCCAGGCTCCTTTCCAACTTTGTGTCTAGATATTATTGTTGTTCATGTTACAATAAGGAAGTTAGGGTATAGGCATTGTATTTTTTTATAAGACAGGCCTTCTTTAGCAATCAATGTTGTATAAAGCTTGTCCTAAAAAATATGCTTATTATCGTATTCCCATCAGATGACATAAAACAGCTCATATCATAGAGAAATTATTTTTCATGAATGAGTGTTTTTCAAATATCTCTTTAAAAACATATATTTACCCATACTAAAGCAGTTAATATTTGCATCACTGGCTTAAAACTACTACTTTGCTCCTATGAGAACATATTCTTTATTTGTGTTAGTGCATAGTCCTCTGAGAGGAGATATTTACAAACCCCATGCTAACAACTTTCATGCTAATAGACTTCAGTGCAGGCTTTGATGTTGTGTCAGCACCAAAGGGAAAGAGAAAGCTCTTGTTAGAAGTGATATGCCTTGATTAGTTTCATTTCAATGCATTTAACACAAAATTCGATGTCTATTTGACAAATATGTACAAAGTCAATGATTGATTTAATCTTAATTGACAAAAATTGTATACATTCAAGATGTAAAATCATGATGATTTGATATATGTATACCTTGTGAAATGATTACCACAATCAAGTTAATTAACATATTCATTATTACCTCACATAGTTACTATTTTGTGCATGTTTGCATGCGTGAATGTGTATGTGTGAGTGTGGTGAGGACACTTAAGTTTTACTGTCAGAAAATTTCAATTATACAATACAGTATTATTAGCTATAGCCACCGTGTTGTACATTATGTCTCCAGAATATATTCATCTTATAACTGAAAATTTGACACTTTGACCAACATCTCCCCATTTCTCCTGTGCCCCAGCTGCTGACAACCACCATCCTACTCTCTATATGAGTTTGACTTTTTTAGATTCCACAGATAAGCAAGGTCATGCAGTATTTGTCTTTCTGTATCTGGCTCATTTGATTTAGCCTAATGTCCTCCAGGTTCATCCATGTTATTACAAATGACAATATTTCTTTAATTTTTATAGCTGAATGAATACTCTGTTCTATGTATGTACACCACATTTTCTTTATCCATTCATTCACTCCTAGGCACTTGGGTTGTTTTTATATCTTGGCTATTGTAAATAATATTGTGCCTGATTCTCTTGGGCACAACAGTTCACAGGTTTTAATGATAGACCTTGAAAAGTATGTTCAGCTAAATAAAAATGGAAACATAAAAAATCTTTTGAAAATGTTTTGAAAAGGCCCCAACTATCGTTGAATGCTTTCAGTAGAGAGTATATATTCTATTCAGTGATTAAGACATTATTTTTATCAGGAGACTGAGGGAGAGAATTGTTTGAACTCAGGAGGCGGAGGTTGCAGTGAGCCAGGGTCACGCCACGGTATTCCAGCCTGGACAACAGAGTGAGACTCCGTCCAAAAAAAAAAAAAAAAAGACATAAGACATAATTTTTAGATTATATTAGTGATTAAGACATAATTTTCTAACATCATTTTATACAGAACAATAGTTTAATAGTAATTTTGGGGCTGGGTGTGGTGGCTCACACCTGTAATCCCAGGACTTTGGGAGACTGAGGCAGGAGGATCAAAAAAAAGAAAAGTATTACCCAGGGAATTGAGTTCAGCCTCTCTTTCTCACTGCAACCTCGTTTCAGTGATCTCTATAAAAAGAAAACAAAATAATAACTTTCATATTTTCCTGTATCTGCTTCTTAATTTTTTAACTTTTTATTGAAATAAAATATTCATACAGAAAAGTGAACAATCATGATTATACCACTCAATTAATTTACACAAATTGCTCACATCAGTACATCCAGATCAAGAATAAAGAGATACCATTAACCCATAACCCAATAAGCCTCATTCATATCTCCTTTCACTACTCTACCCTGGCAAGGATAACATAACTACTACATTTACGTCTAATGATAGAGCTTAGTTTTAACTTTTTTTTTTTTTTGCTTTATTTGAATGGGATTATTCAATATATACTATGTTGTGTCTGGCTTTTTTTTGCTTGTCCTCATGTTTATGAGTTTAATCTATGCTGTTGCATATGGCAGTGAATCTTATTCTCATTGCTATACGATATTGTGTTGACATACCACAATGTATGGTTGAAAAATATGATATTGACAATATTTGAATTACTTGACTTACCAAACCAACAATTGTACATGGTTAAACTAATATTAATCCACTTTACTCTTGATAGGCATTTTAGTTTCCAATTATTCAATAATATTAGTAGTGTACTATGAACATTTCAGCACATTTTTAATTAACATATATCAAATTATTGGGTCAATGGATGTGCATATGTTCAGTTTTAGAAAATACGGTCAAACAGATTTCAAAGATGATTGTACCTATTCAGGTTCCCAACCACATAATATGAACTTTCCAGTTGATCTATACCCTTGCCAACACTAAGCATTTTCCCTCATTTTGATTTCAGCCATTTTGGTATATATGTGAAGTTATTGCATTACGGATTCAATTTGCATTTCTTTCATGAATAGTAAAGTTGAGCCTCTCATCATGTTTATAGGCTATTTCAATATCTCTTTTGTGAAAGGTTTGTTCACATCCAAGTTTTTCCAGTTTTACCTATTGTTTGACCTTTCACTGATTTGTAGGACACTTTTAGATATTCTGCAAGTTTTTGATGTTTATTTTAAATATTTTCTCGCACTCTGTGACTTTCATTTTCACTTTCTACCTACTCTCTTTTGATGACAAAAGTTTGTAATTTTTATACTGTCCTAGTTATTACTTTTTTTCTTTTTGGCATAGCATTCTGCTCTTTTTAAGTAATCAGCCAAATCAGGGTCAAACAATGTTCTATATATTGCTCTAATGGATTTTTATCTTTCACCTTTAAATTTGAAATTCATGTGGAATTTGCTGTATGATGTGAGACAGGGGATCAGAATACATTTTTATCAAAGAACTATCCAATTGAACCAGAATCATTGATTAAAAAAACCATATTTCAAACTACACTGTGTTGTCATCACCGTCATCAGTCAGGTAAACAAAGAAGTATAAAAATATATATATAATTCATAAAAATATGAGATATCTTCTGTTCTATTAGTCAATTATCTACTTTAAACCAATACTGCATTGACTGAATTACCAAAGCTTCATAGTAGGTCTTAATATTTGGTGTATTTACTTCCTTGAAGCATCTTTGTTCTTAAAAATATGTCTATTCTTTGTCCTTTGCATTTGCATATGAATTTTAAACCTGTTCAATTTCCGGAAAAAAACTTCTGCTACAATTTTAATTGGTATTCATTGAATCAATAGATTAATTTGGGATTAAATATCTTTACAATATTGGACAGCAATATATCACTTTCTCTCAATAGTATTGTTTAGTTTCAAATTACAGGTCCTCCACAACTTTACCTGAATTGATTTAAAAGTTTCATGTTATTACAAATACCATATTTTAAAATGTGCTTACTATTTGAATGACTGGCATATAGAAATACAATTGATTTTATAGATTGACCTTGCATTCAACGACTTTTCTAAATTCACTTACTGATTTTAATAGTTTGTCCATAAATTCTTTTGGATTTCTAGGTATATAATCTGCTAATCATGAGATTTTTTTGTCTTTATTTACAATCCTAAGGGATTTTTTTCTTACCTGTTACACTTAGTAAGATCTCTAGTACAATGTTAAATAAAGTGGTGAGAGTGGGCATACTTTTTAAAGTCATGATTTTAAGGGGAAAGTTTTCAATATTTTACCATTGAGTATAATGTTAGTTGTAGGTATTTTGCAAATATTCTTTGTCAGATTAAGGGAGTTCTTTTCTAGAATCAGTGTGCTAAGAATTGCATCGATAACAGATGTTGATTCAAAAGCTTACTCTGCATATATTGAGAAAATCATGTAATTTTTCTTTTTTTCTCTGTTTTGGTAAATTACATTGAATTTGAAATTACAGGTGAAATAAATTCCATTTTGTTGTGTTGTATTTTCTATTTTGAATATTGCTTGAATTAAATAATAACATTTTGTTAAGAAATTTTACCTCTATGTTTATGAGAGTAATTGGTCTCTAATTTTTCTTTTCATAATGTCTTCGTCAGGTTTTGGGTTATGCTAGTCTTATTTAAGATAAATAGCTGGGGAGAATTTCCTCAGATTTTATTATCTGGGAAAGGCTGCATAAATTAGATGTTAATTTCTTTCTTAAATAGGTAAAGAACTCTGTAGTGAAGCATTTTCTTTATGGGAAGATTTTTAATAATGGATTTAAATTTCTAGTAATGACAATTTATGTTTTCCCTCATTTTTGTTAAACATTCATCCTAGAGCTTTATTAGCTTTATTAATCTTTTTTAACAAAAGCTTTTGGCTTAGTTAATTTTCCCATTCTATGTCATTGGTTTCTGATGTTATCTTTCTTTTCTTTTTATTCTTTTTTCCATGGGTCTGATATGCTGTTCTTCTCCTAGCTTCGCGACATCTTAAATCTTTTATTTTCAACTGTTTTCTCCTGGTATGGGCATTTACAAGTATACATGTCCCTGCAAGCACTACTTTTACAATGCTTTAGTTGCATCCCACCAATTTAAATATGTTGCATTTTTTTATCATTTAGTTCAAACTAATTCTCATTTGTATTTCTCATTTGTATTATTTAGACATGTGTTATTTAATTTCCAGACAGTTGTGACTTTTCTTGTTATTATTGAAATTTAACTTAATTCCTTTGTGATTGGGAAATATACACGAAGCTATTCCAATATTTCAAAGTTTCTGGAGGCTTTTTATGGTTCATCAGATATTCGATTTTAGTAAATATGCTATGTGAACTTAGATTATATTATTGTCAATTGCTTATGTCTGTGATCTCTTAAGATTCTGATTTGTTGCTCCAGACCCACACGATGGCAAAGGTGTCCCTGATTCTCTCTCCTCAGCAGAGGCTCTGTACATGGGCCATGTCTGAGCATCAGCTCAAACCCAGAATTGGTAATTCCTCCACAAGAAAAGATATCTGGTGATCTGCAGCTCACCTGTTTACCATTCTATTTCTGGTAAATTTCTATTTCTTATTCCACCTAGTTTTTATTGATACCATAGATTTTTGAAGTCTTGAATAGTATGATTTTTGTAATTTATGGAGCTTTTTCACATAAAAGTATAGTGGAAGCATTAGTTTGCTGTGATCTACTACATCCTACCTCTAAGGTAAAATCAAGACTCTTTTAAAATACTTGTAAAAATATACATATATTTTTGAAACAAGAATCATTCCATGCAATTTGTACAATGAAAAGAATAGTGTTTCTGAAACCTTGATTTACTTTGGGAAGCATTTATTGATTTTCTGCTAGGTCCGTACCATGCCATATGCTGTGGAATCTATAATGATTTAGACAGTCCTGGGACCAGATGACTTTGTAGTCCACAGATGAGTCAGGTATGGAAATGAATAAACTGCAAGGCAATGTAACACATCTTGTGGTTTGGAGATAGATTTTTTTCTCCCAGAACCCAGAAGAAGCAAAGACCGCCTGCCTAGAGGATTCAGGAGAGAGTTCACAAAAAAATCAAAAAGTTACATTTGGTCCAGAAGCCTGAGCAGAAGTTGCCGGGCATAAAAGAAGAAATGATATTCTAGGCAAAGGGATAGCATTTGCAATAACTCAGTATTATGAAAGGATATGGAACATTTATTTAAAGTGAAACATGAACTATAGAACCACATGGGTGGGGATGTGGGGTATGTGCATGAAAATAATGTCAGAGACATAAATTGGGGTCAGATTAGGAGGGGCATTGAATGCCAAGCTAGACGCTGTAGTCGTTTTTCTAAAGGCTATATGAAGTTAATAGAGATTTTCAAACAAAAGGATAAAATTAGATATAATTAGAGAAAATTAGACATAATTAGAGATAAAATGTTTAAGAAAGAGTTCTGGCAGCAGTGGAAACAGCAGAATCAAAGGGAAAGGATCTAGAGGGAATTTTAAAATGTTTGCAGGGAACTCAATACGAAATTTTTCTATAACAGAATGTTATTTATAGATTAATTACTGGATTTTGATATACTAAACCATGAAAATGGCAAAATTGACCTCTGAAATTTATTAATAGAGATGGCAATTGGCCTAAACACAAAGTTTACCTTGCTCTCCTTTTGTGAATGTATGTTTAATGCCACTAAGTGAGTGGGACTCTGTCCAAATAGAGCTGTTTTCATAGCGTGTCACTGATTTTCTTGAGATCCTGAGAGAACTCTTAAAAACATCCCTTTAGATCTCTGTTTTGTGTGCTGTGTTTTTAAATGTCATCTTATTAGCCAAAATATTTTCTTTTACTTAACTTTTAGATACATAAATTCAGGGTAGAGGGAGAGATAGAGAGAGATTGGTATGGAGGAAGAAACGAAATGAGTAGATTGTGATGTAATGCCATGAAGTCTAATTTCTAGTAACTAGCTCTGTGGCTTATTCTGATCTCTCATTTTGTGAATTGGAAGTATCTTGCTGGCAAAACTTCCGTAAGATAGCTTCATCTTTGGTATAATTGGGACAACATCTACCCTGCTTAACTTTAAAGTACTGCTCAATGCAAGACATTAGTACACACAAATAACAAGCAGAGACCATCTCCCTTGGCCAGATTTTCGTTTCTTGCCGTTTATTTCATTTAAGGCTTTTTCATGTCAAACAAAGATTTTAAGCTGATTAAGTGATTTCCCACAGACAGGTACCTCCTGTGATTTAAAGAGTCTGGCTGAAGTGAGAATGGATACTAATGCAGAATCTCACGGAGCATCAGAAGTCCCAGATTGCATTTTATAAATACTCTTTTTTTTTTTTTTTGCTACAAACTATTACCACATGCCATGCTGTGATTTGACTGTTGGAGCCATTTCAGCCTGCCTCTTCCCTATGAAATAAACACTTGGATAGTAGGTAGCTTGGAACCATTGCAAAATAATAACTTGGGTTATTGTGGACATTAATAATTTGCAAACCCCTTGAACATTTATTATTCATCCTGTGAGGCTGTCCCCATTTTTCTGAATAGAAAACTGAAGACATAACATGTTAATAACTCAGCCAGTGCAAACACAAGTCACATCAACAGGATTGGAAGAACACTTTTTGATTAAAATTCAATGTTCTTTCCACATGCTGCTTTTCCTTATTGTCTCTTTTAGTGATGTCCCTGGTATTCAACCAACCTGAGAACCAAGTTAAATACCAGAATCATTCCCAATTCCTAAATGTGACAGATTGAAGTTTTATTTTATAATTCCAATCCTCTCACAAAATGAAGGAATCTTATGCTGACTTTGTGTAAATTCATATTCAGCAGGTATTGAATGTTGTAAATAGCATTAATATTTTACATCTTCTAATCTCCAAGTCAAACTCATATATACCCATGTCATTTCTTTTGTACTCGAGCCCTGAGATGATTTTATTATGAAAAGTGCAATTTAAAAAATCTAATAAACTGTCATCTATCTGAAGGGCAGCATTTTGCTGAAGTAAGCAGTAACTAAATTTGTGACACCAGGTTGTGAAGGCCAAATGACGGCAACCACTTGCAAACTCAGTGGAAACTTTTCCAAGTTCTTCTTTCCAAAGGTGTAAGTATTTGTTTGTTTGGTTGGTTGGTTGATTGTTATAACCCTGAAGTTACTTGCCCTTTTACAGATGTTTGGCCTATCTTAGTTTAGGTTTGGCTGTATATTCTAAGTCTTCTGAATTCTAAATTTTAATTATTAATCCTAAATTATATTTACTGTTCTTCTGTAAGACAGAATTGTATATAACGCATAAATTAACTTCTTCAATGTTTTCAAGTGTGCCAGGATCACTTTATTCACTGATATCTAAGAAAAATTGAATCAAATCCATAAACATGGTGGATTTGACCACACACGTGGTGGAAAACCCATGTATCCAATATATTCAAGAAGTTTTAACTACTCATAGCTCCAAGTTTGAATTTACACTCAATTTTCAGTCTCTATCTGTAACCTATATGCAAAAGACTTTTCTGAGGTCCTGGAAAACTGTGCAGTTTATATACCAAAACATTATTGCAAACAATTTTACATTAAATTTTAGATTTATGAAGCATTCTGGCCTCTGCATTTTCATGGTTTTATTGGAACCATGATTTTGGGCCTGGCTTCTCTATCTCTTTTCACCTCCTTTTCTTTCATGCTTACTATTTCTCTAAATATGTATTTATGTATCATGCAGGGAAGTTTAATTATCTTTTATCTCACCTATTTCCCAATGTGGCTGAGATTTGAATGCTATTTTTGTAAGAAAAGTGACAGGCAGATCTCTTATATGGCTCCCAAAGACCCAAGCCCTTGTATAACCTCCTCCCCTGAGTACAGCTGAGACTTATAACTTGCTTCTAACCAAGAGAATATGACAAAAGTAATGAGATGTCACTCCCATGATAATGTTACATTATATGACAAAAGTAAAGGGATTTTGGAGATGTAATTAAAACCCCTAAACAGTGAACTTTAAGTTAATCAAAAGGGAAATTATCCTGAATGGGCCTGACTTCATCAGGTGAGCCCTTTTTATTTTATTTTATTTTATTTTATTTTATTTTATTATTATTATACTTTAAGTTTTAGGGCACATGTGCACAATGTGCAGGTTAGTTACATATGTATACATGTGCCATGCTGGTGTGCTGCACCCATTAACTCGTCATTTAGCACTAGGTATATCTCCTAAAGCTATCCCTCCCCCCTCCCCCCACCCCACAACAGTCTCCAGAGTGTGATGTTCCCCTTCCTGTGTCCATGTGTTCTCATTGTTCAATTCCCACCTATAAGTGAGAATATGCGGTGTTTGGCTTTTTGTTCTTGTGATAGTTTACTGAGAATGATGATTTCCAATTTCATCCATGTCCCTACAAAGGACATGAACTCACTTTTTATGGCTGCATAGTATTCCATGGTGTATATGTGCCACATTTTCTTAATCCAGTCTATCATTGTTGGACATTAGGGTTGGTTCCAAGTCTTTGCTATTGTGAATAATGCCGCAATAAACATACATGTGCATGTGTCTTTATAGCAGCATGATTTATAGTCCTTTGGGTATATACCCAGTAATGGGATGGCTGGGACAAATAGTATTTCTAGCTCTAGATCCCTGAGGAATCGCCACACTGACTTCCACAATGGTTGAACTAGTTTACAGTCCCACTAACAGTGTAAAAGTGTTCCTATTTCTCCACATCCTCTCCAGAACCTGTTGTTTCCTGACATTTTAATGATTGCCATTCTAACTGGTGTGAGATGGTATCTCATTGTGGTTTTGATTTGCATTTCTCTGATGGCCAGTGATTTTGAGCATTTTTTCATGTGTCTTTTGGCTGCATAAATGCTTTCTTTTCAGAAGTGTCTGTTCATGTCCTTCACCCACTTTTTGATGGGGTTGTTTGTTTTTTTCTTGTAAATTTGTTGGAGTTCATTGTAGATTCTGGATGTTAGCCTTTTGCCTGATGAGTAGGTTGCGAAAATTTTCTCCCATTTTGTAGGTTGCCTGTTCACTCTGATGGTAGTTTCTTTTGCTGTGCAGAAGCTCTTTAGTTTAATTAGATCCCATTTGTCAATTTTGGCTTTTGTTGCCATTGCTTTTGGTGTTTTAGACATGAAGTCCTTGCCCATGCCTATGTCCTGAATGGTAATGCCTAGGTCTAGGTTTTCTTCTAGGGTTTTTATGGTTTTAGGTCTAATGTTTAAGTATTTAATCCATCTTGAATTAATTTTTGTATAAGGTGTAAGGAAGGGATCCAGTTTCAGCTTTCTACATATGGCTAGCCAGTTTTCCCAGCACCATTTATTAAATAGGGAATCCTTTCCCCATTGCTTGTTTTTCTCAGGTTTGTCAAAGGTCAGATAGTTGTAGATATGCGGCGTTATTTCTGAGGGCTCTGTTCTGTTCCATTGATCTATGTCTCTGTTTTGGTACCAGTACCATGCTGTTTTGGTTACTGTAGCCTTGTAGTATAGTTTGAAGTCAGGTAGTGTGATGCCTCCAGCTTTGTTTTTTTGCCTTACGATTGACTTTGTGATGCAGGCTCTTTTTTGGTGCCATATGAACTTTAAAGTAGTTTTTTCCAATTCTGTGAAGAAAGTCATTGGTAGCTTGATGGGGATGGCATTCAATCTATAAATTACCTTGGGCAGTATGGGAATTTTCAGGATATTGATTCTTCCTACCCATAAGCATGGAATGTTCTTCCATTTGTTTGTATCCTCTTTTATTTCCTTGAGCAGTGGTTTGTAGTTCTCCTTGAAGAGGTCCTTCACATCCCTTGTAAGTTGGATTCCTAGGTATTTTATTCTCTTTGAAGCAATTGTGAATGGGAGTTCACTCATGATTTGGCTGTTTGTCTGTTATTGTTGTATAAGAATGCTTGTGATTTTTGTACATTGATTTTGTATCCTGAGACTTTGCTGAAGTTGCTTATCAGCTTAAGGAGATTTTGGGCTGAGACAATGGGGTTTTCTAGATATACAATCATGTCGTCTGCAAACAGGGACAATTTGACTTCTTCTTTTCCTAATTGAATATCCTTTATTTCCTTCTCCTGCCTAATTGCCCCGGCCAGAACTTCCAACACTATGTTGAATAGGAGTGGTGAGAGAGGGCATCCCTGTCTTGTGCCAGTTTTCAAAGGGAATGCTTCCAGTTTTTGCCCATTCATTATGATATTGGCTGTGGGTTTGTCATAGATAGCTCTTATTATTTTGAGATACATCCCATCAATACCTAATTTACTGAGAGTTTCTGGCATGAAGGGTTGTTGAATTTTGTCAAAGGCTTTTTCTGCATCTATTGAGATAATCATGTGGTTTTTGTCTTTGGTTCTGTTTATATGCTGGATTACATTTATTGATTCGCGTATATTGAACCAACCTTGCATCCCAGGGATGAAGCCCACTTCATCATGGTGGATAAGCTTTTTGATGTGCTGCTGGATTCGGTTTGCCAGTATGTTATTGAGGATTTTTGCATCGATGTTCATCAAGGATATTGGTCTAAAATTCTCTTTTTTGGTTGTGTCTCTGCCAGGCTTTGGTATCAGGATGATGCTGGCCTCATAAAATGAGTTAGGGAGGATTCCCTCTTTTTCTATTGATTGGAATAGTTTCAGAAGGAATGGTACCAGTTCCTCCTTGTACCTCTGGTAGAATTCGGCTGTGAATCCATCTGGTCCTGGACTCTTTTTGGTTGGTAAGCTATTGATTATTGCCACAATTTCAGAGCCTGTTATTGGTCTATTCAGAGATTCAAATTCTTCCTGGTTTAGTCTTGGGAGGGTGTATGTGTCGAGGAATTTATCCATTTCTTCTAGATTTTCTAGTTTATTTGCATAGAGGTGTTTGTAGTATTCTCTGATGGTAGTTTGTATTTCTGTGGGATCGGTGGTGATATCCCCTTTATCATTTTTTATTGCGTCTATTTGATTCTTCTCTCTTTTCTTCTTTATTAGTCTTACTAGCGGTCTATCAATTTTGTTGATCCTTTCAAAAAACCAGCTCCTAGATTCATTAATTTTTTGAAGGGTTTTTTGTGTCTCTATTTCCTTCAGTTCTGCTCTGATTTTAGTTATTTCTTGCCTTCTGCTAGCTTTTGAATGTGTTTGCTCTTGCTTTTCTAGTTCTTCTAATTGTGATGTTAGGGTATCAATTTTGGATCTTTCCTGCTTTCTTTTGTGGGCATTTAGTGCTATAAATTTCCCTCTACACACTGCTTTGAAGGTATCCCAGAGATTCTGGTATGTTGTGTCTTAAAAGAGGGTGTAGAAGTCAGAAATTCTTTCTCGTCTAGACTTGAAAAAGCAAGCCACCATAAATTTTAAAGCTTCAATGAAATAAATTCTGCTGATAACCATATGAGTTTGGAGGAAAATCCCGAGGCTCAGATGGGATCCCGTCTTGACTGTAGCCTATGATAACTCAAGTAGACAACTCAGGTAAGCTATGCCCATATTCCTGACCCATAGAGAATGTAAGATATAAATTGGTGTTGTTTTAAGAAGCTAAATTCGTGGTGATTTGTGACATAGCAATATAAAAAAATCAATACTTTTTTTTTCTTATTCTATGATGATCTTAAACTAACCATTCCTTTTCTTTACCACAGTAACCACAACTTAGTAAGACTGGTTTGCTTGGAATTTCAGATGTTGGAGCAGAATTAATGAAAATCAATTTAACTTAAAATGAAACAAAGGTGAACACACCTGAGAAATAAAAATAATCAGCCAATCTGCAGAAATTTTTGTGATCATTTCAATATGCAAATTTTTAGAAACTAGAAGGTAGATGAAATATCAATCTGAGAAATAAAAATAATCAGCCAATCTGCAGAAATTTTTGTGATCATTTCAATATGCAAATTTTTAGAAACTAGAAGGTAGATGAAATATCAATCTCTGTCCAAATAAATTAATCATTAGCATCTTCTACTTTAACACACACACACACACACACACACACACACAAACAGGCTGAAATAACTAGATTTTTCCTTCCTTTATCATGATATAATCCTCATATATAAAAAATGAAGCTGCAATAATACCATCAGGATATTTGACAACCATTTTTTTGATAATGGTAACAGATTGTGTCTAGTTATTCTTACCTACTGAGTCCCATTATTATATGACTAACCACAATCATCTGCAAGCTGAGAAACCAGGATTAATTTCTAGCCTCAGAACAGAAAGTAATGACAAATTGACATTTGGGCCAAGTAAGAAAATAGATCTGTTTACAAGTATATGAACATGAGCTAATCCAAAGAAAATAGATCTGTTTACAAGTATATGAACATGAGCTCATCCATAGAACTTTGTTACCTAGGAAAATTCTTACTGTACAGTTATGAGATCTGTCCTACAGGACATCGACTCTTAATTTTGATCATATTTTAGAGTTGCCAGATTTAAATTTAAATTTCAACAAACAACACATATGTTGTTAGTATAAGTTAACAAAAATGTGTCCCATAAAATGGAGCTCAAGATCTTATAATTCTTAATAAGTGTTTCAGGTGATTCTTAGGAACCGTAGGATCTGAGAACAATGGACTTTATATTAGGTGCTGTGCTTAGATGTGGAGATGCAAAAATAATATAAGCTAATCTCTCCCCATAACATTTCATTGATAAGTGTAGAATATGGGGAAAAAAATAATTATCTGATCTTCTTTTCTCCCTTGCTGCCCTGTAAAATATCACCAGTTTCCAATTTCATTAGTTTTATTATCAGAGTTTTACAGAGTGCCGTTGTTAGCCTGGAACCTTACTCAAATTTTAGAAATATGATTGATGCTTTTTGAACACTCAGAGTTTACAGAGTGCCAAGCAATTATCAATGAAGCATCTATTTCTTTGTTGTTTTCAAAAAATCCTAGTTGTTCCGTCCTACTTTCTCTAAATTGGTTGTTATTAAAGATAAAAATGTCCTCAAGAAAAGAACATGCTCAAAATGTTTTTAACAAGAGATTTTGAAATATTTGAGCTGTCAGAAACAGGGATTTCAAAGGGTGACAGTAAAGTTCATCCAATTCCCACACAACTACAGTGCCATCAGAATTCAGTACTGCTGTCTTCAAACTAAAAGCAGAAAGCGTTATATATAAGACATAAGAAAATGATTTCTGCTGATTTGAAAAAAAAAATCTCTGCTTTGAGAATACTCATGTCCTTTTTAGAAGTGTTAGCATTAAAGAGATGATTTATAACTAATATAATCTACTTACTTCCAGTCCCCCTTACCCTGATGGATTTTTTTTCTATAGTGCCTATTAGCCTGTAACATACTATATTGTTTACTTCTCAGTTGCCTTTATTTCTTATTGTCTATCTGTCCCCACTAGAATATAAATGCCACAGAAGCAGAGATTTTTTTTTCTTTTGACAGTTTTGTACATTAATACACAAAGTGGAGGAAAGCTAACTAGCACATAGGCAGTATCTACTAAATGTGTTGAATGAGCAAGTTAACTAATAAAATAATACTCTATCCCTCTTATTACTAATCCATCTCTGAGGGATGAGGCTGTTCAAGCACTGCTGCGCTGGGTTTTGTCCAACATTCCAGAAAACATTTTTAGATGGATATAAGTAATGCTGACCTTTGTATATGGAAAGGAGCTAGTACTCAATAATGGGTCCTGCCTTTTGGCCCCTTTGACAGTTGTAGGGCTAAATTCATGCTGATTTGCTCCTATACTCTCATCTGGAGATCATCTGACCCATGACCAAACTCTGCAAATATGGTTGACATGGCTTAAGAGCACAACAGTGAAGAAGTCTCAGAACAAAACCTCAGTGACCACCTAGGGGGCAAGGTCCTGACACTGTTCTCAGTAAAACCTGTCTTGAGAATATCATGCTTTATATAATTCCCTTTAATTCTACAGGACTTATGAAGGTAGAATCCACCTTCAAATACCTCTTTTATGTTAGAGAACATGTTAGATTCATTAATAATTTCCAAAAATATTATTTTAGAAAATAAAATTATAATATGGATCTCCTCCCATAATAAATCTTTTTTCTAGAAGCACATTTTATTTCATGCTTCTGCCCAATCATCTCCCACTCTCTCATGTAGAGACAAAAGTGTTTTGCAGGCCAAAGGATAGACAAAATAAATAATAACAAGGAGAGAATGAATACTCACAAATTGATCCCCAGATAATTCATAAACAGTACATTTACCTAATATAGCATATTTTCTTACTTTTTCTCCAGTCATATGCATAATATTAAATACCACGTTAAAGCTGTCATTTTAATGGCTCACCAGCTATGCAGTAGTGGAAAGAGCATAGGATTTGGAATAGAACGCAACTTGAATTTCAACTCTGTACCTTACTAGCTACATTACGTTTGCAAATTACTTAAATCAGCTGAGTCTCAGTTTTTCTCTTTTGTAAAACTGTTGGAGCAACACCTACTACTAGACAGAGATCCTGGAATAGCTCCCAGAATGGTAGAGGAACATACTGGATCTCTTCACCTGGACACTGGATCCCAACCCTGATTGCCTCTCAAGGACTTCAGGACTGCACCAACAAGTCTTTCTTTCTGGCCTAGACAATACTTTTGTTACTGTATCTTTCGCTCAACATTCAACCATACTTCTCTTTTCCTTCCTTAAAACATACATATAGTCTCACACACGCACTCAGATACAGACATACACACACACACACACACTCACACACACACACACACAGAGTTTGATTCAGGTCCCTCCGACTACCTATTTCTCTCATTTCTTTGAGAGGAAACTGCACCAAACTTGATACTCTCTCTGCATTCTCTCCTTTATATAAAATTGAACTCTTTCCCCACCACTCCTTTAACCTCACTGCTGTCGATGTCATTCTACACTAACAAACCCAGTGGTCATTGTCAAGTTGCATCTCACTTGACCTATAGCAGTATTTAACACAATCAGGCTGTCAGTTCTCTCTGTCTTGAAATACTTTCTTCACTTGGCTCCTAGACACTAGTCTTCTGATCTGATTTTCCTCCTATCTCACAGCCATTCAACCCCCCTTTCCTTTCCAGTGTTTTCCTCATTTTTCCAATCACTGAATCACAGTCATTGAACCTCTCATCTTTTCCAACTACACTCATTCCCTGGATGCATTCTTCATTCCAAGGACTATGAACACTGTCCACTTATTAATGAATACTTAATTTAGATCTTTAGCCAAGACTGTTCTACTAAACTCATGACTTAGAGACCCAATTTCCTACTATAGGAAATTCCCTCCTCTTAGATGTCTGCTGTGGTTTGGTTTGTCCCCACCAAAACTTATGTTGAAATTTGATCACAAGCGTGGCCATGCTGGGAGGTGAGGCTTCGTAGGAGGTGTTTGGGTCATGGAAGCAGATCCCTCATGAACAGATTGATGCTATTCTTGCAGTAGTGAGGAAGTTCTTGCTCTCTTGAGTCTGAATTAATTCTTGTCAGAATGGATTAGTTTCCAAGAAAATGGGTTATTATAAAGCGAGTTTCCTCCTCCTCTTGGTTCTCTCTTCACATATGTCCACTTCCCTTTTAACCTTCTGCCATGTTGTGACGTAGCATATAAGCCCTCACCAGAAGCCATGCAGATGCCAGTACCATGCTCCTCATACTTCTAAGCCCACAGAATCATGAGCTAAAGATACCTCTTTTCTTTATAAGTTTTCCAGCCTTAGGTATTTTTCTTATAGCAAAACTGGACTAAGACAAAAAATGGACTATGGCAACGTATAACAGGCTTAGGCAACTTTACTCTTCCAAAATAAAGTTGTAATCTTGTATACAAAACTGCTCCTCCATAGTCTTCCTCATCTCAATCCACTTGCTTAGTTCAAAAAAATCTTGTTATTTTCCTTGATTCCTCTCTTTGGTTCACTCTCCACATTTAACCCATCAGCAATCCACATTGGCTTTAAATTGAAATATATCCAGATACTGACTATTTTTTGTTACCATCCCTGCTACCACTCTAATTCAAGTTGCCATCAGGTCTTGTCTAACTGGTCTCCCTGAGTCCACTTTGCCCCACTACATTCTACTTTCAACATTATTGCAGAGTGATCCTGTTTAGACGCAGGTCACTACAGTCTACTTTCACCATTATTGCAGAGTGATCCTGTTTAAATGCAGGTCACATTATCTCATTTATTGGCTCAAAGCCTTCAGTGCTTCCCATCTCCTTACAACAGGCTACAAGGCCTTATATGATACAGCAGCTTCTCATTATTATTCAGATTTCCTCTGCTCTTCTCACCCTCCCACTCCAACTCCAATGGCCTCCTTGACATTCCAGGAAGATTCCATGCTTGCCTCAGGGCCTTTGCACTTCCTTCCCCCCCAGCCTGCAATATTTCCCTCCAGTATATCCATATTGATCACTCTCTCATCACCTTGAAGTCTTTGTTCAAATGTCTCCCTCTAGGTGAGTCCTTTCCTGACCATCTATTTGAAACTGAAAACTCTCATCCCTGACACATCCTATCTATTTTCCCTGCTCTATTTTCTCCATAACACTTTTTGATTTCTAAACTATCATTCAACTTACTTTTTTAAAAATTATCTTTTTCTGTCTGCTAAAGTGGAGGCTTCATGTGGGTGTTTCTGGCTGTTTTATTTTTTAATATATCTACAATATCCAGAATAGTGCTGGGCCTTAGTAGGTGTTTAATAAATATTTGATAAAATTAATATTAGACTGTTTTAAAAAATTTATCAAATAAGCCAACAAAAGCATATATTCACCTACACTATTCAATCTTGCTTATAATTTGAATAAGTGAAATGTGAAAATCCTTATATGGTTTTATTTACCTTATTGGTGCAAAAGCAATTGCGGTTTTTGCCATTAAAACTAATGGCAAGGCCAGGTGCGGTGGCTCAGGCCTGTAATACCAGCACTTTGGGAGGCTGAGGCAGGCGGATCATGAGGTCAGGAGATCGAGACCATCCTGGCTAACACATGAAACTCCATCTCTACTAAAAATACAAAAAAAAAAAAAAAAATTAGGCAGGTGTGGTGGTGTGCGCCTGTAGTCCCAGCTACTCGGAGGCTGAAGCAGGAGAATGGCATGAACCCAGGAGGCAGAGCTTGCAGTGAGCCAAGATCATGCCACTGCACTCCAGCCTGGGTGGCAGAGCAAGACTCCATCTCAAAAAAAAAAAAAAAAAACCACTAATGGCAAAAACCACAATTGCTTTTGTACCAACCTAATACAATTATTCACTAAACATTTAAAAGCCAAAATGAGGAGTACAAAGATAAATAGAACAGAATGTAGCAACTAAAGTGGTTTATAATTTAGGAAAAGAGTAAAGATATCTGCATAAACATCTATAATAAAACTTTTGTTATATATTACATACTATACAAAATAAAGTAGCACATAATTATAAGAAATATTTAAATATAAAATCGAGATTATATTTAAATACATATTTAAATTCTTGCTATTCGTAGGATACTTTAAATTTTAATAATGTTATTATGGACTAGAATACCAAAGATATTGATATGGTTTTGCTCTGTGTCCCCACCCAAATCTTATCTTGTAGATCCCATAATTCCCACATGCTGTCAGAGAGACCTGGTGGGAGATGATTGAATCATGGGGGTGGATTTTTCCCATGCTATTCTCATGCTAGTGAGTAAGTCTCACGAGATCTGATGGTTTTTAAAAAATGGGAGTTTGCCTGAACAAGCTCTCTCTTTGCCTGCTGCCATCCACGTAAGATGTGACTTGCTCCTCCTTGCTTTCCACCATGATTGTGAGGCCTCCCCAGCCATGTGGAACTGTAAGTCAATTAAACCTTTTTCTTTTGTACATTGTCCAGTCTCAGGTATATCTTTATCAGCAGTGTGAGAATGAACTAACACAGTAAATTGGTACCTGCAGAGTGGGGCATTGCTGAAAAGATACCCAAAAATGTGGAAATGACTTTGGAACTGGGTAACAGGCAGAGGTTGGAACAGTTTGGAGGGCTCAGAAGAAGACAGGAAAATGTGGGAAAGTTTGGAACTTCCTAGAGACTTGTTGAATGGCTTTGCACAAAATGCTGATAGCAATATGGACGATAAAGTCCAGGCTGAGGTGGTCTCAGATGGAAATAAGGAACTTGGAAACTGGAGCAAAGGTGATTCTTGTTATGTTTTAGCAAAGAGACTGGTGGCATTTTGCCCCTGCCCTCCCTAGAGAATTGTGGAACTTTGAACTCGAGAGAGATGATTTAGCGTATCCGGTGGAAGAAATTTCTAAGCAACAAAGCATTCAAGGGGTGAGTTGGATGCTGTTAAAGGCATTCAGTTTCAAAAAAGAAATAGAGCATAAAAGTTCAGAAAATTTGCAGTCTGACAATGCAATAAAAAAGAAAATCCCACTTTCTGAGGAGAAACTTCAATCTGGCTACAGAAATTTGCATAAGTAACAAGGAGCCGAATGTTAACCCCCAAGACAAAGGGGAAAATGTCTCCAGGACATGTCAGAGACCTTTACAGCAGCCCATCCCATCACAGGACAAGAGGCCTAAGAAGAAAAAGTGGTTTTGTGGGCTGGCCCCAGGGTCCCCATTGCTGTATGCAGCCTAGGGACTTGGTGCCCTGTGTCCCAGCCACTCCAGTTGTGGCTGAAAGGAGCCAATGTAGAGCTTGGGCTGTGGCTTCAGAGGGTTCAAGCCTCAAGCCTTGGCAGCTTCCACATGATGAAGGGCTTGCCAGTGCACAGAAGAATTGGGGTTTGAAAACCTCCACCTAGATTTCAGAGGATGTATGAAAATGCCTGGATGACCAGGCAGAAGTTTGCTCTAGGAGGGGGGTCCTCATGGAGAACCTCTGCTAGGGCAGTGTAGAAGGGAAATGTGGGGTCATAGCCCCCACACAGAGTCCCTATTGGGGCATCACCTAGTGGAGCTGTGAGAAGAGGGCCACCATCCTCCAGACACCAGAATGGTAGATTCACTGACAGCTTGCACTGTGTGCCTGGAAAAAAAAAGCCACAAAGATTGAATGCCAGCCCATAAAAGCAGCCAGTAGGAAGCCTGTACCCTACAAAACCACAAAAGCAGAGCTGCCCAAGATCATGAGAACCCACCTCTTGCATCAGTGTGACCTGGATGTGAGAACTGGTATTAAAAGATCATTTTGGAACTTTAATATGTGGCTGCCCTGCTGGATTTCAAACTTACATGGGACCTGCAGCCCCTCTGTTTTGGCCAATGTCTCCCATTTGGAATGGCTGTATTCATCCAATGTCTGTACCCCCATTGTATCTAGGAAGTAACTAACTTGGTCATAGGTGGAAGGGACTTGCCTTGTCTCAGATGAGACTTTGGACTGTGGACATTTGAGTTAATGCTGAAATGACTTAAGACTTTGGGGGATTGTGTGAAGGCATGATTGGTTTTGAAATGTGAGGACATGAGATTTGGGAAGAGCTAGGGGTGGAGTGATATGGTTTTGCTCTGCATCCGCACCCAAATCTCATCTTGTAGCTCCCATAATTGCCACAGGTTGTGGGAGGGAACCAGTGGGAGATGATTGAATCATGGGGGCAGATCTTTCCCTTGCTGTTCTCATGATAGTGAATAAGTCTTATGAGATCTGATGGCTATAAAAAAAAAAAAGAAAAAGAAAGAAAGAAAGAAAAGAAAAAAAACAAAAAAATCCCACGAGTTTACCTGCACAGCTCTCTCCTTGCCTGCTGCCATCCACGTAAGATGTGACTTGCTCCTCCTTGCCTTCTGCCATGATTGTGAGGCCTCCCCAGCCACATGGGACTGTAAGTTGATTAAACCTCTTTCTTTTTTAAATTGCCCAGTCTCAGGTATGTCTTTATCAGCACAATGAAAATGGACTAATACTGATATATTTAGCCAAATATTTATAAGGAATGTCTTTGCTATAGAAGTAGTCAGAGACTATGTTAAGGTACACTGTGCTTCTATAAAAGGGAAAGACACAGGCCTAGTTTTATCAAGAAATCAAGATTTTTTAAAATTTACAACTTTTGTTCTGAGGAACATTGGAACTCATGGACGTATACTTTTTAATTTAATCTCAAAAGTGACTCTTTGAATTAAGGTGAAAGTATATTTACCTAACTGAAAAGGAAATGGAGGCTCAGAGAGAGTTAATAAATTGTCCAAGGCCACATATCATCCCCCCAGGTTTTCCTGGGAGTATAGTAGAGTTTCCTTGCCTAGCTAAGAAATTTTTCTAGCCTAATATATGTACATTGGCCTTGAGAATGCGTATCTCTATCCTTGCACTTGACACAATATTTAATAATTTAGTAATTCCCTACTTACATGACTTTCTTACTATGCTGTTAGGTCCTTGTGAACAGGAGCTCTGAGTAGTTCGTTCTTACAACTTCAGTGCCACTTATCATGTCAAATGTGGTGGAAGTGTTCAGTAAGTATATGTTGAATCAATAGATGTGTTAGTACATGTATATAGTCACATGTTGTTTAAAGATGCAGATATGTTCTGAGAAATGCATCATCAGCAATTTTGTCATTGTGCAAGTGTCATAGAGTCTACTTACACAAACCTTGATTGTACAGCCTACTGCACACCTAGGCTGCATGGTATAGCCTACTGCTCCTAGGTTACAAACCTGCACAGAAGGTTACTGCACTGAATACCGTAGGCAATTATAACACAATGGTAGGTATTTGTGTCTCTAAACACATCTATCTATGAAAAAGACATTTGCACATGTATGTATATAGCAGTACAATTCACAATTGCAAAGATGTGGAACCAACCTAAGTGCCCATTGACTAATGAGTGGATAAAAAAAATGTGGTATATATACATCATAGAATACTACTCAGCCATAAAAAGGAATGAAAGAATGCCTTTTGCAGCAATTTGGATGGAGCTGGAGGCCATATTCTAAGTGAAGTAACACAGGAATAGAAAACCAAAAACCGAATATTCTCACTTTATAAGTGGGAGCTAAGCTATGGGTAAGCAAAGGCACACAGAGTCATATAGTGGACTTTAGAGACTCATAAGAAGGAAGGTGGGGGAAAGCTAGAGATAAAAATGTGACACATTAGGTATAATGCACACTACTCAGGTGACGGGTGCACTAAAATCTCAGAATTCACCACTATCTTGTTCATCTGTATAACAAAAAAAACCACTTGTACCCCAAAAACTATTGAAATAATAAATAGCTATAAAGAAAAAGAGTAAAAACAACTAGTATTCCCAGCAATACTAGCTATGAACTGTTCATTTGATATATTTCCCTAAAAAACACATATGTAGATATATTAATTTTACAAAATTAAATGAGATTCATACTGTAATAAAAGAACAAAAAATGTATCTGAGCATAGAAAAGGTACGGTGAAACACAGCATAAAATATTTTTTTAAAGGTACACCTGTATAGGGCATTTACCATGAATGGAGCTTGAAGACTGGAAGTTGCTCTGGGTTAGCCAGTGAGCAAGTGGTGAGTGAATGTGAAGGCCTAGGATATTACTGTACTCTACTGTAGACTTCATAAACACTGTACACTTAGGTTACACTAAATATATGAAAAAAAGTTTTTCTTTTTTCAATAATAACTTTAGCTTACTGTAACTTTTTTACTTTGTAAACTTTAATTTTTTTAATTTTTTGACTTTTGTCATAAGACAGCTTAAAAAACAAATCTTATACAGCTGTACAAAAATATTTTTCCTTATATCCTTATTCTGTAAGCTTTTTTCTATTTTTAAGTTTTTTAATTTATATTTTTTACTTTTTAAATTAAAAGAGAAACTAGGACACAAAAACACACATTAACTCAGGCTTACATGGGGTCAAGATCATCAACATCACTGCCTTCCACATCTTGTCCCACTGGAAGGTCTTCAGGCAGTAACATGCATGGAGCTGTCATCTCCTTATTTGTTTACTGATATTACAGAGGTCAGGGACCTCAAGATGGTTTTTTAAAAATAATTTTACTCTCCACATCTTATTCTGTTGAGGAAAGATCCTGAGTCCCTCCAAGCATGTCTAGAGCTGACTGCTTGGAATTTTAATGTCTCTTAGTCGATATGGTCCCTGGACTCAAAGCATCATTGGTTTTAAACATCGCTAATGCCAGGAGCAGTAAGCATTTTCCCTGAAGTTTCTGCTGATGCTCCTGAACAAATTTGTTTATTTTTCTTTCACTACTATTCAAACATAAATAGTACCCAATATCTAGTTTGTTATCTTTATCCATATATGAATGGCTGTTCCCAGAAATGAGTTGGCATAGTTTTGATTAAAAACTATTTTCACACATCTAGGAAAACAGCACAGCTAACTGTGGAGACACAGAGTGTGATCTAGAGGATTAATAAAGACCAGTGAGCACTGACAAATGAAGCTTATTTGTTCCTTCCTATTACTAACTCTTATCCTCCAGGAAGAGGGGCTGCCTGGCAAAAGCAGAAGTTTCAAGTCCAGTGAGACTTAAGTATTAACCAGATGCTGTAGCAAAAAAAGCAAGAAATAAGAAATAAATTAGAAGATCATTGTATAGTACAAATACAACTTTTGAAAAGATAAAACAGGTATTTACTTGTGGGAATTTCAGAGACATTTACTTAAGAGTTCAGCACGAAAAAATTTTTAATGCAAAGATACAATATTTATTTAATAAGCAAAAATTCTGTATCTGTTCTAAGCAGCACAAAAACTGCATTAAATATTTTGTTGTCATCAATTCATAACCACTTTAAAGCTTCTTGCAACATGTTCTTCTATTAGTAATAAACAATTCTAAAAATCCATGCTGATTTTGAAAACTCTTTGTTTTTTTTTAAATTTATTTATTTATTATTATTATTATTATTATACTTTAAGTTTTAGGGTACATGTGCACAATGTGCCGGTTAGTTACATATGTATACATGTGCCATGCCGGTGTGCTGCACCCATTAACTCGTCACAATAGCAAAGACTTGGAAAACTCTTTGTTTTGTGTGAAACTAATCCATGAGTTTTTTTTCAAACTGTTAACAAATGCTTGAGATTTTTAAATGAGGATTTAAGGGTAGGGTTTTAGGGGCTACCTGATCACAGCATTTTAGGTAAATGAGCATTTTTCTCAAGATTGCCCATAGAATTCTCCGCATCCTCAAAGTTATCCTTCATGTCAAAGAAAATAAAAATGCTAAGAGCTTACTTAGAACAGTTAAATTTACTGAAGTGTATTTAGACACTTAATCTGATGCTCAAGGCAACAAACTAGAATGACGCTGCTTGTCTGAGAAAAGAATAAGCTCATAATAGCAAAAATAATTTCTCATTCTTTGAAAATTATCTTTGTTATTTTTAAAGCAAAACAGACCATACTCTACTCACTTATTAATTTCTTTTTCAATAGTTGAAAATGTTTTGGAAGAACAAAGGCAGAGTAGGCATGTGGGCCATGGAAAAAACTTTACACTTGGCCAGGGCCAGCCTCAAACGTAAAACACTTTGGTCTGTCCTTAGAGCAACTGCTTGACCAGATGAACCTCAGCATCCTAATCCGAAACAGTATCTGCCAAAAGATAGGTGTAGCGTCTCACATATGATAAATATCCAGTATAAATTAGCTTCATTCTTTTCTCTCAATTGCCATAAAGGTGTATAATGAGAATTGTGTTTTCATTTTTATTTATTTTCTCAGAAGTGACATTTTAGTTATTGGTAACAGTACCCAGTGACTGACTCAACTTTTCTCATACTCTTTAGGAAAGCACAGGTGATATAAAAGAGGATCGGTGCCTCAGGGACTCCTCAAACCTATTTGTATCTTGGCCAAATTAGGTTTTACAAAATACTGAAAGCAAATTGATTGATCTTGTCTAACTTTTATTGCTATTTAACTGGGCCAGAGTTTTCCATACACTTAATAGACTATCACTGAATGAAAAAACTTGACAGGTTCTGGAAAGTTGTTCCCCCAAATTGTTCTCTTATCCCACTTAAATAAGTAGTTTAAATATCCCTGAAAATTTCTGTTTAAGAAATGAGATTTCAGAATCTTCCTGCAAATTTTAACTCTATAATTTACTAAGCCATGTCCAACCATTATACCTGAGGAAGAATTAGTTTATGGAATTACATGCTAGATACAGATGCACATTGAAATAAGCTTAATTTAGAAGTACCCCTGAGAGTGTGGCTGAAGAATCTCTGGTAAAAGAATTGTGGCAATTCTGCAATATGAGACATTTCCTGGGAGCATAGGCTTAGGGACATTAGGTCATTAGGAATCCTGAGAAGAAGGGAAATTAGATGGCAAAGACACACTTCCAATTTCTCACTGTTGCCAGAACAGTTTCACCCGGATATGGTCATTGTTTATGAGTTGTTAATTGGTGCTGAGACATGTATAAGCATTGAGGAGACTGATTCTGATTTTCATGAGTTTCTGAGAGTATTGTTCATGCTTACAATTTAATACTATATGATTCTCTACTGATAATGATACTCCTAAAATTCTTAATAAACATTCAGTAATATGATGAGATTCTCTGGGAAGATGAGACAAAGGAAATATCTGTAAGATATTTTCTTAAAAACAGTAATGAATAGCAAGAGTGAGTTATTGAAAAGGATTACATAGCCTGATGTAGCAGTAATGTAAGGTCGTGAGTATGGGATCTATAAGTCAGAAACTATCTTCAATCTCCTCTTTATTTTCCCAATAAACATATATGTGTATCTACCCGTCCTAAACTTTTTACAACCTCAGATGGCTTCTTCCCTTCTAATCAAATGTTATCTAGCTGGCTGGGCACGGTGGCTCACTTTGGGAGGCCAAGGTGGGCGGATCACCTGAGGTTGGGAGTTTGAGACCAGCCTGACCAACATGGAGAAACCCCATCTCTACTAAAAATACAAAATTAGCCAGGCGTGGTGGTGCATGCCTGTAATCCCAGCTACTCAGGAGGCTGAGGCAGGAGAATCGCTTGAATCTGGGAGGTGGAGGTTGCAGTGAGCAGAGATCACACCATTGCACTCCAGCCTGGGCAACAAGGGCAAAACTCCATCTCAAAAAAAAAAAAAAAAAAAAGTTATCTACCCACCTGGGCTTTGAAACTGAGCTTTCAAAAGAATTTTATCTTCTCTCTGCTCTATTATCCACTACCTTGAACCTTGTTCTTTCAACTGACTCCTGTTTCTGAATGCAATATAAATAAGAAACTCCCACAATAAAATATAAATATACAATTTTTCCATCACATGCCCATTTTTAATTGTCTTTCATAATTAGTGACTCAAAAATCTTTATCTTTTGCTCAGATTAAGCTAACTCAATTATAATTTATTTGATGATCAATATGTCAGATAGTTTTACTTGATGGCTCTCTCACTTTCCACTTCAAAATAAACACTAATTTCAGTGTAATCAGCTTTCTCAGTATCTTCTGAATCTGTATACTTCTTTCTCTCTCCATATTGTAACTTAATCTAGAGTAGCATCATTTCTCACATGCACAATGGTAATTTTTCAATTATACTAACATACTTGAATCTGTACTCACGTACATCTTCCCTCTTGTTACAGTGAAAGAATTTGTCTATGCTTCTCCCTAACACTAAACTGTCTTACAGTGAAAGAATTTGTCTATGCTTCTCCCTAACACTAAACTGTCTTACAATAGATCCCATCCCTCAAGTTACTAAAGGTCTTTGATCATTTTTATCTCTTGCATTATCAATTTTTCCCTTTTGTTGATTTCCATCAACATACAAACCTGCTCTATTATGATCCTTCTTAAAAACTAAAAACTTTCCATTGATCCCACATAACCCTGCAATTATACTGTCTCAAGTCTCTTATGTTTAGAACAAAACTCCTTGCCTTTATTAGCCCTTTTTCCATTCTCTCATCCTCCTTTTTTCTTATTTTCTCTGGAACCTACTTCAGTTAGACTCTTGCTTCTATCACATCTTCAAACCGCTATGGTCAAGGTAGCATGTAATCTATAAATTAAAAATGAATGGTCTCTCCTCAGTCCTTTCTTCCTCCATTTACCAATAGCATTTAGTACAATGATTTTCTCTTTTCTTTTTGAATTATATTCTTCATTTGATTGGTGGACTACATGGTTCTCTTCCTACCAATAATACTAGCTAGCTACTCCTCATCCTCCTTTGCCCAGATGCTCCTTTTTGTTCCAAACACCAAATGTTAGAGTGCCACAGGACATAGTTCTTCCATTCATCTTCTCAATGTGCCCTCATTCCCAAAGAAAATGATCCATATCCATGGTTTAAAATAACATTCATATGTTGATGGTTCCCAAATCTATATTTCCAACCCATATGTCTCCTCCAAATACAATCTCATAAATTCATTTCCCTATTCACAATCTCCACTTGGATGCCTATTTGGCATCTCAAACTTAACACAGCCACAACAGAACACATGCTATCACCACCTCCCTTCAACACAGGTCTCTTCACCATCTTGGGGAATAACAACTCTGTTTTTCCAATTGCTCAGGCCAAAAATCTTGAAGTTGATTTTTACATATCTCATTTGGTCATATTAAAGCCAGCATCAAATCCTGTCATATCTGTATTCTAAGAATATCCTGAAATGAACCCTCCTCCATCCTCCACCATCACGACAATCCTTGTCCAAGCAGTTGCCAACACCTCTTTTCTGGGTAATGCTTTAGTTCTCTAACTGGCCTTTCTGCATCTCATCTACATAGTTGATTTTCTATAAGGATGAATTATCCTTTGAAAATGATATAGATTATGTCATTCCTCCACTCAAACTCTCCATCTCAGTCCAAATAAAAGCCAAAGCCCTTACAGAGACTGAGGGAACACTGTATGATGTAACTCCCAACCCATTCTCTTGTCTCTAAACATTCACTTGAGCGATCTTTCTGAATGAAAATCTGTGGGTGTCATTCCATTGCTTTGAATCTTCCACTGACATCTCCCCATTGCTTTGAGAATAAGCCCAGATTCCACAGAAAAAAACATTCAGTACTCTTCATTGTGAAGCTCCTGCTTACTGCCATATTTTTGATTCCTACCATTTTCTTTTGCAAGAGCACCCTACTCTGCAGCCTAATTGAATTTCTTGTTTATTCTTGGTTGAATTATATACTCCTATCTCTGTTTTGTTGCATAAGCTGTTCCTTCAGCTTCAGATAACCCCCACCTAGAATTCCCCTTTACCACCCACCCAAACTTCCCTTTCTTTGATTGAATAAGCATTTCCTTTGACTCCCTTCAATGATTAACAACTTCTTTTTTCCTCTAGACTGTGCTGTAGTAAAATTTTGTATATAGGGTTTATATTTGTTACATCTCTTCTATCACATTGTATTCAATTTGTTAGTCTATTTCACCATCTCCCTTTTTGAACAATAAGGGCTTCAGCAATAAAAGCTGTATCATATTTAAGTCCTCACCATTTAGCACAGTGCTTAGTATATGCACAGTTTTCAAAAACATTGAATGATATTTTTAACCAATACAAAATGTAGGCATGGCATGTAAGATGAATGATATTCTTTGAAATTAAAACCATTTAACTATTTTACCATTTAATTTGTCACCATGAAACCATTTAACCAAAATCAAATGAAAAGATAGATGTCTAGAGAAAATGGAGGATAAGACGGCAATTTATGTTTTTTGTTGTTGCTGCTGTGGTTTTTAGTTCAGAAGAATCACAAGACAAGGTATTTATAAACTGAATTATTCTGATCACCACAAATTATTCCATTTAATATTTAAGAAGCTAAAATGTCTAAATAAAATATCCCAGGACACAATATAACTATCTTTGCTCTCTTTTCTGAGAATTTTTGCTCACCGAGTTACTACCTAATTTTCTATTATATTTTTCTTTACTTCAATGCATTCTAAAGCTACACATAATAAAAACAAAGGAAAAGTCAAGCCATAGACAGAAAGAAAACATCTTCAAAACATATATTTGATAAATGACTTATATTCAGAATATTATAAAGAACCCTTTTAATTCAATGATAAGAAGGAAAACAACCATAAAAAATGTTCAAAAGATTTGAATAGACTACACTGAAGAAGCTATATTGATGGCAAATTAGCAAATGACAACATGCTCAACAGTGTTAGCCATTAGGAAAATGCAAATTAAAGCTACAAGATACCATGTAAAACCACTAGAATGATTCAAATACATTTTTTTTAAAACTGGTAGTGCCAAATGTTGGCGAAGATTTGGAGAAATTGGAAACCTCATACATGAGTGGTGGGAATGCAAAATTACATAGACACTTGGAAATTGAGTTTGGCAGTTTCTTTGAAAGTTAAACACACATTGGCCATGTGACCCAGCTAATCTACATCTGTGTATCTCTACTCAATAGAAATAAGAATATATGGTCCCCAAAGCTGTGTAAGTGAATTTTCATAACAACATTATTCATTATGACCAAAAACTGGAAACACAACTAATGTCCATCTACCTGGTAGCAATAAAAACGAACTTCTGAAATATGCAATGACGTAGATGACCCTCAATGATAATAGGCCAAATGAATGAAACCAAACACAGAAGAGTACCTATTGTAGGGTCCTGTTTACATAACATTTCTAGAAAAGGCAAACCATGAGAAAGATAAAGCAGATTCATGATTGTCCAGTGTTCAGGGTAGGAATGGGGATTGTTTGCAAATTGGCACTAGGGAGTTTTAGGGATGGTGGCAATGTTGTAAAACTGGATTGTGGTGATAGCTGCAGGGTGGTAAAATTTCAGCAAAACTCATTGAAGTATACTTTAAACGGGTGAAATTTGTGATATGTAAATTATGCTTCAATATTGATGTTAAATATTAAATAATATTATTTTAATTATAATTTAAATAAGTTCTATGTTGGATGATAAATTCACTCATACATTAGGTTAATATAATTCAGTTTCACAAGCCACCATAACACCTATGTAATCGAATAAAATCAAGTACTGCAATCTTCAAAGCCAAAGAATGGGATCTAGATTAGCATTATCCAGTAGAAATTCCTTCAATGATGAGTTTATATCCATGCTGTCTCATAGAGCAGCCACAAGTCATATGGGCCTCTGGAGAGGTTAAAATGTGGCTAATATAATTTAGTAACTGAATTTTTAAAATTGTATGTAATTTTAATTAATTTACATTTAAATATCTACATGCGGCTGAGCATGGTGGCTCACGCTTGTAATCCCAGCACTTTGGGAGGCCGAGGTGGGTGGATCACCTGAGGTCAGGAGTTCAGGATCAGCCTGGTCAACCCTGTCTCTACTAAAAACACAAAAATTATCTGGGTGGGGTGGACGCCTATAATCCCAGCTCCTCAGGAGGCTGAGGCAGGAGAATCACTTGAACCCCGGGAGGCAGAGGTTGCAGTGAGACAAGATCATGCCACTGCACTCCAGCCTGGGCAACAGAGCAAAACTCTGTCAATAAATAAATAAATAAAAATCCACATGTGGCTAGGTGCTACTATATTGAATAGTAGATCCAGTACTTTATGTGGGTAAGTCAGTCTGCCCAGAACTAGGCTGCAGAGATCTTAGAAAAGACCAAGCTAGATAGTAATGAAATCAGATGATTTAGGTGCTATTCCCAGGTTCTGAGCCATACAAAAATCCCATCATCTGATAACATGGTATGTGCTGCCTTTACATTGGTGCCATAATGCTTTGAACTACTACTCTAGTCACTTTGGACATTACTGGAGATGTTTTGTTTGTTATGGTAATGAAATTGTATAGATTAGGTCAACTGTTATTATAGCATCGAGTGTCAGAATTTTTTTGGTCACCTCTCCATTCTGACTAAATGCAGGTGCCATCTACATTGTTTGCTTCATTTTATTGTTCAGTCCCTATCTGAGCACTACTTCCAAAACAATCATTCCTTTGATTTGTATGACACTTTCCCATACATAAAATACTTTTCATATTAATTATCTTGCATGAGCTTTGTGACAACCTTGGGAAGTAGGAAGGCTTTGTATTGCTGCATAAATTTAATAGAAAACAAAAGTAACATTAGCAATTACCATTTATCGAAAAATTCCTTGACACCAAATACTTTATTAGAAACTTCATTCCTTACTTAGTCTCATAAACACATGTTTTATAGTTTAGTACTCTGAAGCTAAGTAACATTGTCCAAGATGAAACAGGAAAATAGTGGCAAAACAGGGTTTTTTTAGGGCAATGTATATGTGAATATATATGAGTGTGTGTGTATACATATATATGTACACATATATGTGTGTATATGTATATATGTACACATATATGTGTGTATACGTATATAGGTACACATATATGTGTATATACGTATATAGGTACACATATATGTGTATATACATATATGAATAAATATATTCATTGTATGTGTGTGAATATATATTTACTCCAGGGCCCACTATAAAGCATGGACTAATTTCTAGAGCTCTTTTAAAATTCCTAGTACCCTTTCCATTTTATCAGAACTAGAAAGCAGTTAGCTTTGACTTCTAGTAAAATCCGTTACATTTGGTGAGATTCAGGACAAGCCAAGGCAAAGCATCTCCTTCCAGGAGGTAACAATTAAAGAAAAGGTTTTATGGCGGAAAAGATTAAAATGGAGTATGTGGTGTCTTTTTAATCTGAGATAGTGTTATTCCTGTTAATTCAAGGAAGTGACTCAACTTTCAGGTGTGGAAACCTTGGCTTCTTCACACAAAGTTATAGACAGCTGGAGCTCAAGAATAGAATTGCTAAATTTACTAAATTGGCTAGAAATCTTCCAGAGTCTACTGAGAAATGTCTGTCTGTTTTGCCCAGGTCTGTCCTTGTTGGAGTGCTGTTAGGCAGAATGGCTGAGAAGAATGAACCAGGACACCAATGAACAGGGGGGAGAATGAAGAGTAGAAGCAGATCTCTTCTGACTTGGACATAAGGAGCTAGCCAGTGACATAACACAGTCCTCCATTCCTTTGAAACCCAGAATATATCCACAATATTCAGTGAAACTAAAAGTGGATAGTGCTGAGGAGCTTTTAATATTTGTGGAAAGAGATAAGAGATTATTTGGATATGGTAGTTAGTGACAATCATGATGACAGATGTCTGTCTGCCTCAGTGTGGCTTTAGGTGATTGGGTTGTCCCTGTTAAAGAATCAGCATCTCCCAGCATTCTGTTCCCAATAGTACAAGATGGGAAATTCAGTAAGAACCCAGGACTAATCTCATGGAAAAACTCCTCCAGTTTGGACATTTTCAACAACCACATCCACAAAAAAATTTTTCAAAACTTAGGAAAATTAGATCACATTATTTTACTCTATTAAGCATTCATCTGTATATCCATTAGTATTAGTACTATTAGACATTTGGTTATTATGTTCCATCTTCATCATTTAGGCTACATAGGATTAGAAATTCAATGAAGAAAATTTAAAAACACTTTTTGTACTCGAGACTAGTATTTTAAAGTTTTATGTAACATATCAAGTTATTTTACCTCATTGTTAACAATTTTTCATTCTAATTTTTTTCCAAATTTTTGACATCTTGGAACCCTAGAGTTCCACAGTTGAAGGTGTAGATGACTTTCAAATTAAATAACAGTGATACAGGCAATTTTTAAACTTTTGATAAATTGGCATTTCATGTAATTGAATCTGATCTCAATATCAAATATGTATTCCCTAAGAGAAATGGTGTAATTTGATGCATGTGGTTGTTTTATTTTTATAAAGAATTTAAATTATTTATTCTTGGAAACATTTAACATTTCCTCTCAGTTCTTCATAATCCCTGGATCACAGGGTTTTGTGAAAACCCACTCATATTGAAGACAAGCTCCCTTTTAAGTAGTTCAAATGAATGCTAAACTTACTCCACAAGTGGTTATAATATATTCCAAAAAGACGTTGATTGCACTGAGCTGTAATTTTTGTCATTTGAGGGGAGTGGTTAAGACTGAATAAGTATGTAGCCATTTAATTGCCAAGAAAAATAGCCACCTACATTGTGAGTCTCTGTTCTCCCAGTTATCCGAGTGAATTAACAACTAAAATAGTACTGGTAACTCATGGTAAAGCGGTTTTCAAAATTCTACGCCATGAACCATGTCTTGGCTACCAGCACAGCCCACAGACAGATAGGTAGTAAGGCTTCTATGGCTTTCTCCACCCAAGCAGTTGGTTCTACTGACCTGTTGAAAGGCTGGAAGTTATCCCTACTGCCTCTTTCACTATAATGGCTTCCCCCATCAAATACCATTTAAAATATAAGTACGTCACTTCGGTGAGGAACTAACTCAATTAACACCAAGTATATTATCAAATAAGTACAATCATAAACACATGTGGTAAGGTTATATGTTACACCACTCCTTGGAGGAGCTTACTATCTAGAGGAAAATAGGACCAGAAGGTAACCAGCAGGGAAGAAGTTAGAGTGATGGCAAAACTAGATTTAACAACACAGTTCTGGAAAGCTAAGATCTAAGAGTTTAAGCCAATAGCAGATTCTGGGACATGGAGAGAGAAAAGGAGAAAAGATAGGGCTGAAGCTAAAGGACATGAACGGCAATCAGTAATTCAATTAGTCAATGAAATATTTATTGCATTTAGTGCCTACCAATTTAGCACACTTGGTCTTAGATATCTACAAAATTTGGACAAGTATGAGACTGTATCCACAGAGAATTTGGTTTATGACATAGCCTCAGGCTGGCTTCTTACAGATGAGACAAGGTTGTAATGAGTTTCTCATGATACATTCAATAATAAAACTCTTTGGATGGAATCCAAGGCAGATTTGCCCTTGCTGAATCACAGTTTGTCATTTGTTAGAGAGATGCTCCAGTGTGTTGCAAATGCACTGCTTGGTCACTCACAAATTCAACAGGTACCAACAAATTCAGGAGCCACTAAACTTGAACATGACTTTCAGTATTAGCACTTTTCTTAATGTTAACATTTTGTATATTGTAGAATTGTTTTACTGAAATACAAGTTACATTTTATCATCAGTTTTCATGATGCAATCAACTAATGTTTGAAATTTGCTAATGTATTTATTTTAAATTCGTAAAACATTCTTCAGTACAGCATTTCATTTATGAGGATTCATAAGAAAAATGTATTTTAGTCTTACCCAGTGTAACTGACTTTCTTTTATTTTATTGATGTTATGGAACATTTTATAGGTTTTGTTCTCTTCTTTGCTTCCACTATTAGGTAACTCAGAAACAAATCATCTTCCTACTTGATGTGCAGGACTGTATGGCATGCATTTTTGTGCATTTACCTTGTACATAACTTTGTTTCTTATCCATAGAATTTTTTAATTTTTGTTGCAAGAGTTTTCTGTTTTATTTTTATCCTGATATATATTTTTATCTTGATATATCCTATTTTATCCTGATATATATGTCCTACAAATATAAATAAACATACACACATAATATACACAATAGTTGACATTAATATAAGAAAAATATAAATACCAAGATTTATATTCAATATTATGGATTGTAAATTTGCTAGTAACTATCCGTTTAGCTATTGAGTGATTAAACTGTGTATAGGTATGCATGTACAAATACATACACATATACACATATATGCATATTCATAGATAGATAAGTGATAGATTTGTTATATCACTCATCTTTCTGAGAACAAGACAAGTAGTTCTTAATATTTTAAAATTTTATTACAAATAATACTACAGTGAATATCAATTGACAACTAGGTATCATGAAGCAATATAAAGGTGCTTCTCACTAGTTCAGTCATGTAAAGTTTTCTTAAGTGATTTGTGTACATACCAAACAAGAATGTTAAAGCAGCCTTCTTTTTTCACATTCGATGGTGAAGGTGGGATTTTCTTGTCATTATTTCTTATGTAAGACAAAAGGGCTTTTACTCCATAAATTTTACTTAGTTTCTCAACACATTTCATATTAGTTAACGTTTTAAAAATGGAATAATAACTTTCATCACACAGCAAAATTTATTTTAAGGAAGGGAACTTCCAAACACACACAAAAAATATTTATTATAACTTTATCCTTCTTATTCTAACCTGCAGACAATATCTGAAATAATAGAACAATCTCATAGAAAGATGAGATTTGGTATTTAAAGCTTTTATTTTTTTCTTCAGCCTATGGATATATTTGTTATATAAAGTTAATAGAGAAATATATAAAATATTTAATTATTATTAAAGTACTTCTTACAAATAATGTTGTGTCAATCAGGACAGACAAAATTATGTCTTGCTAATGAAGAACCCCCACGTCTCAATAATTTCAATCAAGTAGTTAATTTTTTTGTCCAATGTGGATCAACTGGAGTCACTATTCATTGTAATTATTAAAGGCTTGAACTGGCTCAGGTTCCATCTGGACCACAAACCACATACGGTTATCAAACACTTGAAATGTGGCTAGTTGGAACTGAGATGTACCCTAAATGTAAAATAGCAGATATCAATGAGTTATCACCAAAAAATAAATAAAAGTATTCAATTAATAATTATTAATTGATTACATGTTGAAATGATAATATTTGAGAAATATTAGTGAAGTATAATATATTATTAAAATTAATGTCAAATTTTTCTTTTCTTTTTTAAATGTAGATACTAGAAAATTTTAAATTACCTAAGTGGTTTATATTATATGTCAACTGAGCAGTGATTGTTCAGATACCACTTGCACAAACTCCGAGGCAGGAGGAAGAGAATGCAGCAAATCATGCACTAACATTTCTACTAGGAAACAACAACACTCACTATTTCCAATTACATTGCAATGGTAAAAGAGACTCATAAAATCATGCATAATTTCAAGGGGTTCAAAGTACAGAGAAATACAGACCTGCTCTGTGTTTAGAAGGCAAGTAACTTTGAACATGACTTCAACATGCAGTCATCCCTAGATATTCATGGGGGATTTGTTCCAGGACCCCTATCGGATACCAAAATCCTCAGATGCTCAAGTCCCTTATATAAAATGGTGAAGTATTTGCATATAACCTATGCACATATACCTTAAATCATCTTTAGATTATTTATACTATCTAGTACAACATAAATGCTATGTAAATAGTTGTTACATTATATTGTCTTTGTATTATTTGTTATTGTTGCATTGTTATTTTACTCTTTTATTCAAATATTTTCAATCCATGTTGGTTGAATTCATAGTTTTAGAACCCAACATGGAAAGCTGACTGTATACTCTCATGACTACAATATATATCCTTAATCTGTTCATACAATTTTATAAGCATATTGACATCTTTTTAATTTTTTTTTCTTCTTTTAAACTTTTATTTTAGGTTTGAGGGTACATGTGAAGGTTTGTTACATAAACATGTGTCATGGGAGTTTGTTGTACATATTATGACATCGCCCAAGTATTAAGCTCAGTACTCAATAGTTATTTTCTGCTCCTCTCCCCCCTCCATCTCCCTCCCCCTCCTAAAATAGACCCCAGTGTCTGTTGTTTTCTTCTTGTGTTTGTAAATTCTTATCAAAAAATATGTTTTAAAATTTCATTTTAATTACTTCAGTGCTTACCACAATATTCCTATCCTTGATTTCCTAGCTTTGATTTATATACTACCAGCAAAATAGAATACTTCTTTGAATAATCTCATGAATAACAGCATATAGATGGTTCTTACAGGAGAATGGGGACACCAAAAAGGATTTTGTTAATGTTTCTGAAAAATAAGGTGCAGAGGAAGAGGAGAAACATGAGAGACAAAGAGAAAAGAAATATAAAGTTCTAAAATCCCTTAAGGAAAGAAGATAGCAAAACCTAGGCTTTTGGAGAGAGGTTACTCATCAAAGTATTCTTCAAAAGAGAAAGAGAGAACAAACTTAAGAATTCTGATTAGCATAATGTTCTATCTCACTACATTAGTAACGTGATGTTCTCCTTTGATGATTGTAGAACTTTAAGTTGTTCTTTTAATTCACAAGCTTTGCCAGGCATGTCATAGAATAAATAAATTCCTTATGTTTATTTTGCCTTAAATGTAGCAAAAGCTCTTAAGCTCTTCTCTCAGCTCCAGAATTTGCCTTCTGATTTGTCTGTATTTCTTTTCTTATTGCTTTCCTCCATAGAAACATCTAAAATTCTAAGGTTTCTCTTGGTTCTTTATATTTATGTATATGTTATCTTCATGCCTCTTTTTTTTCTCACACAAAAAGCAAAAGCATATGTTATTTTCATGCCTTTTTTTCTCTCTATTAAGATAGAAGTTTGTTGTAATTCATCTGCAATTCTGAATTTAGTCTTCTGCAGCTCCAATTCTATTTTCTATTGCTTGTAATTTTGATTTTAATTATACGGTTGCTCTCATGGTTTTCTTGCAACACCTTCAAAATATTTTTTATCTAATTGCTTTTTTATTTTCAATTACTTTTTGTGTTTCTGTATAGAGCAGCACTTCCCACTAGGGCTTTATGCAATAACAGAAATGTCCCACATCTGTTCTGTCCAATCCAGTAGCCACTAGCCACATGTGGCTATATGGTACTTGAAGTGTCACTGGTAGGACTGAGAAAATGAATTTTTAATTTTTCTTAGCTTGAGTTAATTTAAATAGCCAGTTGTAGACAGCACAAATGTCAAATACATGCTTTCTCAAATACCAATAATGTTGAAAAGATACTCTTTTTTCGGCTCTTTTGGTAAATTAAGTTCAGAGTTATGCTCTCACATCGCTTGTTCTGAAAGGTATTCCCATCATCTGTATATTTTGTTGTAGCCTCTACATGGAATATTTTTATTTAATCATCCTAGAATAGGGAAGAGGTTTCCAGATCTAGTATTCACCAACAGACAAGTACAGGATTTTTTTTTTACTTTGTTCACTGTCTTCTTATAAGTCTGTGGAAGCCTCTCAGACTTTAAATGATAAGATGTAAAACTGATTATAATGGTATAGTACCTACCCAGTTTCCAATGGCTAAATTTAGTCTGCACTCATTCAGTATGTTCCAATGAAATATATTAGGGTATTTTTAAATTCCACTATCTAATCACTGATGCTCAAATCCATGAAATGCATGAAAACTATAATTTCCAGCATATAGATTCTTCAGGTTTCTACTTTTCTCTAGAATAATTAGTATGTCTCTAAAGCAATTATTACACTGAGGATAAACCTCCCAGAGTACAATGTGTCACTTCTGGTTCACCTCCCCGGATCCACATCCCAGCTACCTACTTTGTTGTTTTCTGGGAGTCAGTATCCTAACAGCCCCTGAGTCCTTTGGACATGACCCTAGAAATTATTCTTCCCTTTTCATGTGACAAGTTTTTCAAAATTTCATATTGGATATTTCTTGCCACAGAGCTGGAATCATGAATTCTTCAAGGAACTGTGATTTCCTTTAGTGGGAATTGGTATGTAGGATGCTCACAGTTATTACATTTACATTGTGTCCTATCCTTTTCAGTGGGTAAAACTACAAATAATTATTTGCTTTATTACACATTACATACAAAACAGCTATTACAACAGCCAACACTGCCATCAACAATTAAAATACTAAAATATACAATTTTTAAATTTTATTTTTGATCTTAATATATCCCACCAAGACTATATAGTTACATTACTGCATTTTAAAGTGATTTGAAACTGTGAGGCTATGTTACCCTGAGTACACAGCTAGATCCATGTGTTTGATTTTATTTCTACTTTCAGTTCTTTCTTTAAAATTTTTTATTTTAAAATTATGTAAAACCTAACACCTTGGGAAAAATAGGAATCTGTAAGTCTATACTGATATAAATCAATAGATGGATAAATAGATGAGAATAGAAGCCCATCTTTACACTAGAATGCCAAGTAATAATGTACAAAGAATGATGAAACCAGAAAACTGCTATTTGGCACCATCATAGTAATAATTAGTTCATGCATAAAATACCAATAGAAGCTAAAACTAGTGGGTAAAAGTGGGATGAGCAATAGGATTTTTGCATAGTCCCAAAATATCTTCCTGGAAACAAAACTTAATAACTACACAGGGGAAAAGAAGTATCTTTACAGTGAAAAAATCTCACAGATATACCAACTTAATCAAGTGATCTAAACTTACATCATGTGCAACCTGAAAAAACTGCAGTGGAAAGAGCACAGTATCACCTCTGAGACATTCCTATCAAAAATACATAATTTGTGTCTAAAGCGAAAATATTAGACAAACCCAAATTGAGAATAGCAAACAGAATGGCTGGCCTGTAATCTTCTAAATATGTCAAGATCATGAAGATAAGAGAAAACTGAAGAATTATTCCTCAAGGAAAGAGACTATAAAGACATAGCAACTGAATGCAACACATTATCCTAGATTTAATTCTTCTGCTGTAATGAATATAATTGAAACAATTGAAGAAAGTTAAATATGTTCTGTGATCAAAAGGTATATGTCTATTCTTTGTATTACCTTTGCAAATACCCTGTAAGTTTGAAACTGACTTTAAAAACAAACAAACAAACAAACAAACAAAGACTCATGACTTCAAAATCAAATCTACAAAGCTTGATTTTCTTTGAATTTTCAACTTTTTCTCATTCATGAGTGTTTTGGTGAAAATTTGAGAGATTACTAGCCAAAAGACCATTTTAAGCCAGAAAACAAGTCCACATGCATTTTTCAGGAATTTGTCTTTTGCACCAAGAAAGGTATAATTTCTATTTTAAAAACCACATTTTCTTCCATTATTAGTGCTTCAATTTTATTAATTTATTTAATTGACAAAACTTGTATATATTTATCATGTGCAGCATGATGTTTCAAAAGATAGCAAACTAGGACTCTCTGGCAATCATCCTGCCACAGAAGCATCAATTTGAATAACTATTCATACAGGAAAGACATTTAGCAAGGGCCAAGAAAACCAGGTGACAGATCACAGTCATTGATTCTAGCATAATAATAAATTAAGACATATTGAGATAAACAGGAGACAATGGTGGATAGGAGGCAGGATTAAAACTTGCAGCTCCCACTCAGATGGACAGAACAGCATGTGGAAACTAACATTGTGAACTTGTACTCCAAGAACCACCTCAGGAACATACTAGAAAAACCAGAAGAATTCACAGACCCTTTGAAAGAAGCTGCTTGCTGCTGCACACTCTATGAGACTGCCAAAAAACTGAGTGGCCAAAGTGTGAGAGGGGAAAGTCTGCTTCCCAATACACATCCTCACTGGGGAACCTGAAAATCTAGATCTCAGGAGAAGGATTTTACCTTACCTAGAACTGAAATTAATTGTGAAAGCATAGCAAAATATAAAAGTAGGAGAAGCAGCAGGAAGAGCCCTTTAGGCACTCCTGGTCCCCAGGGAAGCCATTTCTGACTTATCTCACAGGAGTCCTTGGAGAGGGCAGCCAGTAGAATTGGAGACAAGTCATGGGAGAAGGAGACTTCCGGCTGAAATTTGTAATAACTTTGACCAAGCACTAATTTTCCTGGGCAGAATCTGAAGAGGGAGGGTGTCGAGGGTGGAGCGGCAAATAGGAAGTACAGATGCTTGCACAGAAACTACGACAGGCAAGGAGGCGTGGGGCCTGAAAGCCCTGCTTGCTTTCTTAGCAGAGAGGCTTGTATCCTGGGGCAAGATCTTAGCCCTGAGTACCAGAAACCTGGATATAAATTCAACTCTGTTGGCTGTTGGGGGAGCACATGGGAGTGAGACTGGCCTTGCTGGCTGCGTGAGAGCTAGGAGAGGTTTGTCACTGCCAGTTTTCTCCCACTTCCCTGGTGACCTGCACAAAACAGCAGAAGCAGCCATAATCCCTCTTGGAACATAAATCCGTTGGGCTGTGAACTACCCACCATCCCCTACAGCGCCCATAGCAAGCCACTACCAAGGATAGTCTGAGTTCAGACACACCTAATCCTGCCCCCAACTGATGGTCTTTCTCTACCACCTGGTATCCAAAGGCAAAAATCATAAACATGTGGGAGCTCTATGGCCCCACCCATCACCTGAGAAACCTGAATACTTATCCAGGCGACCTTAGGGCAAGCCTTTTTCCTTGTATACTACTTCAGCTAATGCTCTCTTGAAAGCGCTACCTCTTGGCTGGAGGCCAACCAATTCAAGCCATTACAGCAACTCATAACAGAACAACCCTGCTCCAAAAAAAGGGACAGAAACCAACAGCTAATTGTACCACCTGTAACATCCTGGATAACCAGAGGTCCTGAGACTGTCAACATGACAACTTCACTGCTAGCATAATCAGCATTTGAGAAAACCAGTGCACTAAACAAAACTACAACTAAGGACTCTCACAGAGTCCACTTCACCCCACTTCTACCTCCACTGCAGCAGATGCTGGTATCCATGGCTGAGAGACCTGAAGACAGATCACATCACAGGAATCCTTGCAGACACTCCCCAGTACCAGCCCAGAGCCTGGTACTCTACTGGGTGGCTAGACCCAGAAGAGCAATAACAATCATTGCAGTCCAGCTCTCAGGAAACCCCATCCATAGAAGTGGGAGAGTATCACATCAAGGGATCACCAAGTGTGACAAAATAATCTGAAGAGCAACCCTTGAGTCCCAGATCTTTCCTCTGACATCATCTATCCAAATAAGAAGAATAGACAAACAATTCTGATAATATGACAAAACAAGGTTTTATAACACCCTCAAAAGACCACACTAGCTCACCAGCAATGGATCCAAACCAGGAAGAAATCTCTGAATTGCCAGAAAAAGAATTCTGAAGGTCAATTATTAAGCTACTCAAGGGTGCACAAGAGAAAGGTGAAAACCAACTTAAAGAAATTTTAAAAATAATATAGAATATGGATGTTAAAATGCCTAGAAAAATAGTTAATATAAATAAAAAACATTCACAACTTCTGGAAATGAAAGACACACTTAGAGAAATGCCAGATATACTGAAAAGTCTCAACAATAGAATTGAACAAGTAGGAGAAATAACTTCGGAGATCAAAGACAAGGCTTTTGAATTAACCCAAGCAACAAAGACAAAGGAAAAATAATTTTTAAAAATGAACAACACTTCCAAAAAGTTTGGAATTATTTTAAACAACCAAAACTAAGAATAATAAGTGTTCCTGAGGAATAACAGAAATCTAAAAGTTTGGATACCTTATTTGAGAGAATAATTGAAGAAAACTTCCCTGGCCTTGCTGGAGATCTAGACATCCAAACACAAGAAGCTCAAAGAACAGCCAGGAAATTCATCACAAAAAAATCATCACCTAGGCACATAGTCATCAGGTTATCTAAAGTTAAGATGAAGGAAAGAATCTTAAGAGCTGTGAGGCAAAAGCATCAGGTAACTTAGCCTATTAAGGAAAACTTATCAGATTAACAGCAGATTTCTCAGCAGAAACCCTACAAGCTAGAAGGGATTGGGGTCCTATATTTAGCCTCCTGAAACAAAATAATTGTCAACTAAGAATTCTGTATCCAGCAAAACTAAACTTCATAAATGAAGGAGGGATAAAGTCTTTTCACAGAAACAACTGCTGAGATAATTTGCCACTACCAAGTGAGCACCACAATAAATGCTAAAAGGAGTTCTAAATCTTGGAACAAAACCTTGAAGTGCACCAAAATAGAACCTCCTTAAAGCATAAAGCTCACAAGGCTTATAAAACAATAACACAATGATAAAAACAAGGTATTCAGGCAACAACTACCATGATGAATAGAATAGTACCTCACATCTCAATAATAATGTTGAATGTAAGTGCCCTAAATGCTCCAGTTAAAAGACACAGAATGGCAGAATGGATAGGAATTCACCAACCAAGTATCTGCTGTCTTCAAGAGACTCACCTAACACAAAAGGACTCACATAAAATTAAGGTAAAGGAGTGGAAAAAGATACTCTGTGCAAAATGACACCAAAAGCAAGCAGGAGTAGCTATTGTTATATCAGACAAAACAGACTTTAAAGTAACAGCAGTTTAAAAAGACAAAGAGGGACATTATATAATGATAAAAGCACTAGTCCAACAGGAAAATATCACAATCATAAATACATATGCACCTAACACTGGAGCTCAAAAATTTATAAAACAATTATTATTAGACTTAAGAAATGAGATAGACAGCAGCACAATAATAGTGTGGACTTCAATACTCCACTGACAGAACTAGACAGGTCATCAAGACAGAAAGTCAACAAATAAACAATGGACTTAAACTATACCCTATAATAAACTGACTTAACAGATATTTACAGGATGTTCTACCCAACAAATGCAGACTATACATTATTTTCATCAGCATATGGAAAATTTTTCAAAATAGACCATATACTGGGCCACAAAACAAGCTTCAATATATTTTAAAAAATCAAAATTATATCAAGTACTCTCTCAGACCACAGTGCAATGAAATTGGAAATTAACTCTAAAAAGAACACTCAAAACCATAGAAATACATGGAATTAAATAATCTCCGCCTGAATGATCTTTGGGTCAACAATGAAATCAAGATGGAAATTAAAAGTTTGTTTGAACTGAATGTTAATAGTATCACAAACTATAAAAACCTGTGGGATACAGCAAAAGTGGTGCTAAGGGGAAAGTTCATAGCATTAAATGCCTCCATCAAAATGTCTGAAAGAGCACAAATAGACAATCTAAGTTCACACCTCAAGGAAACTAGAGAAACAAGAACAAACCAAACCCAAACTCAGCAGAAGAAAATAAATAACAAAAATCAAAGCAGAACTAAATGAAATTGAAGCAAACAAAAACAATACAAAAGATAAATGAAACAAAAAGCTGGTTCTTTGAAAAGATAAACAAAATTGGCACACCATTAGTGAGATTAACCAACAAAAGGAAAGAGGAGATCCAAATAAGCTCAATTTGAAATAAAATGGGAGATATTACAACTGATACCACAGAAATGCAAAAGATCATTCAAGGCTACTATGAACACCTTCACACACACAAACTAGAAAACCTAGAAGAGATTATTAAATTCCTGGAAATAAACAACCCTCTTAGATTAAGCCAGGAAGAAATAGGAATTCTGAACAGACCAATAACAAGCAATGAGATTGAAATGGTAATTAAAAAAAAAAAAAAATCCAAAAAAAAAAAGTCCAGGACTAGATAGATTCACAGCTGAATTCTATCAGATATTCAAAGAAGAATTGGTACCAATCTTACTGAAACTATTCCAAAAGACAGAGAAAGAAGGAATCCCCCCTAAATTTTTTGATAAAGCCAGTATCACCTCAATACCAAGACCAGGCAAGGACATAACAAAAGAAAACTATGGACCAATACTGCTGATGAACATAGATGCTTATATTCTCAACAAAATACTAGCTAACTGAATCCAACAGCATATCAAAAACCCATTGTGTTCAAGTGGGTTTCATACTGGGGATGCAGGGATGGGTTAACATACGCAAGTCAATAAATGTGATACACCACATAAAATTAAAAGCAAAAATCATGTGATTATCTCAAAAGACATAGAAAAAGTATCTGACAAAACCTAGCATCCCTTTACAATTAAAATCCTCAACAAAATTGGCATAGAAAGGACATACCTTAAGGTAATAAAAGCCACCTATGACAAACCTACAGCCAACATTATACTTAATAAGGAAAAGCTGAAAGCATTCCCCCTGAGAACTGCAACAAGACAAATATGCTCACTTTTCACCACTTCTATTCAACATAGAACTGGAGGTACTAGGCAAAGCAGTCAGACAAGAGAAAGAAATAAAGGGCATCCAAATCACTAAAGAGGAAGTCAAACTGTCACTCTTTGCCAATGATATAATCATATACCTAGAAAACCCTAAAGACTCATCCAAAAAGCTCCTGGATCTGATAATGAATTCAGTAAAGTTTCAGGATACAGAATGAATCAATGTACACAAATTAGTAGCACTGCTATACACCAACGGTGATCAAGCTGAGAATCAAATCAAGAACTCAACCCCTTTCACAATAGCTGCAAAATAAACTAAGTTCTTAGGAATATACCTAAACAAAGAGGTGAAAGATCTCTTCAAGGAAAATTATAAAACAGTGCTGAAAGAAATCATAGACAACACAAACAAATGAAAACACATCTGTGACAGCTCATACTGTCAACTCAATTGGATTGAGGGATGCAAAGTATTGATCCTGGGTGTGTCTGTGATGGTGTTGTCAAAGGAGATCAACATTTGAGTCAGTGGGCTGGGGAAGGCAGACCCACCCTTAATCTGGATGGGTGTAATCTAATCAGCTGCCAGCATGGCCAGAATAAAAACCAAGCAGAAGAACATGAAAAGACTAAACTAGCTTAGCCTCCCAGCCTACATATTTCTCCCATGCTGGATGCTTCCTGTCCTCAAATATCAGACTCCAAATTCTTCAGCACTGGGCCTTGGACTAGCTTCCTTGCTCCTCAGCTTGCAGATGGCCTATTGTGGGACCTTGTGATCATGTGAGTAAATACTCCTTAATAAACTCCCCTTTATATATACATTTATCCTATTAGTTTCTGTCCCTCTAGAGAACTCTGACTAATACAGATATTGGTACCAGGAGTGGTTCTAGAGGAACATAATATTAAGGATGGAGTTCTTTCATTGCTTTTGGGGTTTCTGGAGTTGGCTGCTTAATATGATTAGATCCAAAAATGCTAAAGGACTCTACTTCTAATAGTATGAAAAACACTGATGGTCTTTGGCAGGAACTGTTTAGAAAGTCATGCAAAATAAATGCATCTGACACTCCTCATTCACTGCTTGTGAGAGGCAAGGAGTTTTGTGACTCTATACATAATACCTTTGACCATATGTGGAGAACCAAGGAACATAATGAAGTTGGTTGATTGCTCCTAAGTTCACTGGACAAAGTGATGAAAGAAAATGATGAATTCAGGGATTCTAACTCCTAACTTAGAGGCAGATACTGAGCCTCAAATCTGCTAAGATTGCCCTGAATGAGAGTCTTATTTTTTGTAGAGAATGAGCTGAAATTGTGGAAAATCAGACCCAAGCTCTTATCATGCTAGCTGCTGACGTGCAATGAAAGGTGCGTGCACAGCCTCACCAAGTGTCTACTATTAAAGTGAGGGCATTCATTGGAAAAGAATGGGACGCTGCAATTTGAAATGGAGCTGTGTGTGAGGACACTGAGCTTGTAAATTCTGATGAACCTTTTTGCCAGAAAAAACATCTTCGCCATCCCCAGTAGTGGCAACATCCTCTCGCCGACCCTCACTGCCATCAACCTTTCCACCTTTGTCTGAATAGATAAACCCTGTGCTGCCTGAGGCAACAGTGATGGCCTCCCCTGAGGCAGTTACCAGGAAAGACAATGTTGATTCTCCTCAGGACCCACCCCCAAGGCCCTTGTTTGCATCTAGATCTATAACTGCACTAAAGTCCCAGTGGGCCGTTAAAGGTGAGGTTCACAGTGTGACCCATGAGTAAGTATGTTACATTAGAAAAAAACTACTTGAGTTTTCTAATTTATTTAAGCAGAAATCTGGATAACAGACATAAGAATAGATATTAAGCATGTGGGATAATCGTGGAAGAAACATAGTGTTGGATCAGGCTGAATTTATTGATTTGGGCCCACTAAGTAGGGATTCTGCATTTAATGTTTGCAACTTGGGGAGTTAAAAATGTTCTAACAGTTTATTTGCTTGGTTAGCTGAAATATGGATTAAAAATTGGCCCACTGTGAGCCAACTGGAAATACCTGATCTCCCTTGGTTTAATGTAGAGGAAAAGATCCAAAGTCTTAGGGAGATTGAGATGCTGGAGTGGATTAGTCACTTTAGACCTACTCATCCTAGCTGGGAAGGTCCAGAAGATATACCCTTGACCAACACTTTAAGAAATAGATTTATGAAGACAGCACATGCATCTTTGAAGAGCCCCATAATTGCTCTTCACTGTATGTCAGATCTAACATGGAAACTGCAGTCACTCAACTACAAAATTTAAATGCAATGGGAATAATTGGATCCCAAGGTGGCAGGGGCCAAGTGGCCACTCAACCATCAAAGGAAAGGTGGGCGTAGCTACTATAATGGGCAGCAGAGGCAAAGCAGCAATCAGAATAGTCTGACTTGTGTAGAGCTCTGGCTAATTAATCATGGTATTCCTATAAATGAAATTGATAGAAAACCTACTGCATTCCTACTTAATTTATATAAGCAGAAATCTTCCAGGTTGAGTGGACAAAAGACTAATTTGAATAATAAAAACAGAATAATGGCCCCGCAATCAATTTCCAGACTTGAGCCAGACCCAGAACCCCTTGAATGAAGGGAAGGCCAGGTCCCCTTGAGTAAGGACCCCACTATACTACTGAAAATTTATGCTGTTAAGCTCTCTCCCATCTTTCCCCAAGGAGACTTCTAGCCTTTTACCAGAGTAACTGTGCATTGGAAAAAGGAAAACAATCAGACATTTCAGGGACAACCGGACACTGGCTGTAAGCTGACATTGATTCCAGGGGACCCAAAACATCATTGTGATCCTTCAGTTTAAGTAGGGGTTTATGAAGGTCAGGTAATTAATAGAGTTTTAGCTAAGGTCTGACTTCCAGTGGGTCCAGAGGGTCCCTGGACTTATCCTGTGGTCATTTCCCCAGTGCCAGAATGCATAATTGGCATAGACATACATAGCAGCTGGCAGAACCCTCACATTGGCTCCCTGACTGGTAGGGTGAGGGCTATTATGGTGGGAAAGGCCAAATGGAAATGATTAGAGCTGCCTCTACCTAGAAAAATAGTAAACCAAAAACAATATCTCATCCCTAGAGGGACTGTGGAGATTAGTGCCACAATCAAGGACTTGAAAGACACAAGGGGGTGATTTCCACCACATCCCCGCCCAACTCTCCTATTTGGCCTGTGTAGAAGACAGATGGATCTTGGAGAAGGACAGTGAATTATCGTAAGCTTAATCAAGTGGTAACTCCAATTGCAACTGCTATACCAGATGTGGTCTCATTGCTTGAGCAAATTAACACATCTTCTGGTACCTGGTATGCAGCCATTGATTTGGCAACTGCTTTTTTCTCCATTCCTGTCCATAAGGCCCACCAGAAGCAATGGGCCTTCAGCTGGCAAGGCCAGCAATATACCTTTACTCTCCTACCCCAGGGGTATAACTCTCCAGCTTTGACTCAAAGCTGGATCTTTGAGTCAAGATCTTATTCAGAGAGATCTTGATCAATTTTTGCTTCCATAAGATATCACACTGGTCCATTACATTGATGACATTATGCTGATTGGATCCAGTGATCAAGAAGTAGCAAACACACTGGACTTATTGATGAGATATTTGCATGCCATACAATGGAAAATAAATCGAACTAAAATTCAGGGACTTTCTACCTTAGTAAAATTCCTAGGGGTTCAGTGGTGTGGGGATTGTCAAGATGTTTCTTCTAAGGTGAAGGACAAGTTGCTGCATTTGGCCCCTCCTACATACAAGAAAGAGGCACAATGCCTAGTGGGCCTATTTGGATTTAGGAGGCAACACATTCCTCATTTGGGTGTGTTACTCCAGCCCATTTATCAAGTGACCTAAAAGGCTGCCAGTTTTGAGTGGGGTCCAGAACAGGAGAAGGCTCTGCAACAGGTCTAGGCTGCTGTGCAAGCTGTTCTGCCAGTTGGGCCATGTGACCCAGCAGATCCAATGGTGCTAGAAGTGTCAGTGGCAGATTCAGATGCTGTTTGGAGATTTTGGCAGGCCTCCATAGGTGAATCACAGTGAAGGCCTCTAGGATTTTGAAGCAAGGCCCTGCCATTTTCTGCAGATAACTACTTTTTTTTTTTTTTTTTTTTTTTTGAGAGACAGCTCTTGGCCTGTTACTGGGCTTTGGTGGAAAATGAACGTTTGACTATGGGTCATCAAGTCACCATGCGACCTGAACTGCCTATTATGAACTCATGAACTGGATGCTTTCTGACCCATACAGCCATAAATTGGGTCATGCACAGCAGCATTCCATCATCAAATGGAAGTGGTATATACATGATCACACTCGAGCAGGTCCTGAAAGGCACATTGAGAAAGTGGCTCAAATGCCCATGGCCTCCATTCCTACCACCCTGCCTTCTTTCCCCCAGCCTGCATCGATGGCCTCATGGGGAGTTCCCTATGATCAGTTGACAGAGGAAGAGACTACTAGGGCCTGGCTCTCAGATGGTTCTGCCCAATATGCAACCACCACCCAAAAGTGGACAGCTGCAGTGCTACAGCCCCTTTCTAGGACATCTCTGAAGGACAGCAGTGAATGAAAATCTTCCCAGTGAGCAAAACTTCAAGCAGTGCACCTGGTTGTACACTTTGCATGGAAGGAGAAATGGCCAGATATGTGATTATATACTGATTCATGGGCTATAGCCAATGGTTTGGCTGGTTGGTCAGGGGCTTGGAAACAGCATGACTGGAAAATTGGCGACAAAGGAATTTGAGGAAGAGGTATGTGGATTGACCTCTCTGGGTGGTCAAAAACTGTGAAGATATTTGTATCCCATGAGAGTGCTCACCAAAAAGTGACCTCAGCAGAAGAGAATTTTAATAATTAAGTGGATAGGATGACTTGTTCTGTACACCCCACTCAGCCTTTTTCCCCAGCCACCTCTTCCACTTACCAAGGCTGACCTGGCTACAGCCACAGCTGAGTGCCCAATTTGCCAACAGCAGAGACCAACAATGAGACCTGGATGTGGCACCATTCCTCAGGGTGATCAGCCAGCTACTTGGTGGCAGGTTCATTATATTGGACCTTTTCCATCATGGAAAGGGCAGAGAGTGTCCTCACTGGAATAGACACTTACTCTGAATATGAGTTTGCCTATCCAGCATGCAATGCTTCTGCTAAGACTACTATCCGTGTACTCATGGAATGCCTTATCAACCATCGTGGTATTCCACTCAGCATTGCCCCTGATCAAGGCACTCACTTGATAGCTAAAGAAGTGTGACGGTGGGCTCAGGCTCATTGAATTCACTGGTCTTACCATGTTCCCCATCATCCTGAAGCAGCTGGATTGATAGAACGGTGAAATGGCCTTTGAAGTCACAATTACAATGCCAACTAGGTGACAATACTTTGCAGGGCTGGGGCAAAGTTCTCCAGAAGGCCCTGTATGCTCTGAATCAGCGTCTGATATATGGTACTGTTTCTCCACAGCCAGGATTCAGGGGTCCAGGAATCAAGGGGTGCATGTGGAAATGGCACCATTCACCATCTCTCCTAGTGATCCACTAGCAAAATTTTTGCTTCCTGTTCCCAGGACATGTTCTGCTAGCCTAGAGTTCTTCATTTCAGAGGAACACTGCCACCAGGAGACACAACAAGGTTTCCATTAAACTGGAAGTTAAGATTGCCACCTGTATACTTTGGGCTTCTCCTACCTTTAAGTCAACAGGCTAAGAAGGTAGTTACAGTGTTGGCTGGGGTGATTGACCCAGACTATCAAGATGAAAACATGACTATCAAGATGAAAACGTAACTATCAAGATGGGAATTAAACTATTACAACCACTATGGAAAACAATATGGAAATTCCTTAAGGAACTAAAAGTACATCTACCATTTGATCCAGCAATGCCACTACTGGGTGTCTACCCAGAGGAAAAGAAATCATTATATGAAAAAGACACTTGCACATGCAAGTTTATAGCAGCACAATTTGCAATTGCAAAAATATGAAACCAGCCCAAATGCCCATCAATCAAGTGGATAAAGAAAATGTGGTGTGTGTGTGTGTGTATGTATATGTATATTTATATATATATAAAATATATATACCATGGAATACTACTCAGCCATAAAATGACATGAAATGATGTCATTCCTAGCAACCTGAATGGAGTTGGAGACCATTATTCTAAGTAAAGTAACTCAGGAATGGAAAACAAAACATTGTATGTTCTCACTTATATGTGGAACTAAGCTATGAGGATGCAAATGCGTAAGAATGATACAATGGACTTTGGGGACTTGCAGGGAAGGGTGGCAGGTGGGTGAGGTATAAAAGACTATACACTGAGTACAGTGTACACTGCTTGGGTGATGGGTGCACCAAAATCTCAGAAATCACCACTAAAGAACTTATCCATGTATCCAAATACCACCCATTACCCAAAAACTATTGAAAGAAAAAAGACGTATTGAAGAAAGTAGAAAAGGCAATTTTACATTATCTACATTACCCTTTCCCCAACACCAGGCATGCAGAACAGAGATGCCAGCTGTTTGAGGAAAGGGGAGAAAAGTAAGTATAGGACTTTGCCTTTAAACCTAGTACAGGGGCATTGTAATAAAACCCAACACTAGGCAGAACCCCTCAGTCCCTGTCACCAGACCAGTACCCATGGACAAAACCTCTACTCCAGCCCTGGCACCAGATAACAACACACACCTCCAGCAGGATGGAATTTATCAGAGAAATTTAACAAAGAGATTGAAATAATTAAAAAAAAGTAGAAATCCTGGAACTGAATTCAAAGAATCCTGGAAAATATACTGTCAGAGGAGATAAAAGAAAAAATAAGAATTAAAAAAATAAAGAAAGATCACAGGATTTACTGTATAGCATCAAAAGAGCAAATATTAACATATGGGTCATTGATATTCAAGACGGAGTAGAGAAAGAGAAAGAAGTAGAAAGCTTATTTATTTATTTTTTTTAAATTTTATTATTATTATACTTTAAGTTTTAGGGTACATGTGCACAATGTGCAGGTTAGTTACATATGTATACATGTGCCATGCTGGTGTGCTGCACCCATTAACTCGTCATTTAGCATTAGGTATATCTCCTAAAGCTATCCCTCCCCCCTCCCCCCACCCCACAACAGTCTCCATAGTGTGATGTTCCCCTTCCTGTGTCCATGTGTTCTCACTGTTCAATTCCCACCTATGAGTGAGAATATGTGGTGTTTGGTTTTTTGTTCTTGCGATAGTTTACTGAGAATGATGATTTCCAATTTCATCCATGTCCCTACAAAGGACATGAACTCATCATTTTTTATGGCTGCATAGTATTCCATGGTGTATATGTGCCACATTTTCTTAATCCAGTCTATCATTGTTGGACAAAGCTTATTTAAAGAAATAATAAAAAAATTTTCAAACCTCGAGAAAGATAAAAATATCCAGGTACATGAAGGTCAAATGTCTCCAATCAGAGTCAATCCAAATAAGACTGTCCCATGATAGATTATATTTAAAATGCCAAAGATTGAAGGCAAAGAGAAGATCCTAAAAGCCACAAGAGAAATGAAGCAAATAATAAATTAGGGTAGTGCAAAGGTAATTGCTGTTTTTGCCATTAAAAGTAAAGGCAAAAAACACAATTATTTTTGCACCACCTATAGGGAGCACTATATGCCTAACAGAAGACTCCTTAACCAAAAACTTAAAGGCCAAAGGGAGTGAGATGATATATTCAAAGAGAAGAAAAAAACACTGTAAACCAAGAAATTTATACCTAGCCAAGTTGTCCATCAGAAATAAAATGCTGTAAGACTTATCTGAACAAACAGAAGCTGAAGGAATTCATCACCGTTAGATCTGTCTTACAAGAAATGCTAAAAGGAGTTCTTCAACATGAATGAAAAGAACAGTAATGAGTAACACAAAAAACATCTGAAAGTATATAACTCACTTATAACAGAAAATATACAGTCAAATTCTGAATATTCCAATAATGGTGATGTATAAATCACTTATTATCATGAAGGTTAAAAGAAAAAAATAATTAAAAATAATAATAACTACAATAATTTGTCCAGGGATATATGATGTAAAAATAGGTAAATAATGATACGAAAAATTTAAGATGAGGGAGGTGAATGAAATTAAAGAGTCATTTATTGTGCTTTTTTGTAATCAATAAGTTGCTATCAATTTTTAAAAACTTCTTATAACTATAAGCTGTTTTCTGTAAATCCCATGGCAACCACAAAGCACAAACCTATAATAGATACACTAAAAATTAAAAAGCAATGAATTTAAATATACTACTGGAGATAATCAATTAAGCTCTAAGAAAGAAAGTAAGAGAGAAAAATAGTAAGAAAGGATCTACAAAACAATTAGAAAACAATTAACAAAATGGCAGTAGTAAGTCCTTATGTATCAATAACTATATTGAATGTAAAAGGATAAAATCTCTAATGAAAAGACATAGAATGGCTAAATAATTTTTTTAAAATGACTCACCTGTATACTACCTACAAAGGCTTACTTCACCTGTAAGGTCACACAAAGACTGAAGGTGAAGGGATGGAAATGATATTTCACGTAAATAGAAGCCAAAAGAGAGTAGAAACAGCTATACTTATATCAGGTAAAATAGACACTATGGCAACAACTATAAAAATAGATATATTAATCCATTTGCATTGCTAAAAAGGAATAGCTGAAGCAGAGTAATTTATAATGAAAAGATTTTTTCTGGCTTAGTTCCGTTGGCTGTACAGGAAACATGGGACCAGCATCGCTTCTAGTGAAGGCCTCACAAATATTTCAATTGTGGCAGAAGGTGAAGGGAGAGCAGGCGTATCACATGCTGAGAAAGGAGAAGGAAAGAAAGAGAAGAGAAGGTACTAAGGTCTTTTTAACAATTAGTTCTCATGTGAAATAGAACAAGAACTCACTCAACTACCTCAAGAAAGCCACCAAGCCATTCATGAAGAACTTCCCCCATGACCAAAAACCTCCCAGTAGACCCCATGTCCAACACTGAGATCAAATTTAAATATGAGATTCGGAAGGGACAAACATCCAAACTATATCAATAGACAAAGAAAGTCATTATATAATGATAAAGAAGTCAATTTAGCAAGAGGATATGACAATTGTAAGTATACATACACCCAACATTGGAGCACCAAAATATATAAAGAAAATATTAATAGATCTAAAGAGAAAGATAGAATGCAATAAAATGATAGTAAGGGACTTGAACACTCCACTTTTAGAAATGAGCAAATCATCCAGACAGAAAATCAGAAAAAAAAACCATCAAATTTAAATTGCACTATAGACCAAATGGACCTACAGACATGTACAGAACATTCCATTCTATAGCTATAGAATATACATTCTTCTCAACTGCACATGGAACATTTTCTAGGATAATACATTTTCATGTATTAGGCAATAAAACAAGTCTTAACAAATTTAAGATTATCAAAATCATATCAAGTGTCTTTTCTGACCAATACTGAGTGAGGTGAATAGATAAATAATAAAAAGTCTCCCATCAGAGTGTAAATTAGTTCAACCATTGTGGAAGACAATGTGGTGATTCCTCAAGGACCTAGAACCAGAAATACCATTTGACCCAGCAATCCCATTACTGGGTATATACCCAAAGGATTATAAATCATTCTACTATAAAGACACATGCATACGTATGTTTATTGCAGCACTATACGCAATAGCAAAGACTTGGAACCAACCCAAATGCCCATCAATGATAGACTGGATAAAGAGAATGTGGCACATATACACCATGGAATATTATGCAGCCATAAAAAAGGATGAGTTCTTGTCCTTTGCAGGGACATGGATGAAGCTGGAAACCATAATTCTCTGCAAACTAACACAGGAACAGAAAACCAAACACCGCATGTTCTCACTCATAGGTAGGAGTTGAACAATGAGAACACATGGACACAGGGAGGGGAACATCACACACCAGGGCCTGTTGGGGGGTGGGGGCCTAGGGGAGGGATAGCATTAGGAGAAATACCTAATGTAGATGACGGGTTGATGGGTGCAGCAAACCACCACGGCACGTATATACCTATGTAACAAACCTGCCCGTGTATCCCAGAACTTAAAGTATAACAAAAAGAAAAGTCTCCCGCCAAAGAAAAGCCCAGGACCTTATGGCTTCACTGTTGAATTCAACCAAACATTTAAAGAACTAATATCAATTCTTTCCAAACTATTCCAAAAAAATTGAAAAGGGAGTAATTCTTCAAATTCTTTCTATGAGGCCAGCATTGCTCTGATACCAAAACCAGACAAGGACACAACAAAAACAGGAAAACACAGGCCAATATCCTTGATGAATGTAGACACAAAAATCCTCAATGAAACACTAGCAAGATGAATTCAATAGCCCATTCATAAAATCATTCACCATGATCAAATGATATTCCTCCCAGGGATGCAAGGATGGTTCAAAATATGTAAATCAATGCAAGATATATCACATCAATGGGATGAAGTACAAAAACCATATGACCATTGTGGTAGATGCAGAAAAAGCATTTGACAAAATTCAACATTCTTTTATAGTAAAAACTGTCAACAAATTATGCATAAAAGGAATGTACCTCAATACACTAAAGGCCATATGTGACAAACCTACAGCTAACATCATACTAAAGAGGGAGAAAGTGAAAGTTTTTCCTCTAATATCTGGAATAAGACAAGAATACCACTTTCACCAGCCCTATTCAACACAGTCTTGGAAACCCAAACCAAACCAATTAACCCATAGAAATAAATAAAGGACATCCAAATTGGAAAGGAGAAAGGTAACTCATCCCAATTTGTTGACATGTTTTTATATATGGAAAACCATAAAGATTCCACTGAAAGCTTTTATAAGCAATAAATTCAGTAAAGTTACAGCTTATAAAATCAACATATGAAAATTAGTAGTATTTCTATGTATGAATAATGAACTATTAAAAAGAAAATTAAGGCCGGGTGCTGTGGCTCATGCCTGTAATCCCAGCACTTTGGGAGGCTGAGGTGGGCGAATTACAAGGTCAGGAGATCGAGACCATCCTGGCTAACACGGGGAAACCCAGTCTCTACTAAAAACACACAAAAAATTAGCCTGGTGCTGTGGTGGGCGCCGGTAGTCCCAGCTACTCAGGAGGCTGAGGCAGGAGAATGGCATGAACCCGGGAGCCAGAGCTTTCAGTGAGCCGAGATTGCACCACTGTACTCCAGCCTGGGCGACAGAGCGAGGCTCCATCTCAAAAATAAATAAATAAATAAATAAATAAATAAAAATAAAGAAGGACATTAAGCTAAAAAATCCATTTATAGTAGCGACAAATAATAATAATAATAATAATAATAATAATAATAATAATAATACCTAGGAACCAATTTAGCCAAGAAGGTGAAAGGTCTCTACAATTAAAACTATAAAATATTGACAAAAGAAATTGAACAAAACACAAATATATAGAAAGATATTTCTTGTTCGTGGATTGGAAGATTAATATTATGAAAATGCCCATATTTACCCAAAGAGATCTACAGATTCAACAAAATTTTTAACAAAATTTCAGTGTTACTGTTCACAGAAGTAGAAAAATAAACAGTCTTTAAATTTGTATGGAACCACAAGGCCCTGAATAACAACAACAAAAAATCTTCAGCAAAAAGAACACAACTAGCAGCATTACCCTGATTTCAAAACACATTATAAAGCAGTTTTCATCAAAACAGCATGGTACTAGCATAAAAACAGACATATAGACCAATGGAACAGAATAGAGGCCCCAGAAATAACCCCATATATTTATAGTTAATTGATTTTTTACAAAGGTGCCAGGAACACACAATGGAATGAGGACAGTCTCTTCAATAAGTGGTGTTGGGAAAAGTGGATATCTACATACAGAAAAATGAAACTGGACTCTTGTCCACACCATATACAAAAATAAAATGAATTAAGACTTAAATGTATGACATGAAACTGTAATATTACCAGAATAAAAATATGGGGAAAAGTTCCATGGCATTGGTCTGGGCAGTGATTTCTTGGATATGATCAAAAATGCATAGGTGACAAAAGCAAAAATAGGCAAATAAGACAGTATCAAATTAAAAGTTTTCTGCAAAGCAAACAACAAAATGAAGAGACAATTTACAGATCAGTAGAAAATATTTGCAAACTATACATTTAATAAGGGATTATTATCCAAAATATATAGGTAACCTAAATAACTCAATAGCAAGAAAACAAATAACCCAATTTTTTAAATGGGCAAAGAACCTGAACAGATATTTTTCAAAAGAAGACCTACAAATGGCCAACAGGTACATGAAAAAAAATGCTCAGCATCACTAATTATTTGGAAAATGCAAATCAGAACCACATAGAGTTAGCACCTCACACCAAGTAGAATGGCTTTTACCAAAAAGACGATGGATAGCAAGTGTTGGTAAGAATGCAGAGGAAAGGGAACTCTTGCACATTGTTGGTGGAATGTAAATTAGTATAGCCATCATGGAAAATAGTATGTCAGTTCCTCAAAAAATTAAAAATAGAACTACCTTATGATCCAGTAACCCCACGTCTGGGTATACATCCAAAGTAACTGAAATCAATATGGTAAAAGGATATCTGTACTCCCACGTTTATTGCAGTACTATTCACAATAGCCAATATATGGAATCAACCTAAATGTCCATCAACAGATGAATGGATCATTAAAATATTATGTATATACCCAGTGAAATACTATTAAGCCTTTAAAGGGAGGGAAATCCTGTCTTTTGAGAAAAGATGGATGAGCCTGGAGGACATTATGCTAAGTAAAATAAACCAAGTACAGAAATACAAACACCACATGGTCTCAGTTATATGTGGAATCTAAAAAAGTTGAACTCACAGAAGTAGAGAGCAGAATAGTGGTTGCCAGGGACTGATCGAGTAGTGGGGAGGGAGAGAATGAGCAGTTATTGATCATAGAGTATAAAGGTTCATATAGACAGGAGAAATAGTTTTTGACATCTATTGTACTTCATGTTGATTATAGTCAATAATAATGTATAGTATATCTCAAAGTAATGAAAAGAATAAACTTCAAATATCCTACAATAAAAATTGATAGGTAAGTGAAGTGACAGAGATGTTAATTCACTTGATTTAATTATATACATTATATACATATATCTAAATATCACACTGTATCCCATAAATATATAATTATGACATTCAATCAAAAATAGTATTCATAATAAAAAATTAATAGAATTCCAATGCGTGATTGGAGGTCGTGATGACCCATGGGAGCAATCGGAGAAGTAGAGTAAGGAGCGTGAAGCCAGATTATAGTAGGTTGGGAAAAAAATGATAAGTGAGGAGTAGAAACAATGGGTATAAATCACTCTGATTTTGAGAAGAATTTAGATTAGAAAATGCCAAGGACAAGAGAGTCACAGGGCTTTTTCAGAAAAAAAAAAAATCATCCTACATGTATTGTTTATGAAAACATTGAATATGGGACTCAAATGTTCTATTTAACAGTTAACCATGTACGAAATGGTAAATTCCTTCCAAATTACTTCCACTTACTAATCAGCTTTCATCTCCTAATTACAGAAAGGATCACAATGAAGCACATTAACTGCATTAGTAAATACTCAAGTGATCAAGTGATTTCCATATGCCTCTGCTGTCAGAGTCCCCATGAGAATGCCCTAGGCCAACTGAGTACTTGACTGACTTTCATGAGAAAGGTCTTGGCTTCCCCTAGAACATGTATTTCACAATGAAGAGTAAAATGAGGATTGATAAATTAATCTCAACTTTCGAATTCAAATCCCCATTAATGTTTTTACTTTTCCAACTACCTTTAAGTCTACAGAAATTTCCTATTGAAGATTTCTCTAGGTGGTGTCTGGTTTTGACAGTAATAACCTTTGAATAAAGAATATTTCACTTATAAAGAAGAGGCAGATCCTCATATTAACAATCTCTTATTGACCACTGTTAAGAATTCATTTATGGCAAATGCCAAATTCTATCTGACCTAAAGATTTGGCTAACTTTAAAATTACCAGGCATGTCAATATTCCTTTATATCAACTTTTCTAACTTTACCTTCACGGTCTGTGGATCTTTGGTGTCTTGAATACTTAAGAATCAATTTCTCAATTACAGTTTGTTTTCTTTTTTGTTCAGTCTCCAGGGATACATTTAATCCCTTCTCATACACCTTGCCATCTTCTAAATAAGAAAATCAATTTCCTCCCTCTTTTTCTTTCAGAGCTACAATGCTCAAACAAATCTTTCTTTTCTAGATGGATTTCAACAGACTTTGTAGATTATTAGCCCATATATATATATATATATACACACACACACATATATGTATATGTGTATATACACATATGTGTATATGTATATGTGTATATACACATATGTGTATATGTATATGTGTATATACACATATGTGTATATATACATGTGTATATACACACATGTGTATATACGTATATATACATGTGTATATACACACATGTGTATATACGTATATATACATGTGTATATACACACGTGTGTATATACGTATATATACATGTGTATATACACACGTGTGTATATACGTATATATACATGTGTATATACACACGTGTGTATATACGTATATATACATGTGTATATACACACGTGTGTATATACGTATATATACATGTGTATATACACACGTGTGTATATAGGTATATACACACGTGTGTATATACACATGTATATATACGTATATATGGCTATATGTGTGTGTATATATATACACACACATATAGCCATATATATACACACACACATTGTACCCCGTAAGTATATATATTTATATATATTTTACATATATTATCCAAAATATATATGTAACCCCAAACAACTCAATACCAAGAAAACAAATAACCCAATTTTTAAAATGGGCAAAGAACCTGAACAATATTTTTCAAAAGAAGACCTGCAATGGCCAACAGATACATGAGAAAAATGTTCAGCATCACTAATTATTTGGGAAATGCAAATTAAAACCGCATAGAGCAATCACTTCACACCAATTAGAATGGCTTTTACCAAAAAAAAGACAGATAACAAGTGTTGGCAAGAATTATATTTTTTTATATATGATATATACACATACATTGTACCCCATATAAGCTAAGAATCTACAAAGATTTATAGGATAATAATCTACAAAGCATAAAACTGCTCATGCCTTCTCATGTTGTGCTTTAGCTAGAGTGACCATATAGTTTATCATCCAAACCATCACATTCGGGAGAGTGAAAAGGGATGTTATTCCTAAGAACTTAAAAAGGCAGTCATTGACTAGGACAGAGTGAGGGAAACCAGGATAGTCACACTATTTTATCTCTCCTGTGCCAAAAAAAATGGAATAAATACTAAAGAAACTACAGCAATTAAGGGCAAAGAGTAGGACAATTTAAGTTTTTTTTTTTTTTTTTTTTTGCTTTACAATCCCTGCACGCTCCCGTTGTCACTTCAATGTGCAACTATCACTTCAGGATAGTGCTGGCACTACCCAAAATAGTTGACCATAGAACCACCAGTTCTGACCAATTCTTAAACTACTTTACTACCTTTTCTTTTTCTCCAGCCTCTGACTTCACTGTCAATTATTTTTCCCTAGTTGTGGTCTTGCTTCACTCTTTGGATCTGTTGTACATTGCACTGCTGTTGTTGTTCTTTTAGCTCCTTCCTTGGTTACCATTCAACTATGATTTGAGATCTCTCCCAGGGTAACCTGTGCCCAATTCCAGCATGAAGCAACAAAAAAATGCTGAAATTACTTACCCAACTTTTCAATTACCCTCTCATCATAGAAAGCTATATGGGAGCCATGAATTATTCTCAATTGAATTCCATAATTCTGGATAAAAATAATGAGTCTTCTCTCACAATATGAACAAAATGGGTATAATATTAAATATTAACATATTCTTATCACTTCCAGGTTTAATTACTTCAATAGAAAGCAGATGAAACAGAACCTATGGAGTTGACATTTATGGTTGCTAATTTAGAAAATAACTCATTGAGCTTTTATCTATTATTCACTAAATATCTCTATAAATATATGTGGCATTTACAGTCTGAAAGAGTTGGTTGGCAGGGCTGAGTGACACCCAAGTTTATTTTAAATCAGGGCTTCCAGCTTGGGAGTCTTCATGTAAAGAATTAATTTATGGCTATTTTTGCTTAGTGCCAACGGGAATGGAAAATCACGGAGTGTGTATCTTTGTTTTAGTGCTTCTGGGAGGCATACTGCAAATTAAGATGACAGATGGGAAGAACCACTATTGACTTGGAGTAATTTAGAGAAGGTTGCCAAGAGCCCATTAATTTTGTGTTTCAGAAGTTTAGGCACCAGCTTGAAAATAATAAATTAACTGTGCTAAAGTAATGAAAACGCTTTGCTTTTTTACAATGGAGAAAAATACAAATAATATACATCTATTGTTAACACCCAGCCTAATGGATGTTTAACCCTTTTTTTAATATCCTAGCAGTTTATAAGTTATGATACCCCTACTCTGACATTGAAATGAATTGTAATTAAGGACATTTGGGAATTCCAAAGGACACTTTTGATGCTGAAATTATTCCAATTCTTATCATAATATAACATTTCTCAAATCTGAGAGAAGAAAATTTGCATATATTTACTGTGTAGAATTCTTATTCTCTAGATCTAATAAGCTCTTACACGACCAATGTTCATTAGGATGGATTAAATGCAGTAGATGATCAAGAAACAGTGAATAGAGTGAGAAGGAACTCCACAGGGCTATACAAGGACAAACTGCACTAGACAAGAAATGTTATCCAAGCTTCTCCTCCTTAGAAAGAGCAAATTTTCTTGAATGTCACAAAGATTCAGGCCCTATTTCTGTAAGGCCCCTTGATCTACCTTTTACTGAGATTCCTACATGGATTTTAAATCCTGATTTCATCGCTGATTTTCTGCGTAAACCTGAGGCACTATGACATAATTAATGGTAACAGATTCCAGGGTCCAAAGTCATGCTGTCAAATCAAAGCTCTATTGCTCAGTAACTGTCTAGATTCTGTGAGGTTCAGTTTTCTCCTTTACACACACAGTGCTGTGAGAATAAAAGATGTGAAAAGTTGTGAGAGTGTCCAGCAAGGAACACAGGAGTCTATTATTAAGGGTTAGTTTTCCGCGGCTCTGAGCAATGCATCATTAGCACGATACTTTTTAATACCACCCACTTCTCATAAGAGAAGAGTATTCACTACTGCATCAGTGCACCATGTCAGCTATAGTTAATAACAATATATTATATACTTGAAAATTACTAGCAGCATAGATTTTAAGGGTTCTCACTACAAAAAAAATGATAACTATGTGAGGTAATGCATATGTTAATTAATTTGATTTAGCATTCAACAATGTATACATACGTTAATACACCATGTACACTATAAATATATAAACTTTTATATAGGAAGGAAAATGTGGGAAAGTTTATATATAAATATATAAATACACCATGTACACTATAAATATATACATATATACACTATACATATAAATATATGTAATTTTTGTTTATCAAGTTAATTTATTAAATTTTTAAAATAAAAATGAAAAATAATTTATCAAATGAAGCAACTATTATTTTCACTCCTTCTTCATTGATAACCTCTGTCCTTTCCCACAATATTACCAAGAATAAAGAATTAAGAATGAAGTGTTAGAAGATCAACATGTACTAAAATGTGAGCTCCATAAAGTCAGTGGCATATTCATCTTTCATTCCTACAGGCTACACATTTTGTTCATGTTATTTCTTGAATAAATGAGTAAACTTAAATGTGAGGTGTTATCACCAGGCTTATAAAGCAAAGTACAAGTAAAGAATAGGAAACCTTCTGCATCACACCAGTTCAATTGTCTCAGGAAAAAAGAGACCCATGGCATACACAAAAAGCCATGGATGGCACCAAGGGTTGTTTGTCACATCAGCATAGTGGTGACTAGGCTCAGGTTCCTCAGGGGTTCTCTCTTAGATAAGATCATGGCCAAACCCATGGGCTTTGAAACCAAGCATATCTCAGGTTGGAGTCCTGGCTCTACCACTCTGTTAGTCTGTTCTCACACTGCTATAAGGAAATATCTGAGACTGGGTAATTTTTTTTTAAGAGGTTTAACTGGCTCACAGTTCCACAGGCTGTACAGGAAGGATGATTCTGGCAACTGCTCCATTTCTGGAGAGGCCTCAGGAAACTTACATTGGTAGAAGGCAAAGGGGGAGCAGGCACATTACATGACCAGAGCAAGAGTGAGGGAGGGGGGGAGGTGCCACACATTTTAAACAACTAGATCTCATGAGAACTCACTATCACAAGAACAGCACTGAGAGGATGATGTCAAACAATTCATGAGAAGCTGCCCCTATAAGCCAATCACCTCCCACCAGGCCCCACCTCCAACACTGGAGATTATAATTTGATATGAGATTTGGTGAGGATTTGGATCAAAACCATATCAACTGCTTTTCTACCTGTCACTTTGAGCATGATACTTGGATATGGTTTGACTGTGCCCCCACCAAAATCTCATTTTGAATTGTAACTCCCACAATTCCCACGTGTTGTGGGAGGGACACAGTGGAAGGTAATTGAATCAAGGAGGCGGTCTTCCTCACACTATTCTGGTGACAGTGAATAAGTCTCACAAGATCTGATGGTTTTAAAAAGGGGAGTTTCCCTGAACAAGCTCTCTTCTTTTGTCTGCTGCCATGTGAGACAAGCCTTTCACCTTCCACCATGATTGTGAGACCTCCACAGCCACATGAATTGTAAGTCCATTCAACCTCTTTCTTTTGTAAATTGCCCAGTCTCAGGTATGTCTCTATCAGCAGCATGAAAATGGACTAATACAGAAAATTGGTGCCAGTAGAGTAGGGAGCTACTGTAAAGATACCCTAAAATATGGAAGCAACTTTGGAATTAGGTAACAGGCAGAGGTTGGAGAACGTTGGAAGGCTCAGAAGAAGGAAGGAAAATGTGGGAAAGTTTGGAACTTCCTAGAGACTTGTTGAATGGCTTTGCCCAAAATGCTGATAGTGATATGGACAATGAGGTTCAGGCTGAGGTGGTCTCAGATGGAAATGAGGAACTTGGGAACTGGAGCAAAGGTGACTCTTGTTATGTTTTAGCAAAGAGAATAGTGGCATTTTACCCCTGCGGTAGAGAATTGTGGAACTTTGAACTTGAGAGAGTTGATTTAGGGTATCTGGTGGAAGAAATTTCTAAGCAGCGAAGCATTCAAGATGTGACTTGAGTGCTGTTAAAGGCATTCAGTTTTATAAGGGAAGCAGAGCATAAAAGTTCAGTAAAGTTGCAGCCTGACAATATGATAGAAAAGAAAATCTTATTTTCTGAGAAGAAATTCAAGTTGGCTGCAGAAATCTGCGTAAGTAATGAAGAGCCAAATGTTAACCCCAAGACAATGGGGAAAATGTATCCAGGGCATATCAGAAGTCTTTATGGCAGTCCCTCCCATTACAGACCCAGAGGCCTAGGAGGCAGAAATGGTTTCGCGGGCCATCCCCATGCTATGTGCAGCCTAGAGACTTCGTGCCTTGTGTCCCAGCCACTCCAGCTGTGGCTGAATGGGGCCAATGTAGAGCTCAGGCCATGGCTTCAGAGGATGCAAGCCCCAAAGCTTGGCAGTTTCCACATGGTGTTGAACCTATGTGTGCGCAGAAGTCAATAATTGGGGTTTGGGAACCTCCACCTAGATGTCAGAGGACGTATAGAAATGACTGGATGCCCAGGAAAAAGTTTGCTGCAGGGGCAGGACCCTCATGGAGAACCTCTGCTAGGGCAGTGTGGAAAGGAAATGTGGGATTGAATCTCCTACACAGAGTTGCTACTGGGGCACTGCTTAGTGAAGCTGTGAGAAGAGGGCCACTGTCCTCTAGACTCCAGAAGAGTAGATCCACTGACAGCTTGCACTGGGCATGTGGAAAAGCCACAGACACTCAATTCCAGCCCTTGAAGGCAGTCAGGATAGAGGCTGTACCCTGCAAAGCCAAAGGAGTGGAGCTGCCCAAGACCATGGGAACCCACCTCTTGCATCAGCATGACCTGGATGTGAGACATGGAGTCAAAGGAGATCATTCTGGAAGTTTAAGATTTGACTCCCCCACTTGATTTCAGACTTGCATGGGACCTGTAACCCCTTTGTTTTGGCCAATTTATCCCATTTGGAATGACTGTATTTACCCAATGCCCATACCCCCATTGTATCCAGGAAGTAAGTAACTTGTTTTTGATTTTACAGGTTCATAGGCAGAAGAGACTTGCTTTGTCTCAGATGAGACTTTGGATTGTGGACTTTTGAGTTAATGCTGAAATTAGTTAAGACTTTGGGGACTGTTGTGAAGGCATGATTGGTTTTGAAATGTGAGGACATGATATTTGGGAGGGACCAGGGCTGGAATAATATGGTTTGACTGTGCCCCCACCAAAATCTCATCTTGAGTTGTAACTCCCACAATTCCCACATGTTGTGGGAGGGACCCAGTGGGAAATAATTGAATCATGGGGGTGGGTCTTTCCCATGCTATTCTCATGACAGTGAATATGTCTCACAAGATCTGCTGGTTTTAGGGGAGTTTCTACATACAAGCTGTCTTCTCTTGTCTGCCACCATGTGAGACATGCCTTTCACCTTCCACCATGATTGTGAGGCCTTCCCAGCCACATAGAACTCTAAGTCCACTTTCACCTTCCACCATGATTGTGAAGCCTTCCCAGCCACATAGAACTATAAGTCCACTAAACATCTTTCTTTATAAATTACCCAGTCTCAGGTATGTCTTTATCAGCAGCATGAAAATGGACTAATATAATACTTATGCCCTGTAAGACTTGATCTCATCCGGAAAATTAACATAATTATAGGAGATAGTTCATGAAGTTGTTTTGGAAAATAAGTGAGATACTATATATAAAGTGTTGTCTATAGTTAATGAAATGTAAACATTCTTAAATACTAGCTATCATTATCATTTTTATTGAGAACATTATAGTTTCCTTTGGTGCTGGTTCAAAGAGTTTCAATGTAATAGAAACATTTTTTATAGAAAATCATTCCACTGCTTAAGTAGTCACGTTAGCTTTTTTATTTACCCCTAGACATTGACTTTCTAATTCACCTTTCTCAGATCTAGTACCTCCTGCTGGCCTTGGTCAACAACTCACTGTGCTTTTGTATGCTGGAATCCTGGTAAGGCTTTAGTTGTTCCTGATTCCTTTCAGTGCCTTGCTCTTAGTTTCACTTCTCCCTTTGGTGACCATCTCAAAACCATACCCTGTGCCCCAGTCATACAGGGACAGTCATCCTGCCTGGACAAAATCTGATTAATAGAAACATTTCTCCCATATTCAGTTTTTACAATTCTAATTTTTTATTACCAATAGTGTCAAATTAATTAATTAATCTCCTCCTTCATCTCAGAAAACATTAACAACTTTGAAACAATATATGGTTATCCCTTCAGTACTTAAACTATTCTAATTTACATGGCATGAAATGTCAGCTACTAAAATGAAATTTTATTTCTGAGGAAGCATTGCTCTTAATTCTAAAGGTCCCAATTGGTAAAATGCTGCAAAAATACGTTTTACCTGTACAATGTATTCTGTAACTAACCAGTAACTTCTCAAACATCACTTATCATATTCTCCAAAAACATATTTAGTTTTAAAATCCATTCATTACATAAATGTATCATTGGGAAAATTGATCTGTAGGTCTTTAGGATGTCTTACCTAAAATCTTAGTTACATCTTATAAACGAAGGAATGTTTCACACCACATATGCTGAAACTTGTTTCTTTGAAATTTGAAAAAAAATTTACACTTATCAAAAGGAAGCTACATTTTAGTGTTGCTTATTGGAAATTTTACCATATAATTTCTTCTTTTAAGGTAGGAAAGACTAAAAATTATCAGATGAGATTTCACTTTTTTATTCCTTAAAAATAAAGCTTGTGAACAAATCAAGTATACAAAGAGCTCCCACGGAATGTGTTAAACTCTAGGCTCCCTGGTGGGATAGATGTAAAGAAGACTTCAGTTTACTTTTAAGAAAAAGATGAGAGGTTAATGCTGATAGAGCATAAAAAGAGGAAATTTCAAAATAAAAGTGCTACTACATAGCTCCCTAGGTATTTCATCAACATTGAAAATTATATCATCTCTGCTTATTATTTTAAGAATGTGTGTTCTCAAATACAAGAAAGTCCAATATAAATTGTGCCATCCTTTACCTGTATGTATGTGTGTGTATATGCATACACGTATCTATTCCTAGAAAAAGAATAATTGCAAAATGTGAAATGCTCTTATGGATTGAATGTGTGTGACCCCGTCCCCCCCTTTTTTATGTTAAAATCTTAACTCCCAATGTGATGATATTAGATAGGAACTTTGGGAAGTAAGTAGATCATGAGGATGGAGCACTTATGAATGGGATTAATGCCCTTCTAAGAAGAAAAATAAGAGCTTGCTCTAGCTCTCTGTTCTCTGACATGTGAGAATACAAGGAGAAGATAGTAATCTGCACAATAGGAAGTGTGCCCTAACCAAACACTGGATCTTTTGGCACTATAGCCTCCAGAACTGTGAGAATACATGTGTGTAGTTTAAGCCACTCATTCTGTAGTAATTTGTTATAGCAGCTCAAATGGACTAAGACAAATAGGAAAGTTCTGTGTTATCTCCCCAGAAACCTAGTCAAAAAGATAATCAGAAAAGAACAAAATCTAATTTCAGTCCAGTTTTCAGAGGGCAAAATCAAATATAAATTGTAGTTAACCTGAAGAAAAGGTCAACTCTTTCCAGAGATAACACTCATGAATATCTTCTCAAAATCTAAGGAGGATGTCAAGACTATATTATACCTACAGATGTACCTTTAGCCCAAATCTTCTCTAAAGCCTGAGCACCTTGAATCTAGACATCTACTTTGGTGAAAGCCAAGTACAGTCATAATTTCGAAACTATTAGGTTCCAGCGATCAAAATCCTAAATCATACTTTGGTCACAACTAAACCTTTTCATTCTTATCCAAATATCTTTCTTTTCCTCTGTACCCTCAGTCCACTCTGGTAAATGTCTCCTCATCTTGTCACTGATATTTGACACATTTGGTTAATTCTTTCTCCTTGAAATACTTAATGTAGCTGTCTTGACACCACACTTTTCTGACTTTCCTCCCACTGAACTGGCCGCTACATCCTAGTCTGGTTGGCAGGATCTTTCTAATTTACCTGACCACTAAGCAGAATAAATCAGGTCTCAATTTTCCTATATCATCTCTATCTGGACCCACTTTCTAGGTAAACTCCACCAGACCCGTGGCTTTAAATAGCATCTCTACACCAATTACTTCCAAACGTATATATTTAATGGCCTTTTTGTCACTCTGTGCAATATTCTAAATTAAAATTCTTATTTCCCATCTTCTATCCCAATTTGCCCCTCTTCTAGTATCCTCCATTTCATTAAACAAAACTATAACATGTTGGGCATCCCTTATCTGAAATGTTTGAGACTGGAAGTGTTTCAGATTTTAGATTTTTTTCAGATTTTGAAATGTTTGCATTACATGTTTACCCAGTTGAGGATCTCATATTTGAAAATTCAAACTTTGAAATGCTCCAGTGGGCATTTCCTTTGAACATTATGTGAGTGCTCAGAAAGTTTTGAATTTTGGAGCATTTCGAATTTCAGATTTTTACATTTAGGATACTCAACCTACAATTCACAAAACTGTTTAAAAATACATAAAAATAATCTTTAACAGGTGTCTTTTCAGGATATCTATACCCAATCCATCAGCAATTCTTGTTGTTTCTACCTTTAAATGTACCCAAATCCACCATTTACAACCATTTCTACTCCTACTTCTCTAGTTCAAGACATCACAATCTCTTAACCAGAAAAGTGAACCCTCTCGATAAGTCTCTTTACCGGTCATTACTCCTTCTGCTCTTCATTCCCATTTCTACAAATCACCAAAAGTATCTCTTTTAAAAAGTACATCAGATCGTATCATTTCTCTGCTTAAAACACCCTAATGTCTTCTTACCTGAATTAAAACAAAATTCAAAGTTTTTACCATGGCTATCAGCCTCTGCATACCTGGCTTCTGCCTATCTTTTTGATACATGTTTCTCTAGTTTGTTCTGTTCTATCCACATTGGTCTTCTTGCTGTTCCGTTGTTCTTACCACAGAACATTTGCCCTTGCCATGTCTTTTTGCCTGTACATTTTTCCTGAATGTTCACATGGCTCATTTGATTTAGGTTTCTGCTCAGTGCTACCTTTTAGAGAGCCCTTCTCTGACCAAGTGGTCAGAAAACCCTGAGTTTTAAATTCTTTATGTGTGATACCTTGTACAAATCATACAAATTTTCTGGAGTTCAGCTTCCTCTTTGTACTAGCTATCTAGTACAAGTTATCTAAAAATGAATCAGCTTTTTTTTAAATGATCTTTTATTATCTATTTTCTGTGAGTCAGGAACCCAAGTGCGCTTAGCTGGATGTCTCTGGCTCTGAGTGTCTTGCAGAGTGAACCAAAGTCTAAGCCAGAGTGCAGTCATCTCAAGGCTCCACAGGGGAAGGTGCACTTCTAAGCCACTTACATGGCTAGGTCCTCAATGGCCATTGGCTGAAGATGTCAATTTCTTACCACATAAGTCTTTCCATAGGGCAGTTTACATCACAGAAGCTGGCTTCCCTCAGAGCTAGCCAGTGAAACATGAAGAAAAGGCATGCAAAATGGCAGTCACCAACTCAGCAACTTCATCTTGGAAGTGACATCCCATCGTTTTTGCCACATTCTATTCTTTAGAAATGAGCTACTTACTCCAGCCCACACTTACATAAGTCAATATGGAAGTGTGAACTGTTGGAGGCCTACCACATTTATGTGTAAAGTGGAAATAATATCTGCCTCACAAGGTGGGTGGTTATAAAATCACAATATAAATATATTAGACTTATTCGTGCATAACTTAATTCAAATCTTCGTTGCAAACCACGGAACTAATATGTGTAAGATCAACAGAATAGCTCTCTTGCAGATGAAAAAATTTCTCAGGGCACAGAAATTATTGTTAGAGTTGTAAGCAGAATTCCAAAGATAAAGTGCCTTCTGTGCCTTACCCACTTATTTATGCTTTGGTTTCTTTACCCATAATGGGTACCAAATAGTACCTTTTCATGCATCCTCCAACAAACTTGTAGATCTCAAGTATTACTACTGAAAAAATTTTGAATCCTCATAGGAAAATAGATGCACTTCCAGTATTGAAAATATAATGAGCTTAGCCACAGATTTTTAACTCACAAAGTTAAAATAATCATAAACTTTAGAACATATATAAAGTCTGAAATACTTGCTGGGAAATTAAACTAACTCTAGGAAAATTAAACGAACAGTATTATTTAGAAATGTCGTTTATAGGTGTTATTTTAAAAGCATAGCCCTTTCAATCCACTAAAATATTAAGAATTAAAACATTCTAGAAATAGAAGCATAGACAAAGCTATTTTCAAAAAGCAGTTTCTATAAGCATTTGAATACCCAGAACGTAAGAAGGTTCACAAGAGAAGACTTAAAGATCATAAAATTAGGATTTGGGATCATAAAACTTTCATTCAAATCCACCACACCTTTCACTCTTATACAAAAATAAATCAATAAATATGTAGCAGCTTACAGTTTGCATAATATACCATACAGAAAATGATTAATAAATGAAAAGACAAAAATACCTTAACTAGAAACTCAAAATATAGGTCACAGAATAAGGCATAATTACATAAAATGGTAATTAAAGAAAGGGCTACTATTCCAAATGTCCACTTGACTCATCACCCCTCAAAGTCCCTATAAGATTAGCCTAAACCTTATTTATCGTCCAGTGGGAAGTTTAATGTCTTCCTCTGAATTTCTGCCAATTCCCAGCCCTTTCTCCCAGTGGTCTCTGGTTCTGATTTTTCCCTTCTTCTTAATACTCCATCTTCTGCTCAGCTTCTGATGGCTTATTGTTCCTTCATTTTCTCTGCTCCTCTCTAGCTTTGACACATACCTCCGTTGCTTTCATTTGATTGTCATGTAAACCGTCTGTGTAAAACAAGCCTTTGTGTGTGTAGCAGGCTTCATCCACAAATGTTTGGGAAGAAGGAAGTTTATATTACAGTCACACAAATGACTGAAAGTTCTATCTTAGACATCTGCTGGGCCATTTCTCTCAGGGTCCGGCTCCCCTAGTGTTGCGTGTCTCTCTGCTCCTCCCTTCAGTCTGCACTCTTTGGCACTCCCAATTGTGGTTCATTTTTGTCTTTCACTTGTCCCTTGGTGACACTCATTCTCATGGTCTTATATTCTCTCCCCAAGCAGATGTGAAGTATTTCCTTAGCCAGAAATAGACTTCTTCTTAGGAAAAATTCCAGTGCTAATTATTCAGAAAATAATGTTTTCACCCTTTCACACCATTTTATATCTTGAGAATACTTTTATGTTTCCAGAGAAGAGAGGACTAAGAGATTAGGTAAAGTAGGGTGATACAGAAAAGCTTTAAATAGGTGACAGCACTTAAACTAAGTATTAAATGATTAGATAGCCTAAGAAAATGATGATGACAGAGTGTCTCGGAGCATTCTACATTGAAAACAGGGTAAGCATAATTCACATTGGCACTTGACAATAAATAATATGCCAAACATAAGATTTTGTGCAAACCTAGATACCCTAAAGGACTTTTCTTTCTTTAATTGTAGCTTTGTCTTCCATGACATAATCCTTGAGGGTATTCTAGGAAGGCCTTAGTATGCGATATTATATGCCTTTAATTTTTTCTTTGTAACTAGTTTAAAGGTTATGGGTCAAAATAATGCATATAGAGAGAACAATTCAACTTGAATTTTAGTTAAATTGTTTCATAGGGAGGTCTTAAGAAAGTTGTATGCAGAAGCAAGTCATTAAGATGGAGTATGAACTTATTTTAGCTTTATGGGAGCTTTAGATTATTAACTTTCATCTAGAACCAATTGCAATACAGCCCTGAATTGTATAAGTGGACGCTCACCTCACATAGATCTGTATTTATTCTGTTTTCCTATTCCCCAGCTAATTTTGATCAATGATGCCTTAGATCATAAACACTTAGCATGTTATATTGTGCTAAATCATTTTCACTGCTCTACAGTTTGTTCATAAAGCAGTATGTTTGGGGTTTGAGATGATTCCTAGATCCCTTTAGTGACAGGAGTGGGTGAGAGCCTAGACTGTGGAGCTAGACTGCAGGGTTTGTAGCCCTGATCCATTATTTACTTCCTGTGTTTCCTCAGAAAACTTATTTACTGCTTCTGTGCTCCAGTCTTCTTCATACGTAAAATGAAAATAACATCAGTGGGACACAGAAGAGAAGGGTCCACACAGCCAGTTGGAAAACACCATAAATATGTGAACCTCATTACTCACTACCTATATTGCACTACGCACCTATGCTTTATGTATATGTGTATGTAACCTCATGATCAACTTTTGTCTTGACATTTTTTTATCCATATTTTACAAATATCATTTTCCATTTTGTCCTAAAGTAGTTTTCTGGTAATTCTAAACTCCAAGTCTATCCTTTTTGTCCAATTTCTTATGATCATCTTCTAATTTAATTATTGTTTTCTTCACCTCCGTGTCTAAAAAAGTAATTAATTGTTAGATTTCAGCACGTGTAATGATCACTTGGTTTGCTGACTAAAATATGGATTCCTGATCCTCACCCAGGTATCTGAATCAGGATCTATGAAGTGTATCTCAGAAACTTCAAAAGCACTCTGAAGGTGGTTCTGACACAGGTGGTCCAAAGACACACTTTGAGAAATACTGATCTTGTTTATTGATTTTTAAAAAACTCATTAAATAGCATTGGGTTTAGTTCTCATCTGCAAAGAGGACCATAAGGGATGTCTCTTCACATTGGAAATAATTCAGAGTTATTCCCTCAAAAAGTTATGTAACCTTTAAAATGATATGATTGGTGAACAAATTCTTGAATTTTTGCCAGACGTTGAAAGTAGAAAGGACAAAGGAGTATAGGTATGTATACAAAGAAATGGAAGTTTGATATAGGCAAAGATTTTTATCTGCATAATTCACTGCTGAATTCTTGGCATCTAGATTCACTGCTAAATTCTTAGCGTCTAAACCAGTGTCGGGAATATGGTAGGTTCTAATACGTGCAAGAATGTTAAATACTGTAGTAATCAATTAAGGAAACAAAAAGCTAGGTTTGGGTATTTCTTTATTAAAATTTGTTTTGAGATATTTAAGATCCAAAGAGAATAAAAGGCAAATAATGTGAAAAACAAGTACCAAGGTATTTAAAACTATTCTATTTCTCTTAATATATTAGGTAAGAAAAACATTAAAGGGTGAGTTCACATTAGAGGAAAGCTCCCACTGATTCCACTTAGGACATCATCACATACACATGAAAGTAATATTCTTATTACTAGCAGAAACAAGTTCCTGCAATGTGCCTGAGAAAATTGAATTGCAAGCTAGATCAGACTCTTCTGGGAAAACTGAGTTTTAAGTTAGTTTGTACTCTCAGTGTATTCTATGTCAAAATCTGATGTCAATCCTCAATGAGAGACTTTCCAAGGGCAGAAATCATTGTGTTCCCTCTCAACTCATGAAATTTTAAAAGTATGTGTAATAGCAGAGGTCTTATGAAGAATGCCTATCTTTTAATAAAGTAGAAATCTAGGGAGATAAAGATGTCATTTTATTTAAAAACTCTGATCTGATATCACCTTCTCTTCAGAAATAATGAAGAAACAGTAGGCAATCTAAAACATTTCTCCACTGGTAAAAACTCTGTAGACATTTGGCAGAATAAATGTAACCATTTAGACACATCAGCTACCCACATAAAGAGGACTCTGTATTATACAGATATCCTGGGATAAACACATGGTGTGTAAGCCTGGTTTCTACACTTTAATTGTGCTGTGTGTATTGTAAATGAGTGTATTTTGCTCCAGTCCTTGTTCCTTTGACCTTTTAGTGTCTTAATGAGACTCCAAAAGCAGCAATCAAAAGCACAGTGTTCCATTTTGGAAGCATTCAGAAAGCAATGCACTTTGGCTAAATTTAGTTGTAACATTCAGAATTTAAAAACACATCCTGCCATTTTTCTAGGAGACACATAGTTACTTATGATTTAAACAAATTGGTCAAATAACAGTTGTTTCCTCTTAGTTCACTCATGTAAACAAAAGTGGGGGCTGGGGGCTGACAATAACAAAATTGACTCATGTAAGACTTTTTAATAGATGCAACTCAGACATGCTCATTTTGCAGGACATCAGACAAAGGAAACTTTGTGTTCATTTAAAAAACTTCTTTCTCAAAAAGCACAAATAACAATTAAAATTGAAACAACAGAACTGGAAGCTGAAAGCACTGACAATTGCTCACGTTGAGGAAATATTGTCTGATTTATCAAGACTTGCATTTGGAACAATCTTCAGGAAATAAATGAATATTAGAGAGAAAAGGAGAATCAAACTTAAAAACAGCATTTCATCTCCTAAATTATAACATGGAAAATGTACATCTTCAAGAATTCAAAAGCCTGTTCATTTTAAACAATTGCCCTGATTTTAAAGTAGATGTTTATGGTACATAGTCAGAAATCTTTTTCTGTACAACATAATCTAAAAGAGCACAACAAGCCACAAAATTTCAGCAGTTACGCTCCACAAAATTAAATCAAGGCAATGTGAAACATTCCCAGGTAACAGGGACCAGATACTGTTTGGAAATTTTAACAAAACCTTAGTGTAATCTCGCTTTCCTCACCGGAAAGCTATATTGCAAAAGCAGCTGTCTTTAATTTTTAATTTTTGTTTTATTATGGGTAAGAACACTTAGATGAGATCTACCCTCTTAACAAATGTTTGAGTGTATAACACAGTATTGTTGACTACAGGTCAGTGCGTGCTTTTACATCCATATGATATTCTTTAGCCTTGAAGGCCATTTTCTGTCTTTTCTGCCTGAAAAGCTTCTACTCACCCTTCAATACCTAGCTCAGTTATCACCTGCCTTGGGAAGCCTCATAACATGTAATAAACACTCAACTGTCTGCTCTGTGGGCCTTTAGATTGTTGCTCAGACTTCTATTATTAGCTTTAACACACTGTATTTTCATAATTGTTTACATGTACTACATGAAGTCTGAACACTGAGAATTATGCTTCTTTCATCTTTAAAAATGCCATGGCTAAGTGTCTAACATGGGTTCAGTACATTTTTGTTAACCATACGAATGAACTATCTTTTAAAATACTTCAATAGCTATTAGGGTACAAGGTTTTGGGTTACATGGATGAATTTCATAGTAGTGAATTCTGAGGTCTTAGCACACCTGTCTCCTGAGTAGTGTACCCTGTACCCGGTATGTAGATTTTTATCACCCACCTCTTAATCTTCCCCCTTCTGAGTCTCCAATGCCCATTATACCACTCTGTGTGCCTTTGTGTACCCATAGCTTAGCTTCCACTTACAAATTATCTTAAAATGTTGTGCAGCAGATCTCTATAATTTACTCATATCACTCACCTGAAAGTTTATGCCCATTGATAATTAACTCCCCATTTTCCCCATCCACCAGCCCTTGGCAACTGCCATTTCACTCTTTAATTCTATCAATTTGACTATTTAAGATACCTCATATAGGGGGAATGAAGCAGTATGTGTCTTTCTGTGACTGGCTTATTTCACTCAGCATAATGTCTTTAAGGTTCATCCATGTCATTGCTTCTTGCAGAATTTCCCTCTTTTCAAAGGCTAAATAGTGGTACTCTGTTTTCTAAATATACCACATTTTCTAAAAAATACTAATAAATAAATAAGCAGGTCTCTAAGATGAGAGTAAACAAAATTGGAAATGAAAAGAAAAGCTGGGCTGGTGCCTTAGACAATAAGGTTGCCTGCTGACCTTGGTGCAGAGACTCGTTAACCTGCAGTGTTAGAATCCAGTGCTTAAGGGAGGGAGTAAAAGGAAAGGGATTAGGAAAGTTGTGCCCTGTGCCTGGCCTCCTGCTCTTATGATCCAACTATATCCATGAATCCATGAGGCAGTGTCAGTGGTTGGTCAGGCCTGCTTGGGGGAGAGGCTCAGGGGAGAGAAGGGAAGGAAGAGAGAAGAGAGAAACATGGACCTCAGATCACTTTATCACCAGTGTAGATTGGTTAGCATAAAATTAAAGCCATTTCCCAATCCTCTCTGCCACTCCTTCTAACAAACATGAAATATATTTCTACTCAACTATAAAAATATCTACTTGATTGTAAGTCTGAAATTCCTACTGCCTATAAGCTTGGAGATTGGAAAAAGTTGACCATAATTACACATTACATACAACAAGTGAGAGAGCCAAAGTGAAACCTGAATCAGGTGTCTTCCAAACCACACTGTTTCCACCTAACTATAGCAGAGAGCTCCTAATAACACCAGGGGTGGGCGCTCTGTGAGGAAAGCCCACAAAACAAAGTCTAAATAAGCAGAAAACTCACCAACAGCTTACAAATATTTAAGACTTCCCGAATAACTCAGCGTATGGTAGTAAAGTTCCATTTGAACAAATTCTGGAAATAGCTGTATCTGTTAGTACGTAACAGGTGTTAGAATCAGAACGTAGATGCAGGAATGTTTGTAAGAACTGAATTGAGTTCTATAGGGTGTCTTCTGGCATGGCAGTTTTATTTCAAGAAACGTTTTAATTTCAAAGGCATAATTTCAGAAATAAGCAAATTACAAGAATGAATATAGAGAAATTGCACCAAAGGACATTGATAAAAATCTTCCCGGCCGGGCACGGTGGCTCATGCCTGTAATCCCAGCACTTTGGGAGGCCAAGGCAGGTGTATCACGAGGTCAGGAGTTCGAGACCAACATGGCCAACATGGTGAAACCCCATCTCTCCTAAAAATACAAAAATTAGCTGGGCGTGGTGGCAGGTGCCTGTAATCCCAGCTACTCGGGAGGCTGAGGCAGGAGAATTGCTGTACTGGGGAGGCAGAAGTTGCAGTGAGCCGAGATCGTGCCACTGCTCTCCAGCCTGGGCAACAGAGCAAGACTCCATCGAAAAAAAAAAAAATCCTACCCTGTACCCTAAAATCCACAAATCTGTTTCCAGGGGCTGGCACTGGGAAGGACAGAAGGTGTTAGTCAAAGGATACAAAGTTTCAATTATACATGAGAAATAAGTCTTAGAGATTTACTGCACAGCATAGCCTATGGTTAACAATACTGTACTGTATATTTTGTAATTTGCTAAGAGGATTTATCTTATGTTAAGTGTTCTTATCACAAATAATAATAATAAAAAATAAGAGGGCAGGAGGAAACTTGGATGTGATGAACAGGTTAATGGCATAAATTGTGGTGTTGTTTTCACGGGTGTATACTTATCTTCAAACTCATCAACTTGGTGTACATTCAATAGGTACAGCTTTTTGTATGTCAACCATAACTCAATGAAGTGGCTTTAAAATCAACAGAGAAAACACTTAGAATTGTGAGAACACAGGTTCAAACCATAATCAGGTAAGTATTATTGTCTACCATATAAATATTTGTTTGCAAAAGAAAAAATAATATATTAATAAAAACAGAATGATTTGGGGAGACTAAGGCCATAAATCTAAAACGTATGCGCAGGCATGGCCTGCTATCTTTTAAAAAAGAGAGAAATAGAACACAACAGAACACAGAGGTTAAGACCAAGGACTGTGGAGTCAGGCCAACCTAGGGCTACTTCTTTCACCTACCCTTTACTGATTATGTGGCCTTGAGTAATCAATTATACCATTTCAATCCCAGGTTTATTATCTTTAAAATGAAAGTAAGAAAATTATCTCATTGCGTTCTTATTGGATTAAGGCAAACAATGTGTATAAATTATTTAGAACAATGTCTGGCATATAGAAAGACTCAATTAATCTGAGTTTGAATTATTTTTCAGTTTCTCATCTTCAACCAGAAAATTAGAAAAATATAGCAATATTCATTTTGGATCAGACAATCCATCTCTATATTCTGCTTCTGAGTGTAGAATCAAAAGGCATGTTATGGAAGAACATGACAGTCACTCTCCATGCCCCAGTATCCTGGTATGGAGCTCTATGGAATTGATCTAAGCTATTATTTTGATAATAATAATCAAAAGATTATGACTGTCTTCAAGGTCACAGTTTCTTTCTTTTCCCTTCTCTGTAAATAAATGTTTTCTTTAAAATGTGCATTTAAAAGTACTGGCTTTGGCAGCACATATACTAAAATTAGAATGAAGCAGAGATTAGCACTGCTCCTGCACAAAGATGACATGCAAATTGATGAAGTTTTCCATACTTTTATGAAAAGAGTTCTAGATACAAATGGCAGTGATGGCTGCACAACAGTATGCACATACTTAATATCCCTGGGCTGTACACTGAAAAAAATGATTAAAATGTTATATTTTATGTGCATTTTACTATAATAGAAAATATAAGAAAAATGAGCATTAAAAGTGCTTTATTAAGAAGATTCCAAGCTCTTAAAATACTCATCCTTTGTCAACAATTTTACATATTTAAATGGCCATAGAATGGCTAACTTGCTGTTCCACAGTTACTGAGCAAGGTAGAGGCAAATACAGCATTGAAATTCTGAATATTGCAATCTGAAGAGACTGAGAAGAGCAGGCTGAGTTTTGTTTATTTATTTATGCTGCTACATAACAGCACATAAGAATATTTGTAGAATCATCTGTTGTGACTGAATTTGCCACTATTGTATTTTTTATACTCAGACCTGCTAGACAAGAGATAGTAATCAAAGTATAATTATGTTTCAGGTTGATGCCTAAACAGCAATGTAAAACATTTTAAATGTTCTTATGTTGTTTATTTTTCTGTACAGAATTGACTAGAAAGTGTTTCTACAGACAAAAATTGCTGATTTAAACAACTTATAAGTAAGCATAAAACATGAAAGCAAATTTCCACCAAGTGAGAGTTTACAAGTCCTATTGTAGTTTTCATTCATCCATAATTTGGCCTTCCATCAAGCAACAAGTATGGTGATACATGCTTTTGGAAAAGAGTAAAATTGTTTTCCATTTTTTTCTTGCAATCTTAAGATAACAGTCTCATATTTTCAATATCAATTTGACTTCTAGGGGCATGTGTATTCTTAAACTTTGCATTCCTTTCTGTTGCAACAGATGAATTTTCCCTGTATTCACCAACTGCCCATTGCTTTGCTTTCTTTTATAACTCAAACTAGTTGAAAGAGTTATCTCAACTTTCTCACCTCCCACTGTCTACTCAGCACACTTCAATTTATTAGTGCCTCCATCTTGCTCAGCCCAGTGATCAATTCTCAATCTTCATCTTACTGGTTGATAGCAGGTTTGCTAGCAGCATTTGACACACTCGCTTCCTCATTGACATGGTTTTAATACTCTATCCTCTAAAGTTTTCTGCTTCTTAACCAGCCTCTCATTCTCAGTCTTCTCTGCTGTCTCTTTTCCCTCTTTCTAGTCCTAAATGTCGTGGTGCCCCAGGACTCAGCCCAGGGTTCCATTTCCTTTTCTATCAATACATTCTTTATGGCTCTCATCCAATCTCCTCATGCAAACACCATCTTTTTGCCAGTGAATACCAAATGTACGTATCCAGCCCTGACACCCCAGGCTTATATATCCAACAGCATATTGATCATCTCCATTGGGGGTCTACAAGGCATCTGCCCAAAGCCACAATCTTAACAACTCCCTCCAGAGCCTGCCCCTTCCAAATTTCTCTATTTGATTTAGTTGCAAAGTCCAAAAACCCAGAAGTTATTCTTGAATAACTTTCCCACTCCCTGCAACAAATCTATCAGCAAGTCTTACCATCTATATGTACAAACATTTCCAAAATCCAATCACTCACCCCACTGCTACAAGCCTTGTGTAAGCCATCATCAACTGTTATGTTACTCAAAGAGTGCGATAGTCTTCTCCTCAGTGTCCCTGTTTCCATTCCTGCCCTCCTGTGGCTTATTCTCTACAGAGCAGCCAGAGCTTTTCAAAACAAAATCAGATTATACCACTGCTCTACTCAAAACCTACCAGGATCTAGACGTCACACTTAAACTAAAGTCAAACTGCTTGCAGCCTCCTGATCTGACCCTAGCCATCTTCCAGATCTTACCTCCTACCATCTGCTCCTCCCATCTCTCATTGATCTAAGCCAAATCGTCCTTATTATTCCCAAACATGCCAATGTGTTCCCCACCACAGGGCTATTTACTGGCACATAGTAGGTTTTTTGATAAATATTTACTAAATGAAGGATTGCAAGCTGGACTGTTAGTCTTCTCTGCTTTCACTTTCATTTCGTTTTCCTTTGTACCACTTCATGTAGTCACTGTTCATGTAATGTAATGTAATGTAATGTAATGTAATGTAATGTAATGTAATGTAATGTAAAGTCATGTAATGCTTCATGTAGCATTACAGCCAGAAAAGAATATTGTCAGTATTATTTTAGGGTTAATCACTATGGCATATTCAGAGTGTTTCTTTTTCAAATGACAGACCAAAAGTAAGGAGTGGTTGTCTTGATTTAAGGCAGCCTGAGAGGCATGTCTTGAAAAGTTATCTCTATTTAAGATTCATTTAAAAAGCTTGCAGAGGTACAGCAGATCTAAACCTCAAGTTTCTGTTGGGTGATCTGCTGCCTTGATAGTTGAACTGATTAGAGCTATGCTAATAGTTTGCATTTGAACCAATATCATACTCATCTTTTAACCAGGGAAGATTTTTCCTCTGATCAGTTCTTACTCTGGCCTTTCCTCCCCCAATATATCTTCCTTAAGTTGAGGAAGGCTAAAATGTTGATGCAGATACCAGTCTTAGTTTTCTCTACCATCCTTCTACAACCCATAGTCACCTTCTCTAACAAAACTTTTTTTCCCCAAAATATGCAGGTTCAAAACTTTATCTCACAGATATTAATTGAATTCTTACTTGATGTCAGGCATTATGTCATCCCTGATGATATAAAATATGTAAACAATAGTTTAACCTGTGTCTATATTGCCATCATTCCCTTAAATTTCTCGAAAGAAAATTACTATATAAATCTAAATATTTTGCAATCTTTAACTTATTCTGTGTGTTCCCTGAGGTTCCATCTAAACTTCCGTCATTCTCTATATTCCTATCTTTTAACCATCTATTACATTTTCACTGCATATTATAAGATCTCAGTAAATTATACTGACTGGCTTCTCCTATGATGTTCCTTTGCCTACAGTCTTCAATTTTGCATCTACCAAACTACTTTCCACCTCAAATTCAAAAGCCAACCCAAATTCTGATTAATCTAATAAAACCAAGTATCCAGATACTAAAAGCCTTTATTTAAAAGAAGCCAGTGCACCTACTGTGAGCACTGTACGTGCAGTCCTGGGCAAGGCCAGGTGTTGTCTTCAGAGCCTGACAATCTATTGGGTGGACGTAAATAAATGGACTATGAGTATAATGCCTATGACTTAAGATAAATTATAAAATGTAGAAATTACATTCAGCTGAGAGATCCAGAAGGGCTTTTTAAAGGTAGCATGTGTATTAAGTTGTAAAAAGTGAGCAGAATTTTGATTGGTACAAATAACTGAGCATCCAGACCAAGAGGCTAGTATGAGGAAAGACCCACAAGAGATGAAAGATCCTAAAGGATGATCCCTCTATCCTGTGGCAGCAAATGTCAGAAGCAACTGGGCTTTCTGAAATCTCATTCAGCTTGTAGGCAAGATTATCTTCCAGACTGTACTGGATGTTTGTTTGATGATAATAATGACAGCTGAACAATATAGAGTCACTCTTCTGGCTCAATATTTGAGTGGCATTGGCAGTATCAAGACAGTGTATCTCTTTCTCAAAGTGAATGACAGAGAAAATCGTATTAACACAGGTGGAAAGCATTCTTCAAAAATAACGTGAAGCCCAGCATGGCGTGGGCAGGTGTTACCTGGGGCTGGAAAATGACAACAGGAGTCGGACTGTGTTCCAGAGTTTCAACCACAATAACAGAGTGATGGCTTATTTGAGCCGAAGGAGAAAACTAACTCTTGACAGCATGACACGGCTATAAACACTGAAAGAAAAAAGATGTAATCGGGTGTTCTTATCATTCTCTTCGTAATGCTTTTCAAGCTAGTACATACAGAATACACTATGGGAGACTCGGGATATGTACAAACACTCTCAGTGCTAAGCAAGGTGGGAAAGAAGCAAAGTGAGTGTTGGCTTTCCCCCATTTTCGCTATGAGAGCCCTTCTGTCCTTTCAGGAACTCCTTCCTCAGTCTCCCTGCTGCCACTTTTACCCATATCCTCCCCCAATTATATTTCTTGTTGTAAACAGAAATAGAAGTACGGTCAGCCCTCTGTATCCATGGGTCCTATATCCATGGATTCAACCAACCACAGGCAGAAAATATTTCTTAAAATAAAAAATAACAATACAACAATAAAAAATAACATAAACTTTAAAATACAGTATAAAGTTATTTACATAGCATTTACATTACTATTAAGTATCATCACTAGTATAGAGATGATTAAAATTACACAGGAGAATTGCACAAGTTGTATGAAAATGCCATGCCATTTTTTGTAAGGGACTTGAGCATCTGCAAATTTTTGTATCCACAAGGGTCCTGAACAAATTCCCTGCTGATATGAAAGAACAGCTGTAGTCATTTTGAGTTCAATGTCTTTCCACAGAGCATGCCAAAATGGTAACACGTTAGCCCTACCTATTTCTAGTCTTGGCCCTGAAAATTACACCTAGCAATTATAAAAGAAAGATTTTTTAATTAAAAAAGTAAAAAAAGAGAAAGACACAAGGAAAAGTAGCTGTATGTTTTCACAGGAGGCTGTGGAAGGGTCCACAGTATTTCTAAGGCATTTGAGTACTGTAATGTGAGTCATGGCTCCATGAGTCAAGCTCCTTACAGCCATAATTTCTTCCATTACTTTTACTGTAGTATGTTGTCACACAATAAAGCATGGTTCTTTTAATGGGAAATGTTCCATTCAGGACCATGTATTCAGGTGGCATTACCTAATAAAGTGGATGGGTGACATTGTATTTACTTTAGGGCAAAGTTCCTCAGCCTGGTCTGGGGTGGGATGGGGTCTACAGATGAACTTCAAAACGACTGTGAACCAACTGAAATTGTACATAAATTACGGGCATGAGATTTTTCTCATAAGAGCCTCTATGGTTTTTTTTCTTTTTAAATATTTTCAAAAGGATACGTAGCCTCCAAAATTATAAAGACTACTGCTCTAGAGAAAGTATATTAGTTTTTTAAGGGTGTCATAACAAAGTACCACAAACTGGGTAGGTTAACCAATGCAAATCTATTGTTTCACAGTTTTGGAGGCTAGAAGTCTAAAATAAAGATGTTGACAGAGTTGGTTCCCTCTGAGGACTATGAGGGCAGGGTCTGTTCCAGGCCTGCCTCCTTGGCTTGTAGATGGCTTATAGATGACTGTCTTCATGTTCTCATGGCATTCCCTCCATATGCGCATCTATTTACACAAGGAAACCAGACATACTGGGTTATGGGTCCACCCTATCTCTATATGACCGTACCTTAATTGATTGCATCCACAAGAACCCTGTTTCCAAATAAAACCATGTTCTGGCGTACTGGAGGTTAAAACTTCAACATATGAATGGCAGGGGTTGAAGAGTATGAGGGACACAAATCAGCCTGCAGCAGGAAGCACAGGAGTGAGGGTAAGATATCTGTTCTCCCATCCTAAGCACACACCCACCCCCACCCACCCCTGGAAAGGCAGCGTGTACATAGGCCTAGGAGAATAGCATAACTTCTACATCCTGATATGAATATCTTTATATAAACATTAGTCCTAATAGGGTAAATGATTTAATACATGTAAAACTCATAGAAATGCCTGCCTGGTACACAGTATATGTTAGAAAAATATTTTTTTAATTTTTATTTATTTACTTATTTTTGAGACCAGGTTATGAGACTGGCTAATTTTTGTATTTTTGATAGAGAAGGGGAGTCACCATGTTGCCCAGGCTGGTCTTGAACTCTTGGGCTCAAGGGATCCACCTGCCCTGGACTCCCAAAGTGCTGGGATTACAGATGTCAGCCACCACACCTGGCCTAGATAAATATTTATCACCATTTATACAGATAAGCTGGTGACCTCCTGTTTCACTATCAACCCCTTTTCACTCACATATGAACCAGATATGTTCTGAATTTCCCTGAGCTTTTATCTTACTGACAACTATCTGTTGCAGCCTTCTCAGGAGCTGGAAGCATCTAGTATCCTATATATATCATGTTGCTAAAAATTCAATAGGCACCTTTTACCTCGGTATAACCCCCTTATAGTCACAGTGTTACAGGTTCATGACACAAACCTGAGCTGCTAAAGAAGAGGTCAACAGGAGGCTGTAAACCCCTTTTTGTGGGAGAGCTTTCTCTGCCATGCCCAATGCCAAGTACACATCTTGATGCTTAAGCAAGCAAATGCTACTTTTCTTTGTTCTTTGTACCTGACTCAGAAAGAGGTGAAGTTGATTCCATTTGACAAAAATTATTTTCACTATTCCTTCAGAGGACTTTCCACATCTAAATACAGTTCAGATTCTTTTTATGTTTCTAGATGTTCTTGTAACTTTCTGTGGCTATTGCACAGTGAACATTTGTATTCTTTCCTTGAAAATGTATTTATCATTTTCAACATGTTGTTCTAGCTCAAGGGTGAACTATTAATGATAAAATAGCTTTTTTGTTTTCTAAGAAAAATTATGTTCCTAAATTTTTATATCTTTAATTTACATTTTTCTAGATGTATGATTACATCAGAAACTTTATATTAGTCCCAGTAAATAATAACAAGCTTATCTATTTAATTTCATTCAATAATTATTTAATTTTCACCACGTCCTGAGAAATGTACTTGTCACCAAAGATACAAAGAAAAACAAAGCAAGACTGCAGTTTCAGGGACTAACAGCTATTGGTTGTCATTGTGCCACACATTTTATAAAGATTTGTGCTTGTTACATCACTTAATATCAGCATATGAGAAAATATGTAAAGGACGAAAGAGACTTATAAAGATTACACATCTGGCAAAATGGCAAAGTCTAACTGTCCAACTACAGCCCTTGGTGTTTTATTACATTACCTTATTTATTATATAAATATTATTAAGAATCTACTATTAATGTCCAGGCAGAGTGCTAAGCACTGCAAATAAAATGGTAGTTAAAACACAGCCATAATCACTACCCACATAAAGCTTAGAATCTAATGAAGGAGGTATAATAAACAAATAATCAGTCCAATTCATTTAAAATTTTTTATTTTTATTTTATTTTTTTATTATTATACTTTAAGTTTTAGGGTACATGTGCACAATGTGCAGGTTAGTTACATATGTATACATAAAATTTTTATTTTAAAATACACTCTAGAAAGGATAGAAATACATGCTTCTATAGAGAGCCTTTAGTATTCAATTGACTTAGGTCCTAAGAGAAGTCAGAGAAGCGTTCTCAGTAGAAGTGACATGGAACTCAATCTAACTACATTGACTCTAACTATTCAATAAAGGATAGATGGTCTTTTCAACAAATAGTGGTAGAGCAATAAGACATTCATAGGCAATAAGATAACCCTCATAGCTAACACAAAATTAATTCAGAACAGACTACAAACTTAAAAGTAAAACATAAAACTATAAAACTTTTAGAAAAATCATAGAAGAAAATCTTCAGGCTGTAAGGTTAGGTGAAGAGTTTTAGACCTAACATCAAAATCATGATCCATAAAAGGAAAAATTGATAAATTGGACTTTATCAAAGTTAAAATTTTTTATGCTGAGCAAAACTTTGTTAAGAAGATGAAAATAGGCCAGTCGCGGTGGCTCACACCTGTAATCCCAGCACTTTGGGAGGCCAAGGTGGGTGGATTGCGAGGTCAGGAGTTCAAGACCAGCCTGGCCAACATGGTGAAACCTTGTCTCTACTAAAAATACAGAAATTAGCCAGGTGTGGTGGCGGGCGCCTGTAATCCCAGCTCTTTGGGGAGGCTGAGGCAGAGAATTGCTTGAACCCGGGAGGTGGAGGTTGCAGAGAGCGAGACTCCATCTCAAAAAAAAAAAAAAAAAAAGATGAAAACAAAGACTACAGGGTGAGAGACTCAAACCACATATTCAGTAAGCTATCCAGAATATACAAAAAGAGCTTTCAAAACTCACCAGGAAAAAAATCAAACAATTTAATTAGAGCATGAGCAAAAGACATGAAGAAATATTTCACAGAAGACATACAAATGGCAAATAAGCACACGAAAGGATATTCAGCATCACTAGCCACTAAGAAAATGCAAATTAAAATGATAAGATATAACTATACACCTAACAGAATGGCTATGATAAAAACTAGTGACAAGATCAAATGCTGGTGAGGATGCAGAGAAATTGGATCACTCACACCTTGCTGGTGCTAATGAGGAACAGCACAGTCACTCTGGAAAACAGTTTGGCAGGTATTTTAAATATCTAACATGCAACTCTCATGCAAACAAGCAGCTGTACTTCTGGGCATTTGTCACAGAGAAATAAAGATTTCTGTTTACATTGTAACATTATATGAATGTTTATGGCAGGTTTATGAATGATAGTTCACAACTAGAAACATCTGTATGTCCTTCAGTGGTTAATGGCTAAACAAACAGTGGTACATCCACAATAAAAAATACCTAACTACTGATGCACGTAACAGCTCGGATGAACCTCCAGAGAATTAAGCTAACTGAAAAAAAGCCAGTCCCTATAGATTACGTATTCCATGATTCCATTTATATAACATTCTTGAAATGACAATTTATAGAAACGGACAACAAATTAGTGGTTGCCAACACTAATTTGGAGTGCAAGTGCTGAAGGACAACGTGGCGATAAAATATTCTGCATCTTTTTTTCTAACTTCCTTTACTTAATTTTCTTAGTTTTTAAAAATTGACATGTAATAATTGTACAGATGAAGTATAACAGTGTTTTGACATGTATCACATATAGCAATCAGACCAGGGTTCTAGTTGTAATATTAAACCATTATTTTGCAAGATGTACCATTAGGGAACCGGATAAGGAAAATATGGGATGTGTCTGTATCACTTCTTATAATTGCATGTGAAACAAAAATTAAACTTTTTATTATACCTCAGAAAAGGCAAAAGGCAGGGTGTAGAAACAAATTATTCCAAACAGAGGAAATGGCTTATGAAAAGGTTCTGGCAGGAGCAAATATTGCATACCTGATGAACTACAGAAGGCCAGTTTGGCTACAATGCTGAGAGCAAGGAGTGTGTATGTAGATCAAGGGGGCAGAAATTGAGACAGATTTTCAGGGGACAAGGTATAAGATGAATATGGAGATGTGGGTATACTGTGCAAAGCCATGTGGACCACCTTAAAGACTATGGTCTTGATCTAAAAGCATGAGGAGTTGTTGCAATGTGGTAAACAGAAAAGTGGCTTGATTAGAATTGAATTTTTTTTTTAAATCACCAACTACAACTACAATGGGCAAAAGTAGATAACTCCCCAATATGCTGCTCACAGTTCAATTATGCTGCTCTAGTTAAAGAGGTTCATTCCCTAATAGAGAAGCTGCCTAGAGAATCATATGATTGATTAATCAGTTGCCTTGAGCTAAATTCTCCTCCGATGTGTCTATGGGAAAATTCCCATAGAGTTACAAAGAATAAAACATCTGTAAATTGGTTTGATGTGTCGACTATTTTAATTCATCAACCAGGTATGCATGATCAAAAGCAGCTTAAGCATTCTCTGTGACCTCTACTAAAAGAAAAAGTCTTATATCAGCTTCTAAAATAAATTATTTCATAGAGACATTACAAATATTGATGGTAACAGGTTTCTCTGTAGTGTTTGCTGGAGATTTAATGCATTCAGACACAGTAAAAGAGTTGCTCATGAAAACTTATAGAACATGAAAAATGATGCCATGCCATAATTTATTTTGTCCCAATAGGTCGTCTTTTTTTTTGAAACCACAATATTAGTGCCATTGAAGCATAATTTTATGCACTTGTTTATTGCCGATATTTTATGCAAGGATGTAATCCATGTCAATGATTTTAAATTATGATTTGTCTATAGTAAGCAACCAATTGTGTTTATTTTCTATCTTTATAAAAAAAAAGTCAAGCTAAAAGTTTTTCCTCACTGGTTTGTATAAATTACTTCTTATTTTACCATCAGAAAGACAATGCCTACATGGACAACTACCAGTTTCTCATATTAAATAATACTTTGCTGAACATCATTTATTTTCATGTTCATTACTTCATTTAATCGTTACAATGATGTAATGAGGTATACAGAGCAGTCTATTAGTTTATTGAAGATTATAAAGGCTATAAAGCCAAGCATTAGAGTCAGGGTCTGCACTTACAGCTCCTCCGAATATTTAGCCATTAGCCATATTTGACCATAGAGCTCTTGAAATGCACTAGTCCAAATTGAAATATATTGTAAGTATAAATTACACTCTGAATTTCAAAGATTATAAAATATCTTACTAATATTTTTAAATATTGATTACATGTTGAAATGATAATAATTTGGGTTTATTGGGTTACATTAAATATACTGTTAAAATTAATCTCACTTTTTTCTTTAAATATAAAATTACACATGTGGTTCACATTATATTGCCTCCCCAAATCTCGTTAACTGTATTTCCTACCTTTGTCTGAAATCCATGCCCTTCTCTCCATCCCCACTGCCAACACCCCAATCCAGGCCACTCATCTTTCTCTAGGAGGATGATCCCACTCTTCTCAAATCAGCTTTTCTTGCCACTTCCCACCTGCACTCTGCCCTTTACTGCAGTCAGAATGGAGTTTTTAAAATTGCAATCTGGCCGAGGCAGGAGAATCGCTTACGCCTAGGACTTGGAGACCAGACTAGGCAGCAAAGTGAGATTCCCCCCTCTACAAAAGTTTTTTCAAAATATCCAGGCATAGTGGTGCGTGGCTGTAGTCCCAGTTACTTAGGAGGCTGAGGTGGGAGGATTGCTTGAGCCCAGCAGGTCAAGGCTGCAGTGAGCTGTAATCACACCACTATACTCCAGCCTGGGTGACAGAGCGAGATCCTGTCTCAAAAACAAAAAACAAAACCAAAACTTGTAGTCTGTTTATACCACTTCATAAGGTCAGTTTTTCCAGGGAACTCTTAATCCCTTAAGGGTTAAGTGCAATATTCTTCCTGTGATCTATGATTCAGTTTCACCTATATTCAGCCTCATATCTCCCACTCCCAACATGCTAATAGTCTCTCAGTCTTTCAGTGAGTCTCCACTTCAGGCTCCCTTCCACCTAGGGAGGACCCTTGGTATATTTAGTTTACTTTGAAACTCTTCTGCCATCTTGGTCTACTGACCTCAACTCATGCTTTAGACTTCAGCTTTAATATCACTTCCTCATGATTCCCCACAGCAGGATGCACTCCCTATTATAGTACCTTATATTCATCATCACACTCATTGTTTAATAGTCATCTTCCCAATGGACTGTAAACTCCATTAAAGCAGGACTCTGTTAACCTCATCCACCACTGTGTTTCTAGCACACAGCTAGAACTATGTTCACAAAATAGGGACCGTTTACCAAAAATCTGATGACTGACTGACAAGCCATTATATGTGGCCAACATTCAGAGTAAAAAAGTTTTCATCACACACAAAAAAATCATAAGTATGAATGGATTTGTTAATTAACTTGATTTAATCATTCCATAATGACTTCAAATATATCAAAACATCACATTATACCCCATAAGTATATATAATTATTTGTCAATTTAAATTATTTTTAAAACTATGATTAATTTGAAATAAAAAATAAGAGGAAAAAAGACAAACCTCACAGATAGTTTATCAGTCGTGTTAGGAAATTTACATTTTGCTCATATGCAAAAACTGGGTGGTATAAAACCTATTAGTACACATTGAAAAGTTTCAGGTCTCATTTATTTATTTTATTCACTCTCATCTCTGGCAAAGTAAAAAAGAAAATAAAATAGATAATTTAAGATCTGAAGATTAAATGGTCTATCCCTGCAATTTTGGAGCAAAAAGCCAAACTCACAATGAAAAGTTATTTTGTAATAAGGAAATGTGCTCAATTCATAAATGCATGTGAATATTTTATTCTAACAAAATAGTTAACTGAATTTAGTAAATAATTGACATCTGAAAACACACGAGGCATATATACACACATATACGTATATATGTGTATTTATATACGTATATATGTGTATATATATATACGTATGTATGTATATATATACGTATATATGTATATATATACGTATATATGTACATATATACGTATATACGTATATATATACATATATACGTATATATACACATATATACGTATATATATACACATATACGTATATATGTGTATATATGTATATATGTATATATACATATATGTGTATATATACGTATATATGTGTATATATACACATATATGTATATGTGTATATATACGTATATGTGTATATATACATATATATGTGTATATACACATATATATGTATATATGCATATACACACATATACACATATATGTATATATACACATATATATGTATATATGCATATACACACATATATACATATACATGTATATACATATATACATATATATACACATATATACATATATATATGTATATATATACATATACATATATATATTTTCTGGATCTGTCGCCCAGGCTGGAGTTCAGTGGCGCGATCTGTTTTCACTGCAACCTCTGCCTCCCAGGCTTAAGCCATCCTCTCACCACAGGCTTCTGAGTAGCTGAGACCACAGGCGTGTGCCACCACACCCGGTGAACTTTTGTATTTTTAAAGAAACTGGGTTTTGCTATGTTGCCCAGGTTGGTCTTTAACTCCCGGGCTCAAGCAGTCCACCTGCCTCAGCCTACCAAAGTGCTGGGATTACAGGCGTGAGCCACCGCACCCGGCCAAAGAGAACTTTTTAATCGATCTCCTGTCGCTTCAATTCTTTCACTTCTAGGACTGTACCCTAGCATCATCTAACATAAGTTCTTAAATGTCCTTCATTTAAAAAAATAATCTTTATTGAGCCCTGCTTTCTATGCCAGGTCTCATTCTATTGGCCACTCTTCATTTCTCAGCAACTTTAATACTTGAAAGTATACAGGGCTTGTGGGGTACCGAGTGTCTCTGCTATCTGCACGAAGTCCCTCCAACTCTTCTCAGTGTATAGCTTTCATTTCACATCTAGGACTGTTCACACCCTATCTGAAAGTCACCAATGACTGTCTCCTTGGCCAGTTTGCTCCCCTTACTCGCTGCAGGATTTGATATATTCAGCAAACAAGTGTCTACAATTTTTTATGTTTTTCTGATTTAAAAACAGTGCATAATTTTTTGAGAAACTTAGGTAAATACTGTGAAGTCTGAACATGTGGAATAGTGGTCCATAATCTCATCACCTCATACCTGTGTGAACTTTTGATATCATTCTTGTCTTCTGTGATTCTTTAGAACCTTCTTTTTAATTTAAAAATATCTTACTAAATATAGGCATATATATTTTTCTGTAGTCATTAAGACCATTTTAAAACATACTTTTCATGTTATGTATGATATTTCTCTTAACTATTTCCTATTACTGGACATTTATATTATTTTAAAATTTCCTATATTATAAATTAAGCTGTTATACACATTTTAGGCATGAATTTTGTTATTTAAAATTAATAACTTGGGGTCATTTCTTTGAAGTGGAATTAATAGATCAAACAGAATAATATTTTTGTCTCTTTATATAAGGTATTAATTTCACCCATATACATCCATTAGCAATGTATGAATGGGGCCATTTCTCTACATACATTAAAGCATTAAAGCACTAAAAAGTGTATATTTTTGAGTTACTGATTTTGAAGCCAAAATATTTATCTTAATTAACATAATACTAACATTGTTAAAATATTAATATTAACCATTGTTTTTCCTTGTTTTAAATTGGCAGTTCATATCCTTTATGTAATTATTCATGGGTATCTCAATATTTTTCTTATTAATTTGTACAGGCTATTTATAGTTTAGACTAATTATTTTTTGTCGTATTTACTGCAGTCATTCCGTCTCCCTTTCCATCGCTTTTGACATTCTACCACCGTCTGAAATATCTCATGTGTTCATCCATTAAAAAAATTTATTTCATTAACTTAGTTCAGCCCATCACTGTCATTAGCTGAATTAATAGTCTCTGAACTGGTATTCCTATCTCCGATTATTCAGACCTGTCAATCCATTACTCATATTGTTTCCAGTTTTCTTAAAGTTCAATTTTGAGCATGCTCAAAACATGCTTAAATAATTCAAACTTTTCATTTAAGTATTTAGACTTCTTCAGAGTTTGACCCCTAAATATACTGTTTCAACTATCAGAAGCATGTGCCTGAAACTCTAGCCCCTTCAGTCTATTTACTATGTGCTAGGTTGGCATGTAATTTTTTTCAAAAGTTCTATATGATCTTCAATAACTAGTTGATAATCCATGTTATCTGCTAAGCCCTCAAAGATTCTCCATCTCTATAATTACATAGTACTTCATATGTCCCTCATATTTGGTATAACTTTGCTTATGTGATAGAAATTTATACATAAATATACACATATATAAATTTATATAGAGAGAGAGAGAGCGCGAGAGAGAGAGCTTTCTATTCTTAGGATACTATATTCTGTGTTTGTAGAAAAGAGATTTTTTTTTGTCTCAGCCCACAGTAGTTGTTTACTAAATGCTTATTAATTGAAGTGAGATGAAATAACTAAAGCAATTGGGGTTATTAATTCTGAAGAAGAGATTGTGACGGGTTATCCAATAGTCCTAAATAAATGAAAGAATTTTAAGCAGATGGCAATGAACAGCTGCTTTCTATTTTCACCAAGGACCAAACGAGAAGTAATTGAATGAAATTAGAGATATGAGAAATTTAAATTAAACACATTAAAAGCTTTGCTATCCGAACTTTGCCAACTAGGATACTCTAGAAGCCAATATTTCTGTTATCTCACAATAGAAATATCCAGCCTAAATGAAGGCAAACTAGAATCAAATTATATAAGTAAAATGGAGGTAGCATACTGCTGCCGAACTCCCTTGCTTACTGACACTGATTTGGAGTAACAAATTCATTTCGATCTCAGGCTCATAACATTTTTTCTTTGTGATTTATAGAAAATAATTGGCACCTTTTAGTTTCTTATCTGCTTTTTATAAGACGTAATATAGAGCTAATGAAACCTGACACCACCTGAACAAATCAGAATTGGTTATGAATATTTTAGTCTTTAAATGAATCAAAGTTTTTGCTGTTTAAAAATATCTAATTAAACTTTGTAAACAGGTAAAAAAAGAATTAGGGATAAGGTAAGGGATTAGTACACATTAACTTAAGATCTTTAATGAAAAGATGTCTTTCATTTTCATTTTTTTCATTTAGCAAATATTGTATGTTAACTATGTGCCCTGTGCCAGCTGCTAGAGGGAGACACTGTCCCTTGCCTCATTGCATTATCTTTTAGTGTAATTGCACTTCCTAATATAAAGACCCAAATATCACTGGAAAGTACACAACTATTAAATAATACACAAAGTAAAATGTTATTATATCAGTATTTTCTAAAGGGCTTTCTGTAGAAAAGTACTTCTGTGGAATGTGAATAGATATTATTTGGGGAAAAAATAGTTCCATGGTCAAACAGCACGGGAAACCTCTAAAATAAACAAAATTAAACATCATTTTACAGTCTGATTTTTCAGAGCCGTTGTTCTTGTGTTTTACACACCTTCATTCAATACTTCATGTACAATATTTATTATTCAAAAGGCTACAAATGCTAACTCACTTAGTCCTCATAACAATCCCAAGGGTATGAATATTTTCTCCCTTTATTTTACAGATGAGGAAATTAAGACTCAGAGATTAAGTAATTTGCCAATTTCACACAACTCCAGAATCTGTCTTCTTAACAGTTTTTCCGTACTGCTGCCTTACCCTCTAAAGTGCATTTGACTATGAAATACATCCACCACACACACACACACACACACACACACAAACACACACACACACACACACCATTTTTATTTAGCAAAACATTTTGCAGTAATAGTGGCATAAAACATATTTCAGCAATGCTGTATGTCTGTTAGATGATTGCTTTATCTCTCCCTCAAGAGGCTTTCGGTTTCCTCTTTACGATTTTGTAGGTAAAAATTCTTCCAGTGAGGGTCAAGTTCAAAGATGAGCCAATAAAATTCTATTCTAGGCTAAGAATAGAATTCTACTGTGATCAATACTGTTGAAAAGTGTTCTCAGGGACTTATGTCTGAATTATATAAGAAAGGGATGACAAACAAGAACGGCAAGGAAAGTGACACCCTCCACTTCAGCAAAGCAGCTTCTCTCAGTGTGGCCCAGTCCTTTGTAATTTTAAGGGAGCATGAACAAGAAGGAAGCCCAGAGGTGGGAGTTGAGACTGGTAAAAGCGACAGAGGTGAAACATCATCGAATGTCATTGTGGCTAAAATCCTTGTGGTAGGCAGAACAATGGCTCCCCAAAGATGTCCACATCCTGAATCCTGGAACCTATAAATATGCTGCCTTGTGGGGCAAAAGGGACTTTGCCAATATGACTAAGTTTAAAAAGTTGACGTGGGAAACTCCTTGATTAGCCGAGTGGGCCTATTGTAATTGCAGGGGTCCTGAGTTGTGTAAGAGGGAGGCTCACTAGAGGGAGGCGAGATTATGAAGAATGGTCAAAGACATGCCATGTGTCTGGCTTTAAAGATGGAGGAAGAGAATCATAATATAAGTAGTGCAGGGGGCCTCTAGAAACTGAAAAGCCAAGGAAATGGATTCTTTTCTGGAGTTTTCAGAAAACACCACAGCCCTCGCTAGGCATCATGGCTCACGCCTGTAATCCCAGCATTTTGGGAGGCCAAGGCAGGCAGATCACGAGGTCAGGAGTTTGAGAACAACTTGGCCAACATGATGAAATCCCGTCTCTACTAAAGATACAAAAAAATTAGTTGGGTGTGGTAGTGTGTGCCTGTAGTCCCAGCTACTCAGGAGGCTGAGGCAAGAGAATGGCTTGAACCCGGAGGCAGAGGTTGCAGTGAGCCGAGATCGCGCCATTGCTCTCCAGCCTGGGTGACAGGGTGAGACTCCATCTCAAACAAACAAACAAACAAAAAAGAAAACACCACAGCCCTGCTCACAAGTTGGTTTTAGCCCAGTGAAACCTGTGTTGGACTTCTTGGTTACAGAACTAAAAGACAGTAGCTTCATAGTTTGTAATAATACAATTTTTGAGATAAAATTTGTGTTAAAACACTAAATTTGGGGTAATTTGTCACAACAGCAAGAGCAAACTAACACAATCCCCTAAAGGAGCTCAGGCCACAGGAGAAAAATAATAGTTGATTCTATTTGGTGACATTTCTACAGACAAATTGTACAATAGAAAGTTTCAGGGGGCAAGAATTCTACTTGATATCAAGTAGAGTGGGCCAGAATAAAAAATGAGTTACAGACACCTGAAATATATTTCTTGGCCACAAAGATATTTCAACTGCTCACTTGGTGGGCAAATTATTTTTAGTAAATATGATAACAGGAAAATGTAACAAAACCAAGGACTTTATAACACATAACAAATCATATCAAAGGAGAAAACATGGATTTGAGGACCACTAGAAAACTTTTCTGTATTCCAACCTGAAACTTTGTTACAGGATTTGACAAATACCACAGTCTTGTATAAAGTGTTTGAAGTTAATTAATCAACTCAGATAGAAATACCCAACATTGCACTATTCCTTCCCCCATAGTAATTTTATATTCTTCCTAAAATACTTTCAGAATCCCTTAAAATTCTTCTCAGGGATAAACCTTGAAATCACTACCTCAACATGATGATTTTTGAAGATTTATGATGTGTAAAAAAAAAATAAGCCTCATTCTGTAGTGAGTTCACTTTAAAAGTGTCTCTTAAACACCCGACCAAATGCTGTTTGTTTCTTATGAAACATTGCGTAGTCTCAGGTTCCTGATCCAGGTGTACCTTTCTTTTTCATCTTGCTAGGAATCAGAACAGTTCTAAAAATTGACTGGGAAACCAGGGGACTATTTCCAGACTGGTCACTGATAGTGTAACCTTGATAACTACTTTATCCATTCAAGATCTTTATTTTCCTTTTAGAATAATTATTTTCATTTGCTATTAAGAACTCAAAAGGCTGCTTTGCCTATGGAGGAGCCATTCTTTTATTCCTTTACTTTCTTAATAAACTTGCTTTCACTCTACTGTGAAAAAAAAAAAAGAAGAAGAAGAACTCAAACAAAGGTTTTTGCACGTTCAGCAGCAGGCACTTTGGTGAAATAGAGAAATGCATGATTTCAATACAGTTTTCTCAATTATTGCTTCAAACTAACCCTGCAGGATGTATATTAAAGCAATTTGAAGTAGGTTTGTCCTTATGAAACGGAAACTCAGAGCAAAGGTTCAGGATAAGTTTTGAAGTGAGTGGTAAGGTTTACTTATCTTGCAAATATGTATATGCCTGTTACCAAAAATCCATGTTCTTATACATAATTTTAAGCAAATAACAAAGACTGAGTCTCCTTAGCAAGTAGAATGTATTGGCCACAATAATAAACACTGAACAAGATAATAGCATATTAAATTATAAATTGCAGTAGTAAAGTTAAGAAAAGTAAAGTAAATCTTGAGAGAAAGCAAGATTAACAACAGGTTGCTTCAGCATTACTTTCCCTCAGATAAAATATATACAAAAAGTTTCCTTTTTGTTCCCAAAAGGCATCTCTCTGTCTGTAATAATATTATAATCACCCTTTCCAAATAAGCTTCTAATTTCAAATTGAAGCTGAAAACATGATGTTTTTCTTTTACCTCAAGGAAACCTACATTTTATTTTCTTTGCTATGCGTTCTTTTTTATCATAAGATGTTTCTAGAATATAACATAATTTTCTATCACAAAATTCCCTTAAAACGTATGCCAGGTATATCTCAAGTGAATAAAAAATGTATAAAGGAAAAGAAAAAATAGAAAAATTGTTCATGTTTTTGAATCAATGAGACCTATACTGGTAATATGAGCAGTGGAAGAGTTGGTAAGGAAAATAAAGGTTGAATAAAATCAATTTCCCTAATTCTCTTAATCTCTAATGCTAACGGGCATGGACCATCTAAACATTTAACATACACATACCTTTGTCATACACTGTCTTGTCTTGTTAAAAACTGTTGTGCATTAAACTCCTGCTCAATTTCAAGTTTCATAATGTGTCAGCCCTATGTCTTATTAGTTTTTTATTTCACCTGTACCAAGAAAATGTTGCATGCCTCCACAGCACAAACTGTCATGAAATTTGAACCCAAAGGCTGTGGCCAATTATGTGACATCTCACATATTTTGGACTTTACACGTTGTTAGTGTTGTTAGTGTTCAATCTTTAAATACTGAGATGACTAGAATGCTTGCAAGGCTTCGGCCTCAAAGACATCTAATGCAAAATTATGGACAGAGTGTGGCAGGTGCATTCATTGTCTACTCAGTATCTACTTTCTTCTTCATTCTAATTTGTAGTAACCCTCCCCCCGCCATTTTCTGGGTTGGCATTGTGTCCAAGTAAAATGCTACATTTCCTGTTCTCACTTTCAACTAGGGGAGCCATGTGATCCTGGCCAATGAGATAGGAACAACACCTGCTTGGGATTTCTAGACGTGTTTGCTTTTATTTCTAGACGTGTTAGTAGGAAAAAAAACCACATTTTTTTCCTACTAATCACTTTCTTTTTCTACCAACTAGAAATGCTGAGATGAGGCTAATAGTAGCACAGCCATATTTCAACGATGAGGCAAGCCTTGATTCTGAGAACTATGTGATAAGGATCACCAAGCATGAAGACTAGAGAGACTGGGATATTAATGACAGGGAAGCTGCTGATTCTGCCTTGCACTGCCTCCCTACTTTCCATCGTGTTAGGAAATTAATTGCTATTTGGTTAGACCACCAAGCAGTCTATTCATTCCAGGCACTCAAAATCAGCCTTCAATGTCACATATTTGGCCACAGCCTTCGGGTTCAAGTTTCATGATAGATTGTGCCATGGAACTATGCAACATTTTCTTAACTGAAATCAGAAGTGTGTGCTCTCGAATGCAGCCAAATTCAGTGAATTTAGTCCAACGTTCAATTGAGTCTGCAATTTTCATAGTATCCTGCTCCTCTCCCCTCCCAAAGCAAACAATAAAATTGGCTGCTTGAGTAATATTCTCACATTCAGCCGGTAGTGCTGATATCATGGGTACACTTCCTCAGCATGGTGATATGAGACACCAGAGATCTATATATGCCCTTTAGTCTGGGTGAAACCTGCAGCTTTCAGTTCCATAATGTAATCTATGGCCTTCGTCAGTGTGAAACAATCCCATTTTTGAACATCCATCAAAAGCCATCACAGGAGTGAACATCACACAAAGCAATCCAAACATAGTAAAAATAATAAGTTCAGAAGCTGATATTATACCAGTATAATGGTTTGGATCTCTGCTGTCCATGTACCAGCTGTGTGAACTTGAACAAGTCCATGATCTCTCTGTAACTGGCATCTGTCTTCACAGGGTTGTTTTGAGGTTTTTAATACATGCAGAATGCCCCTTAGAGTTCAGGTTTAGAAACTTAAATATTACACAATTGTTTGGGTTTTAGTGAAAAAAAAAAAAACCTAAACCTTGATATTTTAGGAAAAAATAGGCTAGAAGATAAAGAACATATTACTTTATAGTCATGATAATACATTTGCAAGTTTATGTTCTCATTCACTTACTACCTATGATCATTCAAAAAGCATCTATTGAATGCCTGTGCTGCTCCAGGAGTGGCAATGAGTCATCCTAAAAGTAGATTATTCTACCTGGAGACACCGAGAAAAAGAACATTTTTGAACCCGGTCAAATTTTTGAAATTTAGTTTGCATCAAAGAGATCTAGAAACTTCAGCAAAATTATCCATAAAGAATGCAAACCACTAAAACAAGTTGGAAACAACTAAAACTCTAAACAATTTGACCTGGATATAATTACAGGAAGACAGTTTCTGAAATGTGTTTGCAAATAGTAAGTATAAAAAGAAACTGCATCTCAGCCTGTCTGCAAGAAATATTGAACAGAAAGAGGGATAGCTAGCTTGGAGCATTGAAAAAGGGAAGCTGAAAGAGACAGAAGTTGGCAATACTTGCCCGATGCTTTGCAGAGAAAAGAGGTGATGAATAGTTGCTTACTGTTGTGAAGATGGAGAGGATTCACCAGGTTCTTCTCATGACTTGGATAAAATATCTCTCACAAGCACCTCATTCTGCTCTAATGTATTTGTAATGTAACGAAGAGACTCTTTTCCTCTTTACAAAGTTCCTTTGTCTATGTCCTGCCTGACACCAGGAAGGTAATATGCTGGAGAGAAAATGTGAGCATATTACTCATTAAAATTTAGAAATTTTCTTCCTGGCTTATAGAATGGTAGGTTATAAATTTAGTTGTTGTGAGTCAATTCACTTGAGTTCAATCCATCTGGGTTTCTGACTATACGAAGGCTGAGAACCAAATCCTAGATCATGGTGAATTCACCCATTTTCTGGCACCTGAAGGTTCTAAGAACCTGGCCTACTGGCCTTATCTGGATACATTCCTACTTACCACTGTACCTTTTTTCTTGTCTCTCAATATCATCATTGAATTATATATTATAATTTAGAAAGTATTTTCCAATAGCTCATCTCCTTCGAAATTCATAATTCTGTCAAAAAAACAGAACATATATGATCCCTATTCCACAGACCTATGAACTGAGATGCAGAGGTGCTAGGTTAGCTAACTTAGTTGCATGAAATTTAAATTCAAGTCTTTTAAGTCAGCATTTATTTTATAAGACATTTTTATCATTCTCCATAATTTATGTTTAAGAAGATGAATCAAAAGCCATTAAGATATTACAACAAAAAAGACTTAAATTGTACCTACAATATTATTGTAGTAGAAAAGCAAGCTAATATATTTTAAATGCATTTTTAAAACTAAAAGATAAATATCTGCTGAACTATGAATTAATTAGAAAATGTTTATAAATATGTTTCTAGAATACTGGCTTTACAAACTTTAACTTGACTAGGGAAGCATGTTTTGTATTTCTTACCTTTCTGGAGCTCACACTCCAGAAGGCTTGGGTATCATAGCTTACTCTGTCTCTTACCAACTGAGTTACTTGTGGACAAGCGAATTTATCTTCTACAGGCTTAGTCTACAAAGTATTAGCATTAAAAGATTGAATTAGATAAATGTATGTTTTTTTAATCAGGTATAATATTCTCAGACTAAAAGGCATAATCTTTTCAACTCTGATTCTTATCCTTTTGATTATCTGGGGTTTTCACTTTAATGATAACAAGAAAATGTATTAAATCACATAATGGTATAGTGTGCCAACATTCTAGACACATCAGAAAATAATTATTAAAAAGCTAAATGGAAAAAGAAAATTGTGGAGACAGAAATACAAACCTAATTTGGCCTGCAATTTAGGAAAATTAGCAAAAAGAAACTTTCAAATAATATAATTTAAAAAGTTAAATTTGTCTCTAAAAATCTATTTGGTTCATTACTATTGAAAATAATAAATTATTTAAAATAACTGGAAGAAAAGAAACTTCCAGGCCATTGTCTCCACACAGAACTTAATTTTTACTTCATTAAAATTATGTGGCCCCCAAGAGATGCCCTTAATAGAAATTTTATAGTTTCTTCTTGAAAAGCTAAAACTAGCACATGAATTAATCTGCCAGGAAACTTTGGGAGAATATAGGAGCCAATCTAGAGAAAAAAAAAAGTTAAGAAATCTGACATCTTTTTATAATTCTTTGGCATCATAATATTAGCTCGCAAAACACCCACTCGGGCATATTGTCTGCAACATTTTATATGAAAGCATTCTTTGCAATGAAAGAATATTAAACCTGTTTCTCAAGTTACTAAGCACACTTTTGCTTTAAAACCACAGCTATTCCCAAAGTATGTGAGGACATTTTGTTGTACTTTTATAAAAAAAAAATCTACTGTTAATCCCTTTGCCAATGTTTTATCCTAGAGAAGAAAGAAGTGATATAGATATCATAATTTCCAATAAAGAAAAGGATGGCTGGAGAGTAGTCTTCCTTATTGTCTTCATCATCTTCTTCATCTTTTAGCCAGTGCTAGTTATGTGTCAGACACTTTTTAATACATTAGTTTTATATATCCTTATTTAGTCCTCACAATCATCCCTAGAGCTGACCGTAATTGTTATCCCCATTTTATATTTAATATACAGGAGAGAGAAAGGATACATGATGGTGTTATGGTTCTGAGGATGTGAAAGGAGAGAAGATCAGGAGTTAGTTGCCACAGGAGAGAAGCCAGTAACAAGAAGAAAGAGAAGATGATGGGTGCTAATGTGATGAGTCACAGAGGTGTAATAATAGCATTTAAAGAAGTTCCACCCTGATTACTTCAATTATTTTTGAAGTAAGGGGCAATTTCATCTGCTTAGGGTAGGAAGGCAAGAAGGAGGGTGAGAAGTTTGAGAGTGAAGGGTTGGCTGGGTGAGTTGAATACAGAAATGTGATAAGATTGGCAGGTGTTGCTAAAGAAACATTTGCATTTGGTGATCCAGTTGTCTGACATTATCAAGCAAGATTCAGCTGTTTGGGTAGGTGAGTGAAGTTGATTGAATACTGAGGTATCAAAGACTTTGTCATTTGCTAATTATAAGGTCCTGGGCAAGATCTTATGTACCATCTATGAATCTTGGTTTCCTCATTTTTAAAATTGGGAAAATTAATTCTACACTTATAAGATTATTTTGAGGATTAAATGAGATTATATATTTAAAAAACATTTAAGATCCCTGGCATGTACTGAGGCCTAATAATAATAATATAATAATAATATTGTTATTATCACTATTTTATCTAGGCTTGAGACTAAGTGATATCTGGCATCTAGTAGGTATCTTAAAATACTGTTCTACTGAAAGTCACTTGGAATAAAGGATGAATAAGGCACAATTTATTATTACAGAAATATCTCTGGGGAATGGTCAGATGAATCATAACTGTGACTCCTGAAAGTGAAGTTTTAAAAAGAAAGCCAATTCCTATCAGTGTCAATCTCAAGAAACCAAGAAAGCGCATGCACCCAAACTCTAATGAAAATAGATCTACACTATATATTTTCTCTTTGATTTCCAAAATAGTTATTGGGATGGATTTGTTGAATATTTGAACATACATCTTCAAAGAGGTAGCTTCAAAGAGAAAAAGTCTGACAGTATTTCATGTAGGTGTATTTGATTTCATATATTCATAATTAATTAATGTTATCATTTCCTTTTTGTTGTTGAACAGTGAAGATGAGTTTGGCATGTACAAACATGAATGTCTTTGCCCTGGGGACATGCAATGTAAGCTGACACCCTACAATCCTGAGTACTATCCACTGCGTAGACATCCTTTCAGTATTCCTCTTTGCTTCTATGTCCAAGTCATATATCTTGCAACACTTTTCACCACAGCCAAATATGTCCCCTTTTCTCTCAACAAAGCAGAGTACTGAATTTCAATGAGATAACCTTTATCATTCAATTAATTCTTCCATTGTCCCAACTATTACTACATAAAACATTTCAGAGTACAACAGTTAATAGCCATCTGGAAAGGAAAAGAACAACTAGTAAATTTTTACATTATCTTCAGTTTAAATGTCACATAAATACATTAAGTCTTTACTTGGGTAGCAAATTATGCCTTAAGGACAAATAAAAACATAAAAGTATGTTTTAACTTCACAAGCATATTTGCATTTTGTGGTGTTGCACTTCACTCTCTGAGAATCATATTTGGCCAACTTGAAAAGAGCTGAGTTCATAACATTATGAAATGTAATTTTTAAAAATTAGCATTCATTCATTGGAATTGAAGTATGTTTGTACACTTCCCTTTGCATTTCACAAAATTATGAAATCCATATGTTGCAGAAAAAGGTATCAGTGTTCTTAGAGAACTTTTTCTATTATCTCCATCCTGTCATAAAGTGTACAACAGAGATTTTATAAGAGAAAAAAATCCAGTATTCAAATCTTACCTAAAATATCTTTTATTGTTTTTTTGTTTGAACTACAGCTTACTCCTAATTCAAGCAAAGAATCTCCAAAACATAGCCAACAGCTATAACACTAAAGAAAAATTTCCTAAAGATGATGAAGACAGTTTTAAGTCCTGAAAAAGTAAGTACTCCTATTGAAGTGGTAGGGTTCCACCATACACCAAAGATTTTGCAAGCTGTGTGCGCTGTCTCCTGCCTCCTTCCTTGTACCTTTCAATTATCCAGGAGAAGTGGCCATGCCTCTCCCTGGAAGGCTCAGACTCATCCTATGGCCTGGAGCAACCCTGTCTGAAGCAAGAGATAAGGATGGAATTTTCTCCTTCTACCCTTTTCTTAAAAACATATACATCATAAACAGCATATATAATTACCAAACAAAACAGAGTCATTTTCACTTTATCAGGCACAACCGTGATTATAATTAACGTAATTATAATTAACCAGGCCAGTTTTATTTGTTACCAGCCTTACACACTGTATTAAGCCATAGCTCCGACTGTGAATCTCAATCCCCCTCCTTAAACTCCTGCCCCAAATCCAGCCTAATGCTTTCTTTTCGGGGGTCTAGAACTGGTATCAACAATGTATACAGATCTTAATGATGGTAGTGTGCTTGCTGACTCTTGAGCATCAACCATAATTTTGCTCCTTCTGAATGAAGGCAGTAACTGGACATATGTGGAGGCCTGACTGCCAAGTCAGTACTTCTACAGCTGGTCTCTGCTGCTGGGTCAGTTCCACCAACTTTAGTCTTCATGCCTTACCCCAGGCATCTCATATGACCCTTTCTTCCTGCCTCATAAGTCTTGCCTTAGCTACAGCATACGTGAAACAGCTATGTAAAGTATTCCATGGGGCCTGAAAGAAAACCTTCATTCCTTCTCTATTATAAATTATCAAAAGATTCCCTTAAAACTGACCAAAGAATGAGATTATTACATATGTACACAAATTACATAAATTTGAGATGTAGAAAACATTTTCTTCATTAGGATTAAATTTTTTAACCCCTGAAACTTATGAGAATAAGCAGAAAGCTTTCTAATCATAATTTATAACCAACTACTATGGTAAAACTAATAGGGACTACTATTGTTATCATGATTATCTTCACCACCAACATGTGTATACTATCTGAAATTGAATTGGAAAGGATTATTTCTCTCATGCTTCCAAAAAGATGGAGGAACACAGGATAATAAAAGGGTAGGCTCAATTACCAAAATTGAACATTTTAAACCTCAATTTCTAGGAAGCTTGAATAAAAAGGCTCTGTTTTCTTCAACCATATTCTGATGTGCAAATTATAGTTTTGGCATTCTGGATGATATCAAGGGAAATTTTCTTTTCATATCTTTTTAAACTAGAAGGTCATCATTTTAAGAGGCTCCCTATAGCGCCATAAGATTATCATTCTTATTCTGTTTTTGAGTAATTATATAGAGATGTTGCAATAAATTTCCCTACACTTTTCAAACTGTAGTTTTAAAAAGCCTTCTCAAAATACCGTATTTTCTCCCCATTTTCCCAGTGCTTACTGATTTCTTCCTCAATGCCCCTTTATTAATTTTTGCCCCAGTAAAAGCCTTTTGAACATCTTTGTAACAGTTAAAAGGCAAGGATTAATTATCCACTCCAACACCTTACTGGATCAATTTGCATCCAATCAGGAATCTGCCAACAGGATGTCAGCAATATTTACAGAAAAATCCTGACATTTCTGACAGCTGGTGAAGGAAGATAATTTGGACTAATATAATCTTGTTGGAGTCTGATATTATTTGGATGCATATATTTGATGAAGTGTTGTGAGAGCTGATGTTGTTTATCTACAGCCAGCCATAGCCGGGGCCTGTTTTAGAAGACTTTTTCTGTATGTGCAAAATGAGTTGTTCTCTCCAGTTCCATACTTAGGGGACAGATATCAAGACTTAAGAATTGCCATTTAATTTGTTGCAGTTAAATCATAGCCTGTAGGGGTTAAGAAAGTAGAAAACATGTTAAAAGTTTACGGGTCCACAGTGTCTGACCTCCTTCATAAAACCAGGGAATGGTTTTCTTAAACTAGGTGATATGGAAGTTCAACCAGTCTTTACACTTAAGAAAAAGGGATTTTCTCTTATTATTTAAAGTGATCAGCATGTAGAAAATGAAAGTATTGAGATGATATGGTCTGAATGTTTGTATCCCCTTAAAATGTGTATGTTGAAATCTTAACACTCAAGCTGATGGTATTAGTAGGTGGGGTCTTTGGGAGGAAATAAAGTCATAAGTGTACAGCCTCCCCCTGAATGGGATTAGTGTCCCTGTGAAAGATATCCCAAAGAGCTGCCTTGCCCCTTCCACCATATGAGGACATGGTGAGAAGGTGCCATTTCTATGAACCAGAAAATGGCCATCACCAGACATAGAGTCTGCCAGCACCTTGATCTTGGACTTCCCAGTCTCCAGAACTGTGAGAAATAAATTGCTGTTGCTTATAAGCTACTCAATATATGTTATTTTGTTATAGTAGCTCAAAAAAGACTAAGGCATGAGATAACATGCCCAATGCTTAGTATAGTATTTAGTACAAATGGACACTGTATAAATGCTAATAATCTTGTCCCACACTAAGTTATTTTTAAGTAATGGTGAATCCACCTCCATACTCTCCTTTTTTACAGACTACGATCTATAAGCTAATAGAATGATATTATTCCAAACAGGAATTAAAATCAGAGCACCATATCATTAACAGAGTCAATAAATGGACCCAAGAATTTCAGACATCAGAGTCTAAACCTTTTCTTAAAGAAAAGATGGATAACCAATCTCTTTGAACAGAATAGGAAAAAACTAGATACCTTCATATAAAGGAACAAGGAGTTTGATAACACTACATTCAGGAAAGGAAAATGAACTTTTCCCCACGATTTAAAAAAAATGTAAATTGCTATCAGGTAAGTCCATTGCTGTTTTAACTGCTCACCTTGGGGGCTGATGATGTGATGTATGACTTTAGAAGTAAAAAATTGCAGGCAATAATGAATGACCTCAGTGGGAGAAAACAATTTTTTCCTCAGCCATTCTTTGTGAATACGGCTGTCCTGGGAGATGACAGGATGACTTCTTATTGCTCACATATGCAGTGCTAAATAGAAGATATTAAGGTCAGATAGACACAAGCATCCATAATGCCTTTGATACTTTATCTCTTAATGGGAAATTCAACACCTTTACAGCTAACTGATAAATCCTAGGGAAGGATTAAATTATTAAAGGGTTTTTCTCTCCCCTTAGTGTTTTTTTGTTTGTTTGTTTGTTTGTTTGTTTTGAGACGGAGTCTCCCTCTGTCGCCCAGGCTGGAGTGCAGTGGCGTGACCTCGGCTCACTGCAGCCTCCGCCTCCCGGGTTCACGCCATTCTCCTGCCTCAGCCTCCCGAGTAGCTGGGACTACAGGTGCCCGCCACCATGCCCGGCTAATTTTTTATTTTTTTGTATTTTTAGTAGAGAAGGGATTTCACTGTGTTAGCCAGCATGGTCGCGATCTCCTGACCTCGTGATCCGCCTGCCTCGGCCTCCCAAAGTGCTGGGATTACAGGAATGAGTCACCGCGCCAGGCCTTTTCTCCCTAGTGTTTTTAAAGGGGGCTTTACTTGGTGAGTAGAATGGACTGGGAGTTATATTCACTGCAACTAATTTTATTCTTTCAATTGTGAAAACTATTGGCTTCCATTCCATCTACTATGTAAAAATGTCCAAGAGTTTTATTCATAGGACTCTATTTAAAGTAGGAATTTTGAAGTTCAATGTAAAATATACATGTAAATATTGGGGCCAAAATGTCCAATGGTCTCAAATGAACTTTGTATGTTTGGTTTTGAACCTGCCACACTGATAACTAAAATTACAAGTGTTAATTTTAGACAAATCTAACTAACCGCTCAGCACAGTAAAATAACAAGTAATCGTTTGGTACCTTCATTTTTACAAAAAAAAAAAATTGCTTGTTTAACAAGAAGACACACCATGGTTGTTGGCTTATAAGTTATCTTGCTACCCAGAAAGAAACAATATCTATGAAACAAAAAACTAGATGTTGAATTACAATCCAACTGATATCTTCATGTCTAAGGGGAACTAATGTTATGATATGTAAGAATTATTGAAACATTTATCATGTTCCTGGCACTGTTCTATGCTCTTTAGATGTATAAACTTACTTTATCCTCACAAAACCTTACTATATCAAATGTTAAGTGTAAGGAAAATAAGGCACAGAGAAATAAAGTAACTTGTTCAGAAAGTTTCCAATCCAAGATTTAAATCTAGGCATTCTCAATCTGGTGGCTATACTTTTCATCCAGTCATTCATTGGATGAAATGTATCTATGCCTGTATATAGATAGGTCTTTATGTTGCATTACAATCTGTGTACAGTTGAAATGCACAGGTATTAAGTGTACAGTTCAATGAGTATTGAAAAATGTGTACACCTGGACAATAGCCAGGTGAAATATTTTCATCACCCCAGAAAGTTATTTGTATTCATTTCTGATTAATTCTTTCACACTATCCCACAACTAGAGGCAATTATTGTTCTAATTTCTAACAACATAGATTAATCTTGCATGTTTGTAATCTTCATACAATAGAATATTATAGCATGAGCTGTTTTGTTTCTAGCTTTTGTTACTCAACATAATATCTATGAGATCTCACGTCTGTTGTTCCTTTTTCTTTTTATTGCTGAGTAGTATTCTATTGCATGCTTATACTTCAGTTTACTTGCCCAGTCTCTTGGTTGATGGACATTTGTGTTGTTTCAGTTTTTGATGGTTATAAATAACACAGCTATAAACATTCTCACACAATTCTTTTTGTGGACATATTTTCTTGTATGTTGAGTGAATTCCCAGGAGTAGACTTGCTAGGTGGTACATGTTTAACTTTATGAGAAACTGTCAAGCTGTTTTCTAAGTGGCAGTACCATTTAATGCTCCCACCAGTAATGTATACGAGTTCTAGTTGCTTCATATCCTCACTAATGTTTGATGTGGCAGAGTCTGCACTCTTCCAAATTGATGGTACTGAAGACATGAAATGGAATTATACATAAATATATAAAGATTATGTCAGGGGAATAATTAGTTGGTGAAAATAGCTGTTGCCATCTAAAGCTTTACTAAACATCAAGATTTCAAACCTTTGTTTTACGTCTCTTGCTTAGTCATCCACAAATTAATTTCTTATCCCCATCTGCCTTGAAAACCCTGAGACAAAGAACAGAAAAAGGAGGCAAATAGTGGAGACAAGTTATGGAGAGTAATTTAGGAGTTATTTCAAGGCTACTTACTTGAAGCTCTACAAAGGTCACATTTGTACCTCCACGCATTTTGCATAACAAAATAAAGCTCCAATCAACCAAGGATTAGAGAACTCATCTTATAAATTATTGAGTAGATAATCAACCAATATAACATAATGATATAAAGAATCAAAATATACATCTGAAAATTCTAGTCTTACAGGGAAACAATATGAATACTGATTACTCTAGGTTTGTATTTTGACTAATAATGTACTTGACATAAGACAAAACTACGTGGATGTTCAGATTCCCATGAGACTTTTGATTACAAATATTAAATATAATTGTCTCAAACTACTATTTTCTTTGAATTGGCAAAAATAAATTTGGCTAAAACATACATTTATGCAATTATTCCATAAAGGAAATTACTATTATATAAAGATTTTTTCTAAAGTCAGCCAATTCTATCCCGTAAGAACTACACACAGATTGATATAAATGGTATTCTAATTATGTCAGAAAACCTTTAGAAAACCACTATGATTTTTTGCTCTAAGACTCAAAAAAACATAATTCAACCTGGCAGCTAAAATTTTGAAGTCAATTTGAAAAGGCATTTAACTATTAGATAATAATCAATGACACGTTCTTTTAATCTTCATAATATCAGTAATAAAAGTTTTTTCTCTTAATTGACCACATTATAATATCTTCCTTTTTATAGAAAATAGTAACATTTTACTGATCTTGTTTAAAATAATGTTTTTATGTTCACACATACACTAAGAAACTTCCATAAAAATCACTAAGTTTGGATGCATTATATATACTTTTCCTGTGGTTTGATGCAGGTTCTTGATAACCAAGAGAATTAAAAAAAAAAAAATACAATTTCCTATGACTTGATTTTCTAGACTATGTCAATCTACATAGCTATGCAAATAAGTTTTAGTATTTACTAATGGCATTTTAACAATCAACGGAGTTTAATTAGCAAAATAGTGTTTCTAACCAGTAAGAGAAGTAAGCCTATTTTAAATACCTAACTTGCCATTTAAATTAGAAAAACTTATTACATTTTCAATATCCTAGAGCATTCACTGGTATCAGCCTCACTCCACAGACCTTGCTAATTAGCCCCTAAAGGTTACAGTGATTGAATCTACAATTACTTACTCTCGGATGGAACTCCCATTCATCATCTTTCTCATTTTCTTTCAACTATTCATATGCTACTGTGGGCTTACTGACATTTGTGGTTTCTTTGCAGCCCATGTTTAGCATATATCATGGCATGTGAATATGAAAAGTTTTTTTAAAAAATAATTACTATTTCTATTCTACAGGGTTTATTTATGTGAATTAACTATTATGAAAAGATGATGGCATAGATATTAACCTACCTTGGCATTATGTTTCTGTTAGATCAGCTGTTCGTATAGCTGCTGAATGTGTTATTTTTGTTTAATCGTTGAACAGCCTTTAAGGATACCCCACTTTGATCATTTGTGGAGAGTTAAAAAAAGAAAAAAGCATAAGGCCTACACAATTTTCACTTATTTTTCCCATACTAAAAATTCTAGATTTTTTTTAAGACTGAAACAGATGGGGATTTCGTTGGTTTGCTTGCTTGCTTGTTTTTCTAGAGGCAAGGAAGAATGAACGGCAGGGAACTGCTTTAGCAATGTTTGACAATAGATTGAATGAGCATGAGTGATAACCAGTTGTTCTGCGTTCAAATTAACCACACGGAGGTCTTGTGTAATGATGAGTTGCTGAAGGTCATCCCAGTGATTCTGATTCTGAGTGACTGAAGTGAGACTCAGGAATCTGCATTTTAACCAGCTGATTTTCCCCAGATGATTCTTATCTGAGTAGTTAGAAACGACATTTGAAACCACTGATTTTATCTGCAGTATTTGTCCCTTTAACAAGGTAGAGTAACCACATGAGCTAACTGGCCACAGGCTGATACAAGGAGCCGACTTGAAAAGGATACTATTATGCCCAAGGCACCATTTTGGATTCTTCTGTCCTCTTTATTTCTGATTTACCTGAAATTCACCCTTCTTTTTTGATACGGGAGGGGAGTAGGGAAGTGCTGGGTAGAGAAGTGTGGGTCCCTGGCGAGGGCTCTATCCTTGGGCCTGTGCCCACAGACGTAAGTGAAAACAGGCACTCCTGTTTTTGCACCCAAATGTTGCATTTTCCAAGACCACTCTGGCCCGCCATGCTCCCATCTTATGCCCATATAAACTTGAGACCTTAGCAGGCACAGACACAAGTAGCTGAACATCAAGAGGAGGAAAGGAACAGACCAGCAGACTGGTAGACCGGCCACGGTGGAACAACATGGCAGAGAAAGAGAGAAGAGGAAGGTTGTCTGTACCCTGAGGGGAGTTCAGCCAAGGGCAGTCAGAGAAGAGTCTGCCAGCTGGGCGGCCAGGCTCCAAGGGAAGACCCCCTTCCCACTCTATCCTCTCCTTCCGGCTTCCCATCCTTCTTGCTAAAAACCACCTCCATCACTCAATAAAACCTTGCACGCATCCTTCCAGCCCATGTGTGATCTGATTCTTCCAGTACACTGGGCAAGAACCCAGGCTGTCACACTGCCTTGCGATAAGGCAGAGGATCTATTGAGCTGATTAATACAAGCCGTCTACAGACAGCAAAGCTGAAACAGCACAGTGTAACACACACCCTCTTGGGCTTCAGGAGTTGTAGACACCCACCCCCAGATGCTGCCATGGGGCCGGAGCCCAAAAGCACTCTCCATGGCCTCTGTACCTGCCCATCTGCATGATCCCCCTAGGGGTTTGAGCAGAGGGGCGACCTAAGGAGTAAAAGAGCAAGCCACACTACTGTCATATGTCCGGCAGTGAGATCAGGGAACTCTCCCATTTCACTTGTATCCTAAGTAGGGGAGGGTAACAGATGTCTCAAGGTATCAGATGTCTCAAGACGGGTGCTAAGTAGGAAACAGGCAAAAAGAAGCACCCATTTTGTGATAAGGGTTATGACTATTAGTGGACACTTGGATATATATGTAGGTTTCAGGAGAGGTGCTAAAGATTGGAAAGGAGGAAGCAAACACCCCAACCTGGACAGGTCTGAATGGAATAGAGAGATGGCAGAGCAAGGGGAGTACAGTACAGCTGACCGTTGAACAAAACTGGTTTGAACTTTATACGTCCACTCACAGGTGGATTTTTCTTCACTAAAATTTATACCCAGTGTGCCTGCCTCTCCTGCCTCCCTTTCCACCTCCTCCACCTCTGCTACCCCTGAGACAGCAAGATCAGCCCCTTCTCTTCCTCTTCCTCCTCAGGCTACTCAACATGAAGACGGTGAGGATGGAGACCTTTATAATGATCCACTTCTTAATGAATAGTAAATATATTTTCTCTTCTTTATGATTTTCTTTATAACATTTTCTTTTCTCTAGTTTACTTTATTGTAAGAATACAATATATAATATGTATAACAAACAAAATATGTGTTATTAGACTTTTTGTATTATTGGTATGGTTTCTGGTCAACAGTAGACTATTAATAGTTAAGTTTAGGAAGTCAAAAGTCATATTGGGATTTTTTACCATGTGGGGGTTGGCACTTCTAACACCCACATTGTTCAAGGGTCAACTGTACTTGTGACTCCTCAAATTGGGCTGCTGCTCTGCACAAGTAGATAGAAAATACCATATACAAGGAATGAGTTATTTTTCTACGTCTTATCGCGGTTAGCATTTGACTAGTTTGATTTCTCCCAGACCTCATTTAAATTTCAGATCCCAAGACTGCAAATATATATATATAAATATCAAACCTTTTTAAAAATGGAGTGGTAAATTCTTCAAATGACTCTGGCCTTCTAGCTGAGTCTGTAACCACCATCCCCTTGGTTTTCTTAAGCCCAAGTTAATGCATCTGCCATCCAATTAACACCTCATTTAACTATACACCTGAGGCTTTTGCTTCAAAACTCTATTTTGAAACAATTAGCCCTCTGCTGAATAGGGTAATGTGATTATAATTAGGAGGGAGACACAAAGAACAGTGTGATTAAGCCTTTATGAAACTTCCGTAATGGAAGTGGGGGTCACAGTGAAGAGAAACTAGTGAAGTTAGGATAAAGGCAACTTTCTTTAAAACTGCAAGATGCTTTGGTACACAGTAATACATTACTCATATTACCTATATCAATGCACAGCAGAATGGATTTCCTGATGTATCACCTTCTCCCAAGTGTGAGATCATTTAATGTTTTGTTTCAAATTATTATCACATACTTTGGTCAAATAAAAACCTATAAATAGCCCTACCTCTGAATTCAATTTTATCTGGAAACTCTTGGGATCATCTGCAATGGAAATAGTGTTTTTATACATTTGAGTGATTTTTACATATAAATATAACCTAATTTTCACTGTAAGTTTTTTAATCTGCCAATAAAAACCACTTATTTATATTTTCACATCTATAAGGATTTTTTATTTCTAGTCTTTTTCATATTAATTCCTTCTAGTGTTTTTCAAGCTTTAAAGTGCATTAAAATTGGAGATGTTTTTTAAAAGCACAATCTGATTTAGGAGGTTTGGAATAAAGAATTGAATTCTGCATTTCTAACAAGCTCCCAAATGATGCCCATGCTGCTGATTCAAGGACCACACTTCGCACAGCAAGGCTCTGTCTGGAACGTAACTCTTAAGTTGCCACGCTAGGTTTCACTAAAGAGGAATAGTCATTTCTAGTTCAAATTTTATATTTAGGAATTGTTATTGGAATAGAGTTGAGACTAGATTAACATAGTAGAAACAAATAAATTCTAGTCCTTTGAAAGCTCCTACACTTTACAGCACAAAATATCTTCAACTAACCTCAATTTTTTTCCAATACTACATATGAAATGGTTGATTACTCTTGCTATTTCAAATGAGATGTTTAGATTGATATTTATTAAGAAAATGTAAATAACTTGACCTTTCATACTCTTATTCCCAACCTGGAATCATTTCAACAGCAAAAACCCATAATGATCACCGAGGTGTAGAGATGAGTGAGGAGAGGCCCTTTTTATATCCTTGAACACATGAGTCAGCACACAATTGTATCTTCTCTAGAGAAGCAGCAGCTCAAATATGCTAATTTATAAAGGGGAAGACACTTGATTTTGATTACTGGCTAATACAGATGGATAGAAAATGAATAGCAAGAGAGAGAGAAGAGAGAAATGATCCACACATAGACATTAAAAAACAAAACAACAAAAAAGGAAAAATGAATAAGAGGAGCTAAAAGTGAGAACCAGTGGAACAGAAAACACTGGGGCCACACATAGATGTGCACACAGGGGATGTAGAGATTTCAGAATTTATTTCACTTTATGCACCCTGGAAAAATGAAGAATCAGGAGGAAAAATCTCGTTTATTTGGTGACCAGAAAAGCTTAGGAGCAGAAGCTTAAATTTAGTTTGGAAGTGAACCAGAGAGGATCAGAGAAAACCAAGAAAATATAGGGCTTCAGATGGGAAGAGGCAGGACTTCAGTGACCTGGCAGAGGATTCCCAAACCCTGAGAACCTAAGCAGGAATGGCTCTGTGCTGGCCATTCCTTGAACCATGTTGACCTTGAGTTAGTGTGCCATCACATAATAGATGCCTGGAAAATCATATCACTGATAAAGTGTGGAGCCTTTGTGTGAGAAGAGACACTCAGTATCACCCAGTCTAGTTCTTGCAGTTTGTAACTTAGTAAACTTGTTCCCCAAGATGCTAAGCGACTGGCCCAAGGTCATATTTAAAGCCAAGCTGATTCTGAAACCCAACTCTTTAGACTCTAAGTCTCTGCTTGTGCCACAACATCAAAAACCATTGAGATAAGAGTAAGTCAGAGAAGGATTTAGGAGAGAAAACCACATTTTCAGGAAACCCCCAAGCCTCCCCTTCTATCTTAGAAGTAGACTAGACAATTGGTTTAACATGTCATCTTAGTGTGCCCTTCAGCACTTGTAAGGAAATGCTAAGTAAAGAAACAGAAATATAGCAAGAAAGGTAAGCTTCTATCATCTTCTATCATCCTCTATTTCACCAAGATCCCAGTCAAGTTTTAAACTATTTTATGTAATTTCAAGACAAATTGCAAGCAGTATGATCAACATTTTCCAGAACATCCTTATTTTCAGAATACGTTTTAATATGCATGCAAATTATGAGTGTTCTAATCAACAATTTAAAATGCAAAGCCTTGCTCAGATGTGCTATAAGACATTGTGTATTAATGAGGGGATGTATTTGTTGGTTCTAATATTTACTCCCCCAAAACAATAAAAAGCAGCCTCTGTTTCGAACATAATTGTAATAGAAAGCCTGAATTACAAATAAGAAAAAAATGGAGGCAATTTTTCCCAAAAGACAAAAATATTCCACCAACAGCAATTAATTAAAGGCATATGAATTCAGATATTAACATTTAAAATACATTGTAGGCTGCATTTTCTAGTCAACTGATCATTTAAATACCTAGGCTTAAAGAAACTACAAACTCCAGAATTGCAATTCTTAAACACGTTCAGGGCTTATCAGTCAAATTATAGTTAGGATATCTTTTCGTATAGGTATTTAGTATATGTACCTCTTATTTTGTATAATGATTTCACCTATTTTTCCCTCCATTAAATCTTCTGAACAGCCAAACCCTCTGAAACAGAAACTATTCATCAACATGTAGCCTCAGACAAGACAATTAAAGTGACCTAAAAACAAAGAAGTATCATGGGTCTTTCCTCATTATACTCATTTGTAATAAGATAAATATATTAGGATATTCAGTTTCTAGACAAAGAGCTATTGAAACAAATGTCAAATTTCCTTTCCTATAATATCAGGCATAAATTTGTCACATATTTTTCAAGAAATAGCCAAATTTTTGGAAAGATAAAAGAAAGATACCAATATTAACAGCTAGCAGGACATCTATAAAAAAACATAGAAAAGAATAAACAACACACCTGTTAGAATGGCTATTATATTTATAAAACAGATAAGTATTGGTGAGTATGTGAAGAAATTGAAACTTTTGTTTGTACACTGCTGATTGGAATATAAAATGGTGTAGCAGCTATGGGAAACTGGAGATTCTTCAAAAAATAAAAAAGAATTACCATATTATTCAGCAATTGCACTTCTAGGTATATGTCTTTAAAAATGAGAATCATGATCTCAAAGAGATGGCTGCACTCCGTGTTCATTGAAGCATTATTCACAGTAGCCAAGATATGGAAACAACCCAAGTGTCCATCAACAAATGAATTGACAAAGAAAATTATATATGTGTATATACATACATATGCACTACATATGTAATCTGTTTATATATATGTATATATACACATATATACATATTAAAAATATTATATATACACATATATTTTTAATATGTATATATGTGTGTGTGTGTATATATATATCTCCAGTTTTTTAAAAAAAAGGAATACTGCCATTTGCAACAACATGAATGAATCTGGATGCCATTATGCTAAATAACATAAACCTAGCACAAAAGGAAAAATACTGCATGATTCTATTTACATGAGGTATATATAATAGTCGAATTTATAGAAACATAGAATACAATGGTGGTTGCGAGGTTTTGTGCAGTTGGGGAAATGGAGAGTTGTTTAATGGGTGCAAAGTTTCAGTTATGCTAGATGAATAAATTTTAGAGATTTTAAACCACAAGCATAAAAGGAGCCAAACGTACTGAGCTTCATCCACAAGCATACAGGAGAATCATTCATGAACTCTTAATATACATTCCTGTTTGATATATTAAACATATTGTAATGAAGAGTTCAATAAAGTCAGTGCCAATGGAAAAGAAATAATCACATATTTGTAAAAATCTAGGGGACCCTAGAGATTGAAGACGAGCTCTCTGGAATCAGAGTTCTGGGTTTAAATCTCAGTGCTGTCACTGCCTATGTGACTGACCTTAAACAAGTTACTACACTGAAAATAATAGTGAATACCTACAGTAGACAGAATAATGGTCCCATGACGATGTCCACATCCCAATCCCTGGTATCTTACATGAAATGTAATATGTTACCTTTCATGAAATTCACATTCGTGAATATGCTACCTTACATGAAAAAAGGGACTTTAGAGATGTGATTAAGTTAAGGATTTCGATATGGGAAGATTATCTTGGATTAGCTGGGTGGTTCCAATGTAATCACAAGGACTCTTATAAGAGGGAGGCAGGAGTGTCAGAGTCAGAGAAGGAGATATGAGGATAGATGCAGCCATCAGAGTGATGCTGGTCCATGAGCCAAGGAATGTGGGCAGCTGCCAGAAACAGGAGAAGACAAGAAAATGAATTATCCCCTGGAGCCTCCAGAAGGAACACAGCCCTGTTGACATCTTGATTTTAGCCCAGTGAAAGTGATTTCTGACCCCTAGAACCAGAAAATAAGAAACTGTATTGTTTTAAGCCACCAAATTTATGGTAACATATTACAGCAGCAACAGAAAAATGTTATACTACCTCATAAGATGATGAATGCAGTAAATATTTGTAAAGCTCTTAAAAGGATGCCTAGAATTTAAGTGCTATATAGCATCAGCTATTATTAACATAAATCAGATTATCTCACTTCTCTGCTTAAAAATCTGCTGTCTTCCCTTTGCCCTAAGAATGAAATTATTTTCTGAATTATGCCCTATCAAGATTGGGTATGCTTCAGCTCCTCTCCTGCTGACCTCTCTCAACCTTTTACTGCAACCTTCCCTGTCACTGGCTTCTGTCCAGTCACACTGGCCTCTTTCAGTTTCTGGAAAATCAAGTGCCTTTGAACCTCAGGAGCTTTATAACAGCTGTTCTCTCAGCATGGAAAGTTCTTTCCCTCATGTTTATCCTAGCTAGATTCTATCTACATTTCATATTTGTTAAAGTGGCTTGTTTTCAGAAAGACCTTCCCTGAAAATAGAAATTCTATCTCAAAATATCCTATTCTTAATGGCCAATGAACAGAAGAAAAGATGCTCAAGATTATTATTCATTAGGGAAATGCAAACCAAAACCACAATAAGATACCACTATATATCCACTAGCAGGGCTAAAATGAAAAAGACAGACAATAACTCTTAGTGAGGATGTGGAGATATTGGAATCCTCATACATTGCTGGTAAGATTGGAAATGGTCCAGCCACTGTAGAAAACAAACCTTTTGGAAGCTTTTCAAAATGATAAACAGAATTACCATTACCATACGACCCAAACTGCCTATCATGAACTGGGTGCTTTCTGACCCATCTAGCCATAAAATGGGTTGTGCACAGCTGCATTCCATCATTAAACAGAAGTGGTATGTATGAAATCAGGCTCAACAGGTCCTGAAGGCACAAGTAAGTTACATGAGGAAGTGGCTCAAATGCCCATGGTCTCCACTGCTGTCACCCTGCCTTCTCTCTCCCAGCCTGCACCAGTGGCCTCATGGGGAGTTCCCTATGGTCAGTTGACAGAGGAAGAGAAAACTAGGGCCTGGTTTACATATGGTTCTACACGATATACAGGCACCACTCAGAAGTGGACAGCTGCAGCACTATAGCCCCTTTCTAGGATATCCACCAAGGAAAGCAGTGAAGGGAAATCTTCCCAGAACTTTGAGCAGTGCACCTGGTTGTGTACTTTGCTTAGAATGAGAAATGGCTAGACGTACTATTATATCTGATTCATGGGCTGTAGCCAATGGTTTGCTGGGATGGTCAGGGACTTGGAAGAAGCGTGATTGGAAAATTGGTGACAAAGGAATTTGGGGAAGAGATATGTGGATGGACCTCTCTGAGTGGTAAAATACTGTGAAGATATTTGTGTCCTATGTGAATGTTCATCAAAGGGTGACCTCAGCAGTGGATTGTAATAATCAAGTGGATTGGATTATTCATTATATAGACTCCCTCAGCCTCTTTCCCCAGCCACCCCTGTCAACACCCAATGGATTCATGAACAAAATGACCATGGTGGCAGGGATGGAGGTTACGCATGGGCTCAGCAACATTAACTTCCACTCACCAAGGCTGACTTGGCCACAGATACCACTGAGTGCCTAATTTTCCAGCAACAGAGACCAACACTGACACCTTGATATGGCACTGTTCCTCGGCGTGATCAGCCAACTACTTGGTGGTAGACTGATTATATTGGACCTTTTTCATCATGAAAAGGGCAGATGCTTGTCCTCACCAGAATAGACATTTACTCCAGATATGGGTTTGCCTATCCTGCACATAATGCTTCTGCCAAGACTACCATCTGTGGACTCATGGAATGCCTCATCCACCATCATGGTATTCCACAAATCATTGCCTCTGACCAAGGCACTCACTTTACACTAAAGAAGTGAGGCAGTGGCCTTTTGAAGTCACAATTACAATGCCAACTAGGTGACAATACTTTGAGGCAAAGTTCTCCTCAAGTCTCTGTATGCTCTGAATCAGTGACCAATATATGGTACTGTTTCTCCCATAGCCAGGATTCACAAGTCCAGAAATCAAGAGGTGAAAGTGGAAGTGGTACCACTCACCATTACCCTTAGTGACCCGCTAGCAAACATTTTTCTTCCTGTTCCCACGACATTATGTTCTGCTGGCCTGGAGGTCTTAAGTCCAGAGGATGGAATGCTGCCACCAGAAGACACAACAATTCCATTAAACTGGAAGTTAAGATTGCCGCCTTTGGGCTCCTCCTACCTCTAAGTCAACAGGCTAAGAAGAGAGTCACATTGTTGGTAGGGGAAATTGACCCACACTATCAAGATGAAATCAGACTACTACTCCACAATGGAGGTAAGGAAGAGTATTCATGGAATACAGGAGATCCTTTAGGGCGTCTCTTAGTATTACCATGCCCTGTGATTAAGTTCAATGGGAAACTACACCAACCCAATCCAGGCAGGATGACAAATGGCCCAGAACTTTCAGGAATGAAGGTTTATTCACTCCACCATGTAAGAAACCACAACCAGCTGAAGTGCTTGCTGAAAGCAAAGGGAATTCAGAATGGGTAGTAGAAGAAGGTAGTCATCAATACAACACGAGACCAGCTGCAGAAATGAGGACTGTAATCATCATGAGTTTTCCCCCTTATTTTGTTAAGAACATTTTTGTGCATGTATACACTTGTACTAAAAAATATCTTCATTTTATTTCCTTTCGTTTTCCTTTATCATGTGACATAAGATTTACTGACTTTATATCAGCACTTAAGTGTTGTTAACTTTATGTAATAGTATTTAGATTAAGGATTAGTGTGCTTCCAGTTGTACGAAGGATAGCTGTATTATGTTAAGTATAATAATGGCCTTATTGTCTTTCTTTGGAGATTAAGTATGATTTCAAGAGATGTGTGTGGATTCAGTTGACAAGGAGTGGATTTGTGATGGTTAACATTAGGTGTCAACTTGATTGGATTGAAGGATGTCTACACAGCTGGTAAAGTATTATTTCTGGGTGTCTGTGAGGGTGTTGCCAGAAGAGATTAACATTTGAGTCAGTGGACTGGGAGAGGAAGACTCACCCTCAACGTGGGTGGCCACCATCCAACCAGCCACCACCATGGCTAAAACAAAGCAGGTGGAAGAAAGTGGGATAAGCCAACTTGCTGAGTCTTCTGGCTTTCTTCTTTCTCCTGCTCTGGATGCTTCGTGCCCTAGGACATCAGACTCCAGGTTCTTCACCCTTTGGACTCTGGGACTTAAACCAGTGGTTTGCTGGGGGCTCTTGGGTCTTCGGCCACAGACTAAAGGCTGCACTGTTGGTTTTCCTACTTTTGAGGCTTCTGAACTCAGATTGAGCTACTACTGGCTTCATTCTGCCTCAGCTTCAAGATGGCCATCATGGACTTCACTTTGTGATTGTGTGAGCCTATTCTCCTTACACCCTTTCATATGTACACATATCCTATTAGTTCTGTCCCTTTGGAGAACCCTACTAATACATTTTAGGTATATGCACAATTCAAATGAAGATGACATATGTATAAACTAAAAACATATACATAAATGTCCATAACAGCATTATTCATGAGAGCCAAAAAGTAATAACACAAGTGTCCATCAACTGATGAATGCATAAACAAAATATGGTTTTCCTATACAATGTAATATTATTCAGCAACAAAAAGGTATGAAGTACTAGTACTTGCTACAACATGGATGAACCTTGAAATCATTATACTCAGTGAGAAAAGCCAGTCAAAAAGGTAACATATAGTACCATCACAATTATATAAAATGTCCAGAATAGACAAATCTATGTATCTAGAGGTACAAGCTAGTTAGTGGTTGCCAGTGGCCTGGGGCAGGGGTGGGGTTGCGGGTGGGGGGATTAAGGATTGGAGAGTGACTGCCAATAAACACTGGAGTTTCTTTCTGGGATGTCAAAAATGTTACAAAATTCTGATGATATTTGTGTAACTCTGATTAGACTAAAAACACTGAATTGCCCCTTTTAAAAGGGTAAAGTTCATAGTTTGGGAATTATATCTCAATAAAGCTGCTATATTTTGGAAAGATTTTAAAAATACTCCATTCTCAGTAAATCTTCTATTTTTTTAATCTCAATAAAGCTCCTATGTTTTAAAAAAAGATTTTTAAAATACTTTATTCTCAATAAAGCTGCTATTTTTATCTCAATAGAACTATTTTTAAAAAGGATTTAAAAAATTTTAACAGCAATTGCAAAAGCACCAGGGTACACATGCCTTCATCCTGTTTCATGGTAGAAATTATCACAATTTATAATCATTGTAAAGTCTAAAAGGACATGACTAAGTCTGATTTTTTTTAATTGCTGTTTTTTATTGCTTGTGCCTCATGTCATGTCATGTATGTGGTCAACACTCAATATTTGCTGAAGAGATGAAAGAGTATGATTAGCATGTGTAAATGACAATGAGGATGACATTGAGAAAGCAGCCATCAGTTTATGCCTAAATGATTAAACTAAAGGCAACTTTGAAAATCAGCCCTCTTGACTGGGTGTGGTGGCTCATACCTATAATCCCAGTACTTTGGGAGGCCGAGGCAGACAGATCACCTGAGGTCAGGAGTTCAAGACCAGCCTGACCAACATGGCAAAACCCTGTCTCTATCAAAAATACAAAAATTAGCTGGGCGTGGTGGCGGGCAACTGTAGTCCCAGCTACTCAGCTACTCCCACTGAGGTGGGAGAATCGCTTAAACCGAGATCGCATCACTGCACTCAAGCCTGGGTGACGGAGTGAGACTCTCTCTCAAAAAAAAAAAAAAAAAAGGAAAAAGCAATTAGTTTTTCTAAGTCTTTTAAAATCAAATTAATTTCGGGTTATCTGACTTATAGAGCAACCAAGGTTATCCACAATGTTCATTTTTAAACTAGCTTCAGAGAAGCATAGAATGTCCTTTATGGTCACAGAGTAATTTGGAGCATCACCATCCCCATGACATTAATATGGAAGAGTACATGACAGCCTCAATCTTCTGGCAGAGCAGAACATTCAAATGATCGGGGTCTTTAAAATTCATCAAGGTATTTTTTTTATTCCACGTATTTACTCATTCAACATTCATTGCCCACACCCATTTTCCAGATGATAAAAATATAGAAATAAAAAGCATCATATCTTCCCTCAAGAAACCAACAATGTCATAGGAAAGATACAACAGTTTGAGATCAGTCTTGTAATAGTGTCCTGTTGGAGTGTAGAGGTAGATGCCTTAGTAGTTTTGTAATATCTGCAGGTAATTCCAACCAACCATAGTCTCCAATACCTTTCATTTGCAATTTATGACATTTCTTGAAGGTTTACTATGTGTCAAGAACTGTTCTGCTACTGGAGATACGGTAACAAAGGAAAATGACAACATTCCCTGCCTCATTGAGGTTACACTGCAGTGTGAAAAGCAAGTAAAAAATAAAATAAAATATATAACATTCCAGACATTGATAATGCTGAAGAGAAAATTAAGCAGGAGAGGCAAGTAGACAGAATGTGAATGCAAATTTAAAGGCTGGTCAGGGAAGACTTAATGAGATATTTGATCAAAGACCTGAAGAAAGTGAGCTCATAATCCTGGTGAACTCCCTGGAGAAACAGTACTTCAGGCAGGGGAAAGAGAGCAGCAAAGGCAAAAGCCTTGAGGTACAAGTGTCCTGAAATGTTCTGAAATGGTGTGGAGGCTCAGGTGAGAATGGTAAAGTGAGCAAGGGGGAAATTAGATGGAGAAATTGGCTAAAAAGGTAATGAAGAAGAATTAAGGAGGGAGACCCAATTTTATAGGCCTTTCTATGGGCTGACTTTTACTTTGAAGGAGACGGGAAGCACTGGAACATTTTAAACAGTGGGTAGCATGATCTACTTACTTTTTAACAGATCATATTGCTGTGCCAAAAATAATTGGGGTATGAGGCATAATGAGGGTTGAAGTAGGGAGGCATGTTGAAAGGCTATGGCAATGATCCCAGTGGGTTATAATCCTGCTGACTTTGGCTAGGGTGATAGCAATAGGGGTGATATAAAGTAATGAGGTTTTAGATACAATGTGAAGATGGAGCCAACAGATTTTCTAATTGAGTGGATGGGGAAGTCATTGGTGTCCTTACCAAGAGGAATTTGGATGGCATGGAAGTAGCAAACACCTTTTTATAGTGGGGTTAAGACAGATGAGGAAGAAAGGAATTGCACATAGATTATAGACAACATGTCTTAAATGTTTTGCTTTAAAGTGACAGTAGTTAGAGAGGAAGTGGGGTCAACAGACGATTGTTTTTATTTCAACAAGGAGAAACAACAGCAGTTTTATATTGATGTTAATTATAAAGCAGATAGTAGAAATTGATGAGAGAGGAAATGACAGCCAAGCAATACAGTAGGTGAGAGAGAATGGGAGCTAGTGTACAGCAGAAACAGTTGTTCAGTTAGGATCATGGACAATGAATTAATACTAATGAAGGGAAAAGACAGGATTGAGGCTGTGATGTAATAGGTGAGTAGATTGAGTGGTGTAGTTTTGGAAAGTTGTTTTTGGTCCTGTTAACTTATGGAATAGGAAGCAAGATTTTCAGTGGAGAGCAAGGATAACAATGGCACAGGCAGTGTTGGCCATGTGAGGAAGGAGGTGACAGTGAGAAGTAGTTGAAGACAAAGAACAAAAGTGAGAGAGAGAGAAAGAACTCAATGTTTAGGTGAAGGTGTGGGAATAAGTGACTGAGGTTGTGCAAAGAACATTATTGTTGGAGAGAAAGTCAAGGCCAGAATATCATGTATCCATACATTGACTTCAATCAATAAGAATCATAATAGTAAGCATATTGCAGAAAACAAAAGTTAGAAGCTGAAATTCCAAAGTTTTAGTGAACAGTTTGGTTTGAGTTTAAACCTCTGTTTTCATTTTTATTGAATACATGAACACAATTTCAAAAATGTTTATTTTTTCAAATTATTGCCTTATTTTCTTTCCTCTTTCTTTAAGCAATTAAGAATTTATGACTACCCTGTGATGAGTGGGTTATATGAAGTTTTTAAATTATAGGGAATGCCCCATAATGAATCCAAATTTGAAATAGTCACTCGATAATTTACACCTAGAAAGTAACAATTTACACTGGGTAGAAATGAAAAAAAATACCAATTTTGTTTATTTTATCCATACTTTCAGAGAAAATAAAGTTTTGAAAAGATATGGCTAGCAAATATGTGCAAACCTAAAATGTTACATGTATTGAGTTTAATAACTTTGATGAATGTCCAGCTAGCAAAGAAACTTAAGCAAAATACTTAAGAAACAGTCATAAGTGAAATCCATTACAAACCCAGCATTTCACATTGGGCCATCAATCATAAGCAAGATGCCAACTGTGAATTACATGAATATTTGGGTGTGAGAGGGCATCATCAATAATACCTAGTGTTAATAGAGAACCATCAGACCTATGCTCAGTTGCCCACTGGAAATAGTCATTGATCTGCTCTTATGGCATGAAAAAGACTTATGAATTCTGGACACTATTTTGAAGCAGGTCTCTACATGCTGCCTTTTCAAGCACCTACAAGATTAATAAAACTTCACCTACTTTTAGTTTCGTACGGTTTAGACCTTTCCAAATTGGATACTGGGGAAAGGATATATAAGATTAAAGAGGAATCTAAGTTGATACTAAAGTGCTGAGAACTAAACAGTGGAATAGGAATCCAACTAGTGTGAGCCATTATTTTGGTCCATTTTGCATTGGTATAACAAGATACCCGAGGCTGTGTAATTTATAAATGAGAGAGGTTTATTTGGCTTATGATTCTGGAGGCTGGGAAGTCCTATAAGCATGATTCTGGCATCCACTTGACTTCTGGTGAGGGCCTTATGCTGCATCACAACATGACAAGGAAACAAAAGGGAAAGCCAGTGTGTACAGAGTGTCGTGCAAGAGAGGCTAGGTTCATTTATAACAACCTGCTCTGTTGAAAACTAATTCATTCCAGAGAGAGAGAAAAAACTCACTCATTTCCATGAAAGGGCATTAATCAATCTGTTCATGGGGCAGTGCCTCATAATTCAAATACCTGTCACTAGGCCCCACCTCCCAGTACTGCCATATTGAAAATATAATTTCAACATGAGTTTTGTCAGGGGCAAACTAGATCCAAATCATAGCAACCATATCTCAAGTTGTAAGTCTGATCCCTAAAATGAAAAACACAAACTGAATACAGCAATATTTATTAACATTTGAAGACTCCAAGATATTTGAATTCTGACCAATTCAAATTTTAAGGGATCTTAGCTTAAGGCATGGGAAATTCCACATACCATAAAGTGTTTAGATTTAATCTTTAGTTTGTATATAGCAATGACTGTAGTAAGCATTTTCATTTGCTATTTCTTTTTATTTTATTTTATTTTATATTTTTTTGTGATGGAGTCTCGCTGTGACACCCAGGCTAGAGTGCTATTGCACTCACTCCAGTGAGTGCAGTGATTTCAGGTCACTGCAACCTCCACCTCCCAGGTGCAAGCGATTCTCCTACCTCAGCCTCCCGAGCTACTGGGATTACAGGCACCTGCCACCACATCCGGCTAATTTCTGTGTGTGAGTGCATTTTTTTTTTGAGACAGAGTCTCGCTCTGTTGCCCAGGCTGGAGTGCAGTAGTGCGATCTCTGCTCACTGCAAGCTCTGCCTTCCGGGTTCACACCATTCTCCTGCCTCAGCCTCCCAAGTAGCTGGGACTATATAGGTGCCCGCCGATACGCCTGGCTAATTTTTTGTATTTTTAGTAGAGACGGGGTTTCACCATGTTAGCCAGGATGGTCTTGATTTCCTGACTTCATGATCTGCCCGAGTCGGCCTCCCAAAGTGCTGGGATTACAGACGTGAGCCATCGCGCCCGGCCTTGTGTGTGTATTTTTAGTAGAGATGGGGTTTCACCGTATTGGCCAGGCTGGTCCTGAACTGCTGACCTCAAGTGATTTGCCTGCCTTGGCGTTTGCTATGAAAGAAAGAAAAGAAGAGAAGAGGAGAGGAGAGGAGAGGAGAGGAGAGGAGAGGAGAGGAGAAAAGAGAAAGGAAGGAAGGAAGGAAGGAAGGAAGGAAGGAAGGAAGGAAGGAAGGAAGGAAGGAAGGAAAGAGAAAAGAAAGAAAGAAGGAAAGAAAGAAAGGGAAAGAAAAAGAAGGAAGGAAGGAAGGGAAAGAAAGAGAGAAAGAGAGAGGGAGGGAGGAAGGAAGGAGAGAGGAAGGAAGGAATTTAATTTGCAAGGAGTATTTTAGAATGTGTATACACTAAGAGAACAAAAATAAATTCATCAAATTAGCAAAAATCAAGGTGATTTGAGGAAAAGGAGGAAGTTTGATGAACACTATAAATATGTGTGAATGCGTAGGGATAGGCATGGATTGATTCACAAACTTTGGAACACATAACCTATCATCCTTTATTTCTATCTGCATCATAGAGAAAACTTTGAAAGAAAACATCTGTTGGTCTAACAAAATCTCAGTAAGATTCTTGCAGTAAATAAACATGACCATTATGAAGAACACTTTTCCCCAGTTGTACAAGAGGAGACTGACATTATATTATGAATATTATATGATGTTATACATTTCTGATGAGACAGCTATTGACTCATGAAAGAAACAAGGACAAAAATGTATTCAAACCCAGAGAAAATCAGAGTTAAAAATGTGAAGTAGAACAAAGCTACTGGAGCAAGAATTCTGATATTTATGCTTAATATAGAGAATAAGGAAGGACTGAGTCAAGCAAGAAGAAACTGCTAGAGAATGGCTTTAGAAATTTGATGCTGGGCTGATGAAAAAGCTGATTCAGAATGCTCATCATGTATAATCCAGAGTGAGGAGAAACTAGTTCAGGTTTTTTGTTTATGATTTATCTGCTTTTCTTCAAAGCTGTGTTTGTAGATTTAGAGAGAACAGTGTTGTTTTACATTGGTTGTCACACTGGGACCAAGTTAGAAAAGGCCCTAGTTTTCTCCCTAGCAGCTAAGGGAAATATCTTTGTCAGACATATAACAAAATATGCAATGACCAAGAATTCGGAAATCTAGTTGGTCTTTGCAACAAAAGCACCAACCTAAACATTTGCCTGCCTATGCATATTTTGAAATCCAACATTTTTTCTCGTAAGTTTCTCCTTCTACTGAGGCCAACCATATGATCTTCTGAAAGCACTCCAGAAGGGCTGGTGAGAGGAGATTGAGAAAATACAAGGAAAACTGCTATTGCGCCGGCCCATTGTCCAATACTCCTGTGCTACCCCTCAAACTTTCCTGCTGTCTTCATTCCAGATACATGGGGTAATTGCACTTCCTTGCCTCCTTAAGGTAAGGAATGATGACGTGATTTTCTTTAGAAAATAGAATGTTAGTGGAGGTGATATATCACCTCTAGGTAGAAGCATTGAATCGTCATTGTGAGATTTTCAGAACATTCTTTTTTTGCTGCCATAATCATGGAATCAGGTGTTGATGTGGAGAGGTAAAGCTGAGCTATCACAAAGAGGACAGCTGCCTGGAGGGTCACCAGACATACAGTGCACCTTGCATGAACAAAACTTAACCCTTGTTTTTCTGCCACTGGTATTTGGGGGTTGTTTATTACTGTGCCATACCTTGCCTATCCTGACTATTACAAGTTCCAACTTCCCCAGAGACTCAGAAAAAAACAAGTGAAATATTTTAGTTCTTTGATGTCAGAAATGGTGGACAATAATGGATGTTTTACATTAGCCAGCTCAATTGCAACTTTACCATCATAGTTTACAAGACCACCTTTTACTGGTTTTTATTAAAGTATAACACTTAATGAAACTATTTACTTAAAACTACATATCTAATGAAGTTAGTTATGAAAAGCTAGTCTACTGACTCTCATTTCATACTCACTCACCTCTACTTTTCTAGAATTTCTTTGAATTACAAGCCCTTTAAAGGAATGACAATTTAGCCTAAATCTCTTAGAAGATTTCTTCCCCACCTTTTAATTTAGATGTAAAATAGGATTGCATTTTCATCTTCTTCCTGTATTCATTTTATAGGACTTATTTCTAAACACTTATATGCTATATATCTGGGGTCAGGAGATTAAACAGGCCAGACAGTAAATATTTTCAGCTTTGCAGACCAGGCGATCTCTGCTGAAACTTCTCCACTCTGTCATTGTGGCGTGAAAGCTATCATACGCAGTAATCAACAGGTGAGTATGTTAATTTACAGAAACAGGTAGAAGGTTATTTTTGGCCATGGGCCAAATCTAGCTGTAGATATTACTTCCAGTTTAAATCACATCCATATAATTTCATGTTATCAGCTATCATTATAGCATATTTTGAAACTATGTTAATCAAAATCACCATTCCATCTGACAATTTATCTGATGTTCCACAGCCATGAAATAGAACACGTATCTTATTTATGCTGGGAACTCTAGATTTAATATCCTTTAAAAAAATAATTTCTCACAATACAAGCTACATAGGACTAGATATAAAAAAGAAGAAACTAATATAAGTTTTATATCTTTCTAGGATATTCAGAAGTCCATTTTTTCCTGATATTATATTTTAAATGGATTTCTTTATGTAAACATAATTTTTTGTTCCATACTAAAACCAAGAGATAAAAATCTTAGTGGGATAAAGGAAAGAAACAGGTTGTAGCCAAAGCAGAACAGAGATACATCTTTAAAATTGTTTTTAGAAAATGAAATTATGACTGACATGGCCTAACATCTCTCCATCAGGGAAAAGCTAATCCATATCAAATTAGTTCTGTGTTTGTTTGTTCAAAATAAAATGTCCCTGAAATAGTCACATATAAAGGAGACAGTTGAAAAGAAGAGTAAAGGAAGAAAAAGAAAAAAAAAGGTATGCATGCAAATCTGAAACTGCTAGGAGGAAAACAAAACAATTTTACTCTTTTTAATTTTAATCTCAAATTAATTTATTTTAATGCAACATATTTTGAATTACTGGGACAAAGAAGCAAACAAGGAAGCCAGCCATGACAAATGTAGTTATGTGGAGCATGTAGTTATGTGAAGAAATGAATTATAATAAGACACAAGGCTATTTTTGTTTCCTGCTTCAAATAGCATGTATTTGGAGGAAGAAGATATATGTATCATATAACAGTGCAGTGTCTCAGAAGCACATCCAGGACTCTAATTAAAATCAATTTTACTGGCTTAGAAAATACATATATGAACTTTGTCTTTTAAGGTACGTAGTTTTTTCTTGCATAGACTGCTGAATACACTGGTCAGTTTCTAAATGAACTGGGATGAGTTCTCATCTGACTGTTTCCATCCTCACTCAGAATATAAGGACAAGATTTTCAAAGGGAGGAAAGTAAATCGAGGCAGGTTGGAATGGTTCAGGCATGAAGTGATCATAATCTGTTGCTGTGTTCCACCCAAATGAGGAAGTGCTTCTAAGTTCAAGCTGCTTTAACTGCAGCGTAACTGCCACAAAGCTGGAGATGTCACTGAGACAATGAACAGGACTGAACACTGAAAGTGGAGTGGCTGACAGATTTACACATAGACATACTGGATTAAAGCTTGCTCTCCTAAAACCAACTCTGTCGGCTTGTGCAAATTATTTAATCATTCAGAGTTTTGGCTTTCTCAACTGTTAGGTTGAGCTATCTGAAACTGCAAATATTAGACTATGTTTTTGAATTATGTTTTTTTTTAAGTTCTGGGGTACATGTGCAGGATGTGCATATTTGTTACATAGGTAAACGTGTGCCATGGTGGTTTGCTGCACCTAACAACCCGTCACCTAGGTATTAAACCCAGCATGCATTAGCTCTTTTCCCTAATGCTCTCTCCACTCCCCCCCTCCCTTGACAGGCCCCAATAAGTGTTGTTCCCTTTCCTGTGTCCATGTGTTCTCATTGTTCAGCTCTCACTTATAAGTGAGAACATGTGGTGTTTGGTTATCTATTCCTGTGTTAGTTTGCTGAGGATAATAGCTTCCAGCTTCATCCATGTCCCTGCAAAGGACTTGATCTCTTTCCTTTTTATGGCTGCATAGTATTCCATAGTGTATATGTACCAGATTTTCCTTATCCAATCTGCCATTGATGGACATTTGGATTGATTCCATGTCTTTGCTATTGTGAATAGTGCTGCAATGAACATACTTGTGCATGTATCTTTATAATAGAATTCCTTTGGTTATATACCTAGTGATATGGTTTGGCTGTGTCTCCACCCAGATCTCATCTTGAATTGTACCCCCATATTTCCCACATGTTGTGGGAGGGATCTGATGGGAGATAATTGAATCATGAGGGCGGTTTTCCCCATACTTTTCTCATGGTAGTGAATAACTCTCACAAGATCTGATGGTCTTATAAGGGGTTTCTGCTTTGGCTTCTCTCCCATTCTTTCTTGCCACCACCATGTAAGAAGTGCCTTTCACCTTCCACCATGATTGTGAGGCCTTCCCAGCCATGTGGAACTGTGAGTTCAATAAACCTGTTTCTCTTCCCAATTTCGGGTATGTCTTTGTCAGCAGTGTGAAAATAGACTAATACACCCACTAATGGGATTGCTGAGTCAAATGGTATTTCCAGTTCTAGATTTTTGAGGAATTGCTACACTGTCTTCCACAGTGGTCGAACTAATTTGCATTCCCACCAACAGTATAAAATCATTCCTCTTTCTCCACAACCTCAATATTATGTGGTTCAAACTATATAGAACAGAACTAATAGTTTATATATGATTGGTGGCTGCCATTAAATAGAATGTTTCTATAAACTTATGAGTATGCATAAATGTACATATAATTTCTTTGAATTCCTCAAATAAGACTTATTAATTAGAAGGTATTATGTAATAATGGTTGCAGTTTGTCACTTTTAACTAATTTATTTCTATAGACCAATTAATAATTGATCAGTTAATGTTTATTATTAAAGAAATACAAATTGCACACTAGAATCATTTATTCAATCATGAGTATACTCTGCAGTCCTAAAGTTTGCTTTATGACTGGTGGAGCATTTGCCAAGTCATGACATGTTCTGTCCAACAATGTGCTTCCCTGATGTCATATTAATACACATGTTTGAAACCTGTCTTATTCTAAGTTAGCTTAGGTTTGTTAACCTGATACTGACAAGTTCTGCTCAGATGTTCCAATGACGATCTCACTTGTGGCCACTTTCTCCATAAACAAGCCTGTAGGTGTAGATAAGAGATCTATTACTAATTGAAACGGTATCCGTGTCTTACACAGGCATTCAGCTCCAGTGAAGCTCAGTAATACAGAAAAGAAACACTCAGAAGATATTTGCTGAGAAAAAAAATTTTTAAATATACTCATTGAAAGTTATTTATTTACCTCTTTACCTGAGTGCATATTTTTACAATATAAGCTGCTATAATGCTAAAGTAAAACCTGAGGATTTGGGCCAATTATTTATCTGAGATCTTAAAATTGAATAAACCCAGGGTGAGAGGGGGTGTTTATATGATGAGAGAATAAAAGCATTTCAGCAGAAAGTGGTCACTATTTCTAGGTTTATAAAGGAACCTCTAGTGAGTAGTTTGAGAGCTGAAGAAACAGAGTACAAGCCATAACTGATAATGAGATGTGATAGAATGGCTCATAAGATTTATAATTACTATTAAACCATTTAAGATAGTTGGCTTGCATTGGGTTGCAGCAAATGGTAGGTGTTGCAATGTACCTTCTATGTAAATTTCATAGAATCTTTTTTAGATTATTAAAATTTAAAGCACTTTAGGAAAACATTTAAAGTCAGAAGGAATCTTCATTCTTCTTAGTTTTTATATCTGGAGTTTACTGAAGGTGACATCAGTGGGAGACGCTATAAACCTCAACAGTTTCAATCATACACTGCAAACTAGAGGCTACTAAATATTTTATTGCTCTTTCATTCTTATTTATTCCACAGGTTTCAGACTGTTCTCCTAGAAATAACTGGCAATGCAACCTGAACCTTGGTAAATTCTGTAAAGCTTCCTGCTCCCTTAGAAACTCTGTTGAGATCAAATATCTTGACCAAATTTTAAGAGAAAACAAATGGTCCCTTTAGACAGCCACCTCTTGCCTCCTAGTGAGCTTCATCTACTTCCTGGAGAACCAGAGTCCTTCTCATGCTTTCAGGATCCATCATCTAGAAAAAGCTTCTTTGGCATCTATCTTTAATTTTATAGATTATTTTATAATTATTTTATAACTTACAATAATGGTAGTTAATAGAATAATACACAGTTTTCTTGGAGATAATTACTTATCTTCAGCTGACAGCCCATAAAAGTGGCCAGTGATGTAAATTTTAAGCACTTTAATAAGTTTATATAAGGTCACCGGTCATAAATCAATCAAGAAGCATTTACTCTGTACCCAGTAGCACACTAGGTGTTGTGGAGCATTACAACATAAGATGAAAGTTCTGCCACAAAATGACATCTGATTTAGTAATGCACAGCTGCTAGAGGAAAATTGCCCAAAGGCCAAAACTTGCAAAAGCCAACCGAGTACAATGTGAGCCTATGGTGTTTGCCAACAAATAATAATCCAGCAGAGGTCTCATTCAGGAGGCAAAAATACTCCATAATAGCTGTGTATAGAGAAGCAGAGGAAGGGAGGAAGAGAGGAAAGGAAGAAGGGAGGGAGGGAGGGATTTACAACAGAAAAACCTGGACATAACAATGACACTTAGTGATAATTCCACAAGTATTTTGTAGAGTGAACATTTGAAAAGATTTTTGAAGAATAATCTTGTTATTCTCCTTCTGCCAAGAACCACGTGTAGCTAGCCTGTTCAGGCTGCTTTTATGGAGGTTGGTTAGCTTGATAGTCTTGAGCCTGGGAAATAAGTACAGCAGTCTGAGTCATTATCTGGAAAAAAATGCTTCTCAATTCTACTCTTAACTTCTCCCCCACAGCTCTCAAATTAAATTTATGCCAAAATGAACAGCAATGAATGGTAGCATGAATCAGAAAACAATGTCGACAATAGCAGCAACCTCTGGAGTACAGAAGTAGGAATAAAGTGAACTTGCTTACTGACAATGAAGTTGTGGGATGATGGCCTCTTGGAGCTGGGATGGTAATCAGATTGCACATGGGACAGATTTAACTAACAAATGAGTTTTATTTGGTCTGCACAGTGTTAGATCACCAAGTAGTTTTTTAACTTTTTAAATTCACTCCCAACTAACTTCACCTAAAACTATGATGTCTAGTTCTTCTCAACATTAAGTGATCTGACAACACTGGTTCTGTATTTCCTGTCCTTACCACACTGGCTGGAATGGAGTGGCAGGTGCCCTCTTTAGATCAAGCATGCCCTCTTCATTTCCAACTCATTATTTCTGTTGGCTCCATGATCATTTACCCTTTCCTGACACCTGTAGTTGTTTGAAATGGAGCTCTGAATTAGACTATCATGTAACTTTGAGCATCATCCAGTCAACAGGCTACTGTCCTGCTTGGGTGTCTCAAGCTCATCCTAGTCTAGGCATGGGCTTAGGAGGGAATAAGAGAGACAGACAATCGTTGGTGTTTCTGCATTTCCAGTGCTCAGCTGGTTGACTTCCTGCCTGACAACAATGAGTGTGCAAGAATTTAAGCATCAGCCTCTTTTGTGGTAAATCTGTATCTCAAATAATAAAAAAACTGATTAATGATTATCGCTTTTTTTATTTGTGTAAATTTAGGGGGCACATGTGATTTTTTTCTTCTGGAGACATGGTTTTCCTTCATTTCCCAGGCTTGAATGCAGTGGCACAATCATAGCTCACTGCAGCCTCGACCTTCTAGGCTCAAGTGATTCTCTTGCCTCAGCCTCTGGAGTAGCTGGGACTACAGGAACATGCCACTATACTTGGCTAATTTTTATCTTTGAATTTTTTTTTTTGCAGAGATGGGATCCCACTGTGTTGCCCAGGCTAGTCTCAACCTGCTGGGCTCAAGCAATCATCCCACCTCAGCCTCACAAAATGCTGGAATTACAGGTGTGAGCCACCAGGCCCAGCCATGTGAAATTTTGTTATATGTATATAATATGCAGTGATCAAGTCAGGTTATTCAGGTTTTTTTTCTAGAAACATGGTTATTTAGGGTGTCCATCACCTGAGTACAATACATTTTTATTGTATAGTCATTCCACTCTGCTATCAAACATTGAGTTTATTTCTTCTATCATTCTGTGTGTTTGTACCCTTTTACCCACTTCTCTTTATCCTCCCCCATCCTCCCCACTCACTTTTCCAAGTCTCTATCTTTCCACTCTCTACCTCCATGTGATCAAATTCTGTAGCTCCGCATATAAGTGAGAACATGTGATATTTGTCTTTTTGTGTCTGGCTTATTTCACTTAAGATCATGTCCTTTAGTTCCATCCATGTTTCTGCAAATGACATAATTTTATTTTTTGTAGCTGAATAGTATTCCTCTGTGTATATATACCACATTTTCTTTTTCCATTCATCTGTAGATGAACACTTAGGTTGATTCCATGTCTTTGCGATTGTGAATAGTGCCGTGATAAACATGCAAATGCAGGTATCCCTTTGATATATTGATTTCTTTTCCCTTGAGAAGATACCTAGTAGTAGGATTGCTGGATTGAATGGTAATTCTATATTTAGCTTTTTGAGAAATCTCCATACCATTTTTGCATAGTGGCTGTACTAGTTTACATTCTCATCAACGGTATTTAAAATTTCCCTTTTCTCCACATCTTTGTCAGCATCTATTATTTTCTGTCTTTTTAGTAATAGCCATTCTGATTGGGGTAAGATGATATCTCATGGTGGTTTCATATTTCTCTGATGATTAGTGATATAGAGCATTTACAGAAGTTTTTTAGTTTAATTAAGTCCCATCTGTCTATTTTTGTTTTTGCTGCCTATGCTTTCAAAGTCTTAATTATACATTTTTTGCCTAGACCAACATCCAGGAGAGACTTCCCTAGGTTTTCCTTTAGTATTTATGCAGTTTTGGGTCTTATGTTTAAGTCTTTAATCTATTTTGAGTGATTTTTGTCTAGGGTGAGAGGGGTCCAAGATCACTTTTCTGCATATGGTTATCTAATTTTCCTAGCACCATTTACTGAAGAGAGTGTTCTTTGCCCTAAGGAAGTTCTTGTTGGCTTAGTTTAAGATTACTTGGCTGTAATTGTGTGGAGTTATTTCTAGGTTCTCTATTCTATTTCATTGGTCTACATGTCTATTTTTATACCAGAATCATGCTGTTTTGGTTACTATAGCCTTTAATATATTTCGAAGTCATGGAATGTGATGCCTGCAGCTTGGTTCTTTATACTCAGGATTGTTTAGGCTATCCAGGCTCTTTTTTGATACCATATAAATTTTAGGATTGTTGTTTCTAATTTTATGAAGAATTGTAATGGTATTTTGATGAGGATGGCACTGCATCTGTAGATTGCTTTGAGCAACATGGTCATTTTAACAATATTAATTTTTCTAATCCATGAGCATAGGGTGCTTTTCCATTTGTTTCTGTCTCTTCAATTTCTTTCATTATAATTTTGTTGTTTTCCTTATAGAGATCTTTCACCTCCTTGGCTAAAAATTCTCCTTGGTTTATTCCTAGGTTTGTTTGTTTTTGTTTTTTGTAGCAATTGTAAATGTGATTGCCTCTTTGATTTCCTCCTTGACTAGATCATTATTAGTGTACAGAAATATTGCTGATCTTTGCATGTTGCTTTTGTATCCTGCAACTTTACTGAATTCATTTGCCAAATCTAAGAGATTTTTTTGTGGAGTCTTTAACTTCCTCTAAATATAGGATCATGTCATCTGCAAAGAGAGATGATTTGACTTACTCTTTTCTAATTTGGGTGCTTTTTATTTCTTTCTCTTGTCTGATTGCTCTGGTTTCCAGTACTTCCAGTACTGTGCTGAATAGAACTGGTGAAAGTGAGTGTTCTTGTCTTGTTCCACTTTCTTAGAGGAAAGGCTTTCAATTTCTTCCCATTCACCATAATATCGGCTATGAGCCTGTCATATTTGGCCTTTATTATTATGAGTACATTTCCTCTCTATTTTGTTGAGAGTTTTTATCATGAAGGGATTTGAATTTTATCAGATGCTTTTTTCATCTATTGAGGTAATCATATGATTTTTGTTTTTCATTCTGCTGATGTGATGTATTATATTTATTGATTTGGGTACGTTGAACCATCCTTGCATCCGTGGGATAAATCCCACTTAATGGTTTGTATTACATTTTTGATGTTGGATTTGGTTTGCTGATATTTTGTTGAGGATTTTTGTGTCTATTTCAACAGGAATATTGGCCTATTTTTTTTTAATGTGTCCTTGTCTGGTTTTAGTAACAGAGTTATGCTGGCCTCATAAAATGAGCTAGGGAGAATTCTCTCCTCTTTGATTTTTCAGTTTCAGAAGGATTGCTATTAGTTCTTTTTTGTATGTTTGGTTAAATTCAACTGTGAATCCATCAAGTCCTAGGCCTTTCTTTGTTGAGGGCCTTTTTATTGTTGATTTAATCTTGTTACTTGTGATTAGTCTGTTCAGATTTTCTATTCCTTCCTGATTCAGTCTTGCTATGTTGTATGCTTCCAGGCTGTAAACTTTCGTCTTAGAACTGCTTTTGCTATATCCACAGATTTTAGTATGTTATGTTTCCATTTTCATTTGTTTCAAGAATTGTTTTATTTCCATCGTAATTTCCTCATTTACCCAGTGGTCATTCAGGAGCATGTTGTTTAATTTCCATATGTTTGTGTAGTGTCCAGGGTTCCTGTTGGTATCACTTTCTATTTTTATTTCATTGTGATCTTAGAAGATACTTGATACAATTTTGATCTTTAACAAATTTTTGAAATTTGTTTTGTGGCCAAACATATGGTTTATCCTGGAGAATAGTACATGTGCTGATGAAAACAAGGTATATTCTGGAGTTGTCAGATAGAATGTTCAGTAAATGTCTGTTAGGTTCATTTCATCTAAAGCCCAGTTTCAAACCAATCTTTGTTGACTTTCTATCTAGATGATCTGTCTAACGCTGAGAGTGGGGTGCTCATAAGTTCCCATTATTGTACTGAAGGCTATTTCTCTCTTTAGAGCTAGTAATACCTGCTTTAAGAATCTGGGTGCTCCAGTACTGGGTACATATAAATTTTACATTGCTATATTGTCTTGCTGGATTGATCCCTTTATTATTATTATATAATTATGTTTCTTGTCTTTTTTTTTTTTACTGTTTTTGACTCAAAGTCTATTTTATCTTAGATAGGCATAGCTACTTCCACTTACTTTTGGTTTCCATTTGCATGAAATGTCTTTTTCCAATCCTTTAGTATCAGTCTATAAATGTCTTTACTGCTAAGGTAAGTTTCTTGTAACTGGCATATAGTAGGACTATTTTTTAAAAAAAAAAATCCGTCCATCTATTCTATATCTTTTAAGTTGAGAATTTAAGCCATTTATATTCAAGATGATTATTGACATTTGAGGCTTTATTTTTGTCATATTGTTAATTGTTTACTGGTTATTTCATATATTCTTTGTTAATTTCTTTTTCTCTTTTGTTTGACATTGTGGTCTGGTAGATTTCTGCAGTGGCTCCATTTGGGTACTTTCTCTTCCTACTTTGTGTGATTGCTTCACCAATGCATTTTATACTTTCATGTATTTTCATGATAATAAATGTTGTCCTTTTGCTGCCATGTTTAGAACTCCCTTTAGCATTTCTCATAGGAACAGTACAGTGGTGATGAATTCCCTCAACATTTGTTTGTCTGGGAAAGACTTTATTTCTCCTTCATGTATGAAGGATAATTTTGCTGGTTATAGTATTCTTGTCAGGTTTTTTCCTTTTAGTACTTTGAAATTATCCCATTTTCCTCTGGCCTATAACATTTTTATTGAGAAATTCACTGTTAGTCTGATGAGGTTTCTTTTGTTGGTGACTAGAAGCTTTTCACCTGTTTTTAGGATTTGCTCTTTATCTTTTATTTTATACAGTCTGACTGAATATATTTTGCTATTGATAAGACTTTTTTGCATTGTATCTGCCTATGGATTGTTCAGCCTCCTGTATCTGAATGTGCAAATCTCTTGCTACATTTTGGAAGGTCTTATCTATTGATTCATCAAATAGGTTTTCTAATTCTTTCTTCCTCTCTTTGCCCTCAAGGATATCAATAACTCAAATATTTGGTCACTTTATGTTGTTCCAGCAGTCACAAAGGCTTTGCTTTCATTATTTTTTATTGTTTGTTCTTTATTTTTTTTCTGACTAGATTACAAGTTCTGAGATTTTTTTTTATTCTGCTTGATCTACCCTAGTGTTGAAACTTTCAAATGTATTTTGTATTTCCTTTAATGAATTATTCAGTTCCAGAATTTCTATTTGGTTCTTTAAAAAATATCTTTGGTAAACTTCTCATTCATATCCTGAATTGGTTTTTTATTCCTGATTTCTTTGCATTGTTTTTCATAATTCTCTTGCATTTCACTGAGGTTTTTAAAATCAATATTTTGAAGTCTTTATATGGGATTTTGAAAATTTCTTCTTGATTAAGACATATTGCTGGAGAATTATTGTGTTCTTTCGGAAGTGTCATATTTTCTGGATTTTTCATGTTTTCTATGTCCTTATGTTAATATTTGCACATCTGGTGTAACCATCATTTCGTCCTGTTTTTGGATTTACTTTCATAGGGGAGAACTTTTTCCTGAAGATTCATCTGTAGTGTTGGTTGGGTGGGGAACTTTGGCTTTGATTCTGAGTCTTGCCTCTGATTTTTTTTTTTTTTTGGCTATAAATGGTGTTATTGGTTTTTTGTGATTTCATCAGTGGATTAGGGTGTGATTATTAGTGGGGTTTGTGGTCAAGTTGTGCTGATAACCGGGATGCCAGTTGGAACGACCAGTCTGTAGGCTTCAGAGTTGGCAGCAGTGGGCTGAATGTGCCTATTTTTATGCCCCAGGGCAATGTATGCTGGCATTTATTTTGGTGGTTACTGGCAGGCTAATTCTTGGGCCTCCAGGTGTCTTGTTCAGATGCTGGTAGTGGCAGTGATGAACAGGGCAAGTTGATGATTCTTTGGTTCCTGGGCAGCTCACATGACATAGGCATTGGCAGTAGCAGTGGTGAGATGATTCTCTAGGTCCCAAGTGGTGTGTGTTGATGTTGGCAGTGGCTGAAATGAGCTGGGCAGGTCAGTTTCCAGGCCTACAGGTGACACTTGTAGCTGAGGTGGTAGCAGATGGGAGTTTAGTCTCAACCTCATGCCCCTGTGAAGTGTGCCCAGGTGCCCAAATGGTGGATTGGTTTGGGCAATTCCTAGGACCCCAGAGTATGCTCTGTCTTTGGAGAGAGGAAGGAAGCAAGACTGGGTGGGTTTGGACTTAAACCTCCCAATGCTGAGAGCAGTCACAAGCCATGGTGAGAAGGGGTGGGGTGATTCCCAGGTCCCATGTGGTAATAGTCATGTTGAGGCCCCACTACTGGAAAAGATAGGACCACCCTCAGTGGCCACAGCCTGGGCAAGCTAGTAGGAATTGTGCATCCCTCTCATTCCTCAGTCCTGGGGGAGCTTGACCCCAACCCTTGAAAATGGTCACTCAAGCCTAGCTTGTACCCTAGCCCTGACTGCAGCAGCCTCTGCCCAGCTCATGAACCAGTACCAGTAGCAACAGGTATCCTGCTTGCATCCAAGTCTCCATACTGACAGTGCTCACTTCCTGGCACTGGCAGCTGCAGTCCATGCCTCACTTGGTTCTCAGCCCCAGCTGTGGGAATGCTCCAAGCTCACACCACATTTTCTGCAGCAACAGCCCGAGTTCCGAGTTTCCGTAACATTACAGTCCTAACACTGTTGGGCCCCCGTCTGCCAAAATAGCAAGGGCTAGGTTTAAAAATGCACCTTGCTATAACCATTTAGGTCTCACAAAGTGTGTGGGACCAGCAAGAGCTTTCTCTCTGGAGCAGTTCTGCCCCATGGTCTTCCGGAAGCTCCCTATGTTAGTTGCAGGGCTTGGGGGATTGAGGGGCTCTCCCATAGCCAGGTTTGCCTGATCCCACGGTGAAGATGTGGGCTGCTGGAAGTCTCACTCACCCTTTCCCCACGTTGGAAAATCACTCCTGAGTCTCAGCCAATCTCAGCCAAGCTGGCTGCCTCTCTTCCTTTTCCTTCTCCACTTTTGGTGTTTCTTGTCACTTCTCTGTTGAATTCCAGCATTCTCTCTTGGATAATATTTGATAATGTATTTGAAGTATGACTGTCTATATACTATTTTGCTTCTTCTAAGTAGAGGAGGTGAGCATGAATTACTTCTAATAAGCCATCTTGAAGCCCCATCTGTTATTGATTTTTCTCAGGTTTTATGTTTGATATGTCAGGCATTGACTCTTGGGTTTTACGTAAGTGAAGGTGATAATACAAACTACTTCTACTTTTGAGCACAATGTTCAAGCCACACTGGAACATACTTCTTATCACACTTCTTATCTCATTTAGTTTCTCCAACAACCCTAGAAGATGCTATAGTGGAAGTTTGTTGTTTTTAGCTGCCCAGGGTTCTTTCTGCCTCCTACTGGCAATAATATCCTTACTTCCCTTTAGAGAATTATCTACCACCTCCTAAATCTTGGCACCTTTTTCAGGGCTATCAATCACATTATTGCCCCATAAGCCACTAAAGGTGGGTATATGAGCCAAATAAGCCCAAGAAAACCCTACTGAGAATTTGAGTTTCGAGCAGAATGATGCTAGTACAGAAAAAGATTTGGTCAGATTCAGCTCCATGGTGCTGGCCAGAAAGATCTTATATGAGTTTTTAATCCAGATACCAGAGCTACCATGGTTCCTATATTTTCAGATGTAAGCTACCCCCTATCCTTTCAATAAATTTATTTTTTGCTTAAGTTAGCTGGAAAAAGCATTCATTGATATAACCCAATGTGCTATTATGAGATGATTAACTTCTAAAAAATCAGTTGCACCTTTAGAAGGGAATGTTTATGACATAGCACAAAAAACATACAATATGGAATCCTACCTATTAATAGTTGAATCTCAGGTTCAGCTGTTTTGAACCTGAACAAGTTGCTTCATTTTTCTACTGCTCAGTTTTGTTAGTTATGAAATGGGGATAATAATACTGTAATACTAATCTTTCAAAGTTGTAAGAAATTATTTATATAATGCCTGCATAATAGGTATAAAACATCTAAAGTATTAGTTGTAGTTGTTTTAGTTTATGTTATTATTATTACTTTTATTATTCAAAGATTCATTCAAATAGGCTAAGCCCTGGCAAACTTTTCAAAAGGACTTCTACAACCTGAATGTTATTTGCGGCAAGCTATCACAAAATATGTTTGGCTAGCTTTGCCTCATGGTGTATAATGTCTATTGAAAACTAATCCTACAACTCTATTTTTATTGTATATTTTCCTCCTTGAATGAGAGAAAAGTGAGATTTTTTTTTCTTTTCTCATTTCTAATTTTCATGGTCATAGGCAGAGGAACTTTTATATTTGCCATGGATATAGAACTGATTCAGTAAGAATATGACCTGAGAGAATGGTTTATTGAGAGTAGAACAGTAGGTGTTATAATTTCATAAAGAAATCAATATGCTTAATTCACATAAATTCTGTTTTAAATTTGATATGAAGAACATTTAGAGGAGAAAATGATGCTTGTTCACATTCTAAACTCAGGGAAACTTTTTCTTCCAATTCTATATAACAAGGCAGCTATTGTGCATATTATATATATTATAGACAAATATATTTTCACTATAAAACATGACATATGATAATTTCCTTGAAACTAGAATTTATATTTCCTTCACTTTTGTCTCCTCATAGTACAGACCCTTTCAGAGAAGAGATGTATGATGAACATTTATTCCAATTATGAAAAAAGGTTGAATATATGAGTATGGACATTCTTTCTCCAGTTATCTCAGGAAATATATATACTACCAACAGTCTGTGACTAATCATAAAGGTCTGATTTTAAATGGAGTTGGAAAAAGAAATGCAAAGAAATATTTGCTGATTCTAATGATCAACGAATTGATAACAAAGCTATCTCTAAAACTTGTTGCTAGATAATGCAATTCTTAAGTCCTCCATGTTTGAGAAGTTGTTTCATGAGCTGACTGCCAAAATCCAGCTAACTCACAGATCAAAAGAAGTTTAAAAATTAGAACCATGTTATGTAGCCTAATCAGGATTCCAAAACCTCTCCAACAAGCTGGGGAAAAAAATAGGCCATATTTAACAATATACAATTAGATATGGGTAAATATAAAGTTTTTTCACTTAGAACAAGAAAAGAAAAAAGAAAAGAGACAGAAAGATGAAAGAGAAGGAAAGAAAGAGAGAAAAGAAAGGAAAAAAGAAAAAAGGAAGGAGAGAGAAAGAGGCTATAATAGTGAAGTAAAGAAATCACCCAAGCTAGAATTTTCACAACAGGAAATACCAGTTAGCAATGTAGCCAATTTAAATAATAATGTGACATTCCTAAGAAAGCCAGTTACTTTAGGCTACATCATCTAAGATATACTTTCTGAACAAGCAGGCTCACAGCTTATTTTACTCTTTACTAAAGCCTCAACTGAAATGTTGGAATATTGTGTTCACTTTGGGATTATCACATTGTAAAGAAATTGATAAGTGAGAGTATATTCATAGAGTTTTTAAAAGGAAATTGAAATATTTAAATAAAGAAAAGAAGGCTTCAAAGTGACAATACTTGAGTATTTAAAGAACTGTCATGCAATACACTATTTATACTGCTCTTATGTAGCCCCAAAGAGTAGGACTAAACTTAATGGGTACCTGTTATAATACAGATTTAGACTTTCTGTGATAAAGTGAGTTAGTAATTAGAACTGTCTTATAGCAAGATGTGAAGGATTATATTTTCCAAAATGACCACAGTAATATTTCTGGTCTCACATACTCTCCAAACCTTGTCACTCTCCATTAGGAGGTGTCCTCTATTTCCCTAATCCTTGAATTTGGGCAGGCTTGTATCTGCTTCAAGCTAGGGTGAAAGTTATGCTGTGTAATTTTTAAGTCCAGGTTATAAAAAATATATAGCTTCTATGTGGTCTCAGGACACTGGCCCTCAAAACCCAGCCTCCCTGTTGTAAAGAAACTCAGGTAACATGAATGGTGTAGCCCACAGCCTAGCTAACATCTAAGACTGCAATTAGCATAAACCACCAGACATGTGAGTTGTGATCCTTGAAATGATTTCAGCCTTTAAGTCTTCCAACTGAAGTTCTAGACATCCTAGAACAAAGACAAGCAATGCTTAAAGAATACAGAGAAATGAATTTCAACATTAAGCCGAACTCTCATAGTAAGCCTTCAGAAGTATCACATTGCTCAGATTTGTAACTAATTTCTAGCCCTTCTGGTACCCGTTTTATACGAAAATTTATTCTGACTCACTCCATTGCTGCTGCCAGTAGAAATAATAGAAATGCTAAAAAGTCAATAAAGAACTGGAAACCACTCACTAAGGATCATTGCCTCTATGAGCTCAGCATGAGCTTCTCACAGATATGAGCTTTTCTGCCAGTGGCTACTCAAGAGCCAAGCAAAACTTTAGGGTGCCCATTAAAAGAAGTCCCCCTTTGGCTGCCTGACAAGAAGATTTCTAAGGAATTTGGATGAAATGGAATCTTTCACGCATTTTTTTACTTGAGCCTAGACTTTTAAGCTTACCCAAATTTAATAAAATTCTATGTAGAGATTGTGTTGATACATCTCTTTTTTTTTAAGTCAACATGTCGAATTCCTATGAAAAACATATTTTTATTGTGTCTCTTCCAAGTTTTGGTATCAGGGTCATGCTGGCCTCATAGAATGAGTTAGGGAGGAGTCCTTCCTCCTCAATTTTTGGTAATAGTTTCAGTAGGAATGCTACCAGCTTTTCCTTCTACATCGGGTAGAATTTAGCTGTTAATCCATCTAGCCCTGCATTTGTTTTGGTTGGTAGGCTATTTCTTACTGACTCAATTTTGGAGCTCATTACTCTTCAGGGATAATATTCACTTTAAGACCACCACATCTTCCTGGTTCAGTCTTGGGAGGGTGTATGTGTCCAGGAATTTATCCATTTCTTCTAGATTTTCTAGTTTGAATGCATATAGGTGTACACAACATTCTCAGATGTTTATTTGTATTTCTATGGGGTCAGTGGTAATAACCATTTTGTCATTTCTAATTGTATTTGTTTGGATTTTCTCTCTTCTTTATTGTCTAGCTAGTGATCCATCTATTTTATTAATTTAAAAAAAAAAACTCCTGGATTCATTGATCTTTTGAATGATTATTTTGTGTCACAATCTCTTTCAATTCAGCTCTGATTTTGGTTACTTCTTGTCTTCTGCTAGCATTGAGGTTAGTTTGCTCTTGGTTCTCTAGTTCTTTTAGTTATGATGTTAGGTGGCTAAATTGAGATATTTCTCTTTTTGATGTGGGTGTTTAGTGTCAAAAATTTTCCTCTTAACACTGCCTTAGTTGTGTCCCACAGATTCTAGTATGTTGTATCTTTGTACTCATTAGTTACAAAGAACGTCTTGATTTCTACCTTAATTTCATTATTTACCCTAAAGTCATTCAGGAGTAGGTTATTTAATTTCCATATAATTTTATGGTTTTGAGCAATTTTCTTAGTCTAGATTTCTAATTTTATTGCTCTGTAGTCTAAGAGAGTGGTGTTATCAGTTCTTCTGCATTTCCTGAGGATTGTTTTATATCCAATTTTGTGGTCAATTTTAGAATAAGTGCTATGTGGCAATGAGAAGAACGTATATTGAGCTGTTTTGGGATGGAGAGTTCTGAAGATATCTATCAGGTCCATTTGATCCAATTCTGAATTCAGGCCCTGAATCTCCTTGATAATTTTTTGCCTTGATAATCTGTCTAATACTGTCAGTGGAGTGTTGAAATCTCCCACTAGATGCAAAAATCCTCAACAAAATACTGGCAAATAAAATCTAGCAGCACATCAAAAAGCTTATCCACCATGATAAAGTAGGCTTTATTCCTTGGATGCAAGTTTGGTTCAGCATACACAAATCAATAAATGTGATTCATCACATAAACAAAACTAAAGACAAAGAACACATGATTATCTCAATAGATAAAGAAAAGGCTTTTGATAAAGTTGAATAACACTTCATGTTAAAAACTCTCAATAAAGTAGGTATTGAAGGAACATACCTCAAAATAATAAGAGCTATCTATGACAAAGCCACAGCCAGCATCATATTGAATGGGCAAAAGCTAGAAGCATTCCTTTTGAAAACCGGCACAAGACAAGGATGCCCACTCTCACCACTCCTGTTCAACATTGTATTGCAAGTCCTGGCCAAAGCAATCAGGGAAAAGAAAGAAACAAAGGGCACCAAAACAGGAAAAAAAGGAAATCAAACTATACCTGTTTGCAGGCAACATGATTCTATGTTTAGAAAACCTCATAGTTTCAGCCAAAAAGCTCCTTAAGCTGATAAACAACTTCAGTGAAGTCTCAGGATACAAAATCAATGTACAAAAATCACTAGCATTCCTATACACTAACAACAGTCAAGCTGAGCCAATCAGGAACACAATTTCATTCACAATTGTCACAAAAAGAATAAAATACCTAGGGACACAGCTAACCAGGGAGGAGAAAGATCTCTACAATGAGAACTACAAAACACTCTTCAGATAAATCAGAGATGATGCAAACAAATGGAAAAACATTCCATGCTCATGGCTAGGAAGATTAAATATAATTAAAATGGCCATACTGACCAAAGCAATTTATAGATGTAATGTTATTTCTATCAACCAAAATGACATTCTTCACAAAACTAGAAAAAACTATTTTAAAATTCATTTGGAACCACAAAGGGGCCCAAATAGGCAAGGAAATCCTAAACAAAAAGAACAAAGCTAGAGTCATCATGCTATCTGACTTCAATCTATACTACAGGGCTACAGTAGCCAAAACAGCATGGTACTGGAACAAAACAAACACATAGACCAATGGAATAGAATAGAACCCAGAAATAAGGCCACACACCTACAACCATCTGATCTTCAACAAAGCTGACAAAAACAAGCAGTGGGAAAGGACTCCCTATTCAATAAGTGGTGCTGGATAACTGGCTGGCCATATGCAGATTGATACTGGACCCCTTCCTTACACCATATACAGAAGTCAAGTCAAGATGTATTAAAGACTTAAATGTAAAACACAAACTTGAGAAGACAACCTAGGCAATACCGTTCTGGACATAAGAACAAGCAAATATTTCTTGATGAAGATGTGAAAAGCAATTGCAACAAGAGCAAAAATTGACAAATGGGGTCTAATTAAACTAAGGAGCTTCTGCAAAGCAAAATACACTATCAACAGAGTAAACAGAAAGTATCAACAGACAGAATGAGAGAAAATTTTTGCAAACTGTGCATCTGACAAATGTCTAATATTCAGTATCTATAAGAAACATAAATTTACAAGAAAAAAACTCCATTAAAAAGTGGGCAAAGGACATGAATGGATACTTTTACAAAAAAGTCATACATGTAGCCAAGAAGCATATGAAAAAAGAGCTCAACTTCATTGATCATTTAAGAAATGCAAATCAAAACCACAATGAGACACCATCTCACACCAGTCAGAATGACTATTATTAAAAAGTCAAAAACAGGCCTGCCACAGTGGCTCACACCTGTAATCCCAGCACTTTGGGAGGCCAAGGAGAAAGGATCACTCGAGGTCAGGAATTCGAGACCAGCCTGGCCAACATGGTGAAACCCCGTCTCTACAAAAAACAAAAAAAAATTAGCCGAGTGTGGTGGTGGGCCCCTATAATCCCAGCTACTTGGGAGGCTGAGGCAGGAGAATCACTTGAACCTGGGAGGCGGAGGTTGCAGTGAGCCAAGATTGTGCCACTGCACTCCAGCCTGGGGGACAGAGTGAGCCTCCGTCAAAAAAAAAAAAAAAAAAAAAAAAAGTCAAAAAATAACAGACTCTGGCTTGGTTATGAAGAAAAAGGAATGCTTACATACTATTGGTGGGAGTGTAATTAGTTCAACCATTATAGAAAGCAGTGTGGCAATTCCTCAAAGAGCTCAGAACAGAACTACCATGTGACCCAGCAATCCCATTACTGCGTATATACCTAAAGGAATATAAATTCTTCTTCATAAAGACACATGCACATGTATGTTCATTGCACCATTATTCATAATAGCAAAGACATGAAATCAGCCTAAATGCCCATCAACAGTAGACTGGATAAAGAAAATGTGATACCTATGCACTGTGGAATACTATGCAGCCATAAAAAAGAACATGATCATGTCCTTTGCAGGAACATGGATGGAGCTGGAGGCCATCATCCTTAGCAAACTAACACAGGAACAGAAAACCAAATACTACATGTTGTCAGTTATAAGTGAAGGCTAAATGATGAAAACACATGGACACATATAGAGGAACAACAGACACTGGGGCCTACCTGAAGGTGAGGTGTGGGAGGAAGAAGATCAGGAAAAACAATTAATAGGTACTAGGCTTAATATCTTAATGATGAAATCATCTGTATAGCAAACCCCCATAACACAAATTTATCTGTACAATAAACCAGCACATGTACTCCTGGACTTAAAAATAAAAGTTGAAAATAAATAAATAAAAATAAAAATTTATTCCACTTGGGAGGCTTGATATTTATGTTTTCTGTATAATTGATACTGAATTTAGTGGTAAGTTTTACTTTATTGTTGATAAATCAAAATAGTACTGAATTTTTCGCAAACATTTAACTAAAAACAAACATATTCTTCTAAGAGAATATTAAAAATACATCTTCCTGGGCAATAGATTCAAGGCTTAAATGTCTGCCTTTGCAATTCTTTTTTTTTTTTTTTTTTTTTTTTGTCTTGCAGTGGCATGATCGTGGCTCACTGCAAACCTCTGCCTCAAGTGATCCTCCCACCTCAACCTCCCAAGCAGCAGAGACTACAAATACATACCACCATGCCTGGCTAATTTTTTGTTACTATTATTTTCTTAATAGAGACAGAGTTTCGCTATATTGCCCAGGCTGGTCTTGAACTCCTGAGCTCAAGTGATCCAGCTGCCTTGGCCTCCCACAGTGCTGAAATTACAGGCATGAGCCACTGCGCCTGGCCTGCAATTCTTTCGTTGATAATATTCATTTTAAGACCACCACATCTGAATCATGTGACTTACTTTTAAGAGGAAAAAAAGTATGAATTTTCAAACATCGAGGGTAAACACTCAGTTTAACCGTAAGCATTTATTAAAATCATTTATTAGGCTGAGGCTGCTCCAGCACTCCAGGTTTCTACCTAAAGCAAACCAAAACCCATCTCAGTGTAAACACTAAAATGAAAACTAAGCTAAACCAATCAGGAACTGCCAAGTAACCTCTAACTAGAAACTTCCTACTGGAATGATCTAAATAAAACTACTGCCCCACTTTAACCAATCAAATATTTATCTTGCTCCTCTGTTGACCCTATGAAAGCCATCCTCTCATTCCTTCAGCAGAGCCCCCAACTGCTTGCAGTGTGGAGCTGCGTAATTCATGAATCAGTACTCAAATAAACTGTCAAATTGTAATGTGCCTAAGTTTATCTTTTAACATATTATATGACTTAAGGTTTTTGAAGATTTTGTTTGAAACCTCCCAGCAGAACTTCTGATAACTTTTTAAAAATTCTCTTCTGCTAGCTTTGAAAGAAGCAGTATTATAAGTAGTAAAAAATAGTTTTAAGTTTAAACTATGGTCAACAGAAAATGATTGGGAAATATTTGGTGAAGAAACAATTTGCATGAGGAAACAAAAACTACAGAAACTACTGGGATTGTTTTGTGGGGTTTTTTTTGTTTTTTTTTGTTTGGTTGGTTTTTTTTTTTTTTTGGTTTGTTTTTGTTTTTGAGACAGAGTCTTGCTCTGTCGTCCAGGCTGGTGTGCAATGGCACAATCTCGGCTCACTGCAACCTCTGCATCCTGGGTTCAAGCAATTCTCCTGCCTCAGTCTCCAGAGTAGCTGGGATTACAGGCGCCCACCACCAGCCCGGCTAATTTTTGTATTTTTAGTAAAGACAGGGTTTCACCATGTTGTCCAGGCTGTATCTCAAACCCTTGAACTAGGTGGTCTGCCTGCCTCCGCCTCCCAAAGTGCTGGGATTGCAGGCATGAGCCACTGTGCCAGGCCTGGGATTGTTTTTTGCGATATTTTACTAGTGAGCTTTTTGAAATATGTTGGAGATGATTGTACACTTTTACTATTGAAGACTTTAAAAATACTTGCATTTCTACACTTTAAAATATATGATTACAGTTCTATTTTCTAGCTTGATTAAAAATCATTGAAAACCAGTGATCTCCGACGTTAATAATAATCCTTTTTACTCCTAAGTAATGTTTTCCTCTCATTATATCCTTACACTGTCTTGTTAATTATCAGCTTGCTATGGTTTACAAGTTTTTCCCTAGGGAAAATAAAATAATGAGGAGGAGGAATTTAGCTTGAAAATATAGTACTTTGTATTTTTTTCTAAACAATGTTGATCTAATTTTATAATATCCACTTTGCTCATTGTGTCAAAACCTAATTCTCTGGTCACCTGAAATATCAGAAGGAAGTGTACTAATACTGCTCAGTCCATGCCAGTATATTCTTCATAGATCTATATACTCCGTTTATTTGATTGTTTTAATTAAATTAAACTTATTAAGCATGGATGTGTGAGAAGAAACATAATTGTCATTCTTAGAAAACTGTCTGCATCAGTGTATTTCATTTGATGTTAATTTTTTTTCTGTCTTGAATGTAGTGAGGACTTTCCTTGTTTTCTCATTCAATGAGTGAAAAGAATCTCCTCTACATCTGAGGTTATATAGCACAACAGACACCACTGGTACTATTTAATCAACTCCCTCATTCCACCTGAGTTGATCAAGGCAGAATTTTTATTTAAACCATTTGTTTTGCCTGTTGTACCATTTCCCTGCATTTGGAAATAAGTATCTCCTAATACATGTCTAAATCCAGGAATTCAATGTGTTTTTATTCTTTTATTTCTTCTCCTATCCAAATCTGTTTCTTAAAAAATATCTATAACCTTAAGTCCTGTATATTAATCTCTTCTGCAAGTATCTACAATTTAATATTTATAAAGATTTCAAAGTTTTATAAATTTTCAAATTGCAGACAATAAAATGAGAGAAGCTAAAAAGGATGGTAGGTGTGACTAAATATTTTTACTAGAACTCCTTCATCTCATTCAAGAGCCAATTTTAAAATAACAATCATAGTCATTAGCCATGATTCACCATTATGTAAAGTTGATTATGTTACAGGAATAAACTGTGTGTCCCCACTTTAAAAAAAAAAAAAAAAAAGACAGTGACTGTTTGAAATACAGAAGTGTGAACACTGAATGTGGCCCAAGAACAAATTTCAACCAACATGAAAAGCCCTGGTGAGTGTGTTAGTTGGATGTCTTAGACTCGGAGGTAACAAAATGCAGAGACTACCTGCAGGGATAGAATTGCTGATTGCATGCCCTATTCTGCAATAAGATACAGATAGTCTCATTGGCTTGGAATTTTTGTGGGTTCTGATATTTGCAAACCTTTTAAGATTAGGATGAATTGCAGACTTGTGCAATGATCTGAGCTCAAGTTACCCACCTTACATTTGTTTACACAGCAAGTGTATGACCCAAAAGGGAGGGTTTGATTGGGTCCAGGCTGTCCCTATTTAATCTAGGGGTGTTTCTCTTAGGAAAGTTCCTACTAAGCCAGTTCAGTGGTGATGTGCTTCTCTTGCAGCAGTGCCTTATTCTTTGGGTTTGCTTTGTGATGATCCTTAATTTGTTGCTAGATAGTTGAACCAACTTATTCTCTATGTGTTTCAAAATCATTGTATAACATACTAAAATAAAACACTTGGAGTATATATGTGTTACGATTCTTCAGATGCAAATAATTTAAAAATTCAAGTAAGGCTGATCCGGTGGCTCACACCTGTAATCCCAGCACTTTGGGAGGCTGAGGCAGGCAGATCACTTGAGCCCAGGAGTTCAAGACCAGCCTGGCCAACATGGCGAAACCCTGTCTCTACTAAAAATACAAAAATTAGCCAGTCATGGAGGTGTGTGCCTATAACCCCAGCTCCTCGGGAGGCTGAGGTAGGAGAATCGCTTGAACCTGGGAGATGGAGGCTGCAGTGAGCCAAGATCATGCCACTGCACTCCAGCCTGGGTAACACAGCAATACTCCGCCTCAAAAAACAAAACAAAACAAAACAAAAAACTGTCCAGAAAAGTTAGTTTCTCTGCCAGTTGAACAAAAATCTAGGCATAATTGGTAGAATAAAGACCCTCTTTAAATATGCTCTTGTTTGTCTTAATCCCTCAAGCTGATATTACAAAATATCATAGATTGGGTGGCTTATGCACACCAGGAATTTATTTCTTATGGTTCTAGATGCTGAGAAGTCCAAGATCGAAATGCTGTATGCTTTGGTGTCTGGTGAAAGCCTGTTTCCTGGTTAATAGACAGCTCTCTTTTCACGGTGTCCTCATGTGGTGAGACAGACATGGGAAAATTTGGGGGCCACTTTTATAAGGGCAGGCACTAGTCGTATTCATGAGGGTTTCACTCTCATGATCTAATCACCTCTCAAAGGCCCCACATCCTAATACATTGTCTTGAGGATTAGGGTTTCAATGTATGGATTTTGGAGAGGACATAAGCATTCAGAGCCTGTTCTAACCTTTAGAAACTATGAATATATTACCTTACATAGCAAAGAAACTTTGCAGATGTGATTAAGGCTAAGGATGTTGAAATGGAAAAACTATCCTGGATGATTCAAATGGGCCCTACCTAATTGCATGGGTCTTTAAGAGCAGAGAGCCTTTCCCAGCTATAATCAAAGGGAGATGTGGCCAAAGAAAAATGGTCAAAGAGATGCAATATTTATGGCTTTGAAGATGGATGAAAGGACTCACAAGCCAAGGAATGTGATCAGCCTTTAGAAGCTGGAAAAGGCAAGAAAACTGAACCTCCAGATAGAAATGCAGCCCTACAGACATCTTGATCTTGGCCCATTGAGATGGGTGTCAGGCATCTGACCTACAGAACTACTGTAAGATAATAAAATTCATATTTGTAAGACATTAAATTATGGTAATTTGTTACAACAGCCATAGAATACTAATATACTGAGTTTCACATAGCTTGGACAAGCTTAGACACACTGCTGAACAAGTCACATTAGCAAAGGAGATAGCATAAGCTGAATCATTTAGGCATGAATTATGTAACCAAATTATTTTGGATGGTAACATGGGACAAGAATCAATAAGCCTACTTTGGAGCTGAGGGAAGCAACACACATATTCTACGACTACCCCACAATGACTGCCCCACCATCCCCACAATAGAACATGAGTGGGCAGCCTGCAATATGTACCATAGTGCACTTACTTCAGAAGGGATGTGAAACTGGCAGGTACTTTAAGACTCCAGAGTTCGTTCAGTTCAAAGCTTACTCAGAAAAGTAGTTTCTTCTTTCCTTCCTAAGAAGGGTATGGATTAATTTTTCTTCTATGTCTTACAACTTCTCTTGATCAATGTATTTTTAATGTCTGGAGAGGCTGTAATTTGTCACAGGACATGTCTGAAATGAGGCCAATGATGCTTAGTGCTTGGAGACTGCTTGCTCAGTGCCTAACAGAGGAAGGAATGATTCAGCGGAAGAAAAATGAGACTAAGACATAAGTATGACCAAATGTTTATGGGAGTACAATGTTTTTATTACCTAGAAAGGACAATATAGGGTCATAAAGTCGTGAAGAATATTGCAGCAAACTGTTTGAATTTATTTTATAATGCTTGTGTCACTGGGGTCTTTCAAGAGTTCTTTAAATGTTGGTACATAGCAAAGACTTATTTTCCAACTTTTATGTTTATTTTCACTTCTGGCATACAGTAAATGCTCTGTAAATATTTGCTGTGAGTATTGTATTGCTATTTTAACTATCTAATGGGTATCAGCAGTATGTGAGGTGACTGAGTTTCTTCCAGCGATGGAAGGAGGACAATTTTTTTTCTGAAGGTAAAATTCCTATCAATCCCAAATAGAAAGCAACAAATCATTTCTTTGCCATGTAGGAAGTAAACTTGGCTAGAAATAACATTCAATTTAATCAGTGAAGTTAACACAGAAGTATAGAAGAGTAAATTCTTGAAGCTTCTCTACTACTGTTCAAAGTAGAGAGACTTAGAATCTGGGAGACATAAGCATTTCAGTCATGAAAGAAAGATATTTGCCACAGGATCCTCATGGCCTAAATAGCCTAGCCCTCTAGACCTGCAATCTCCCTTGATTCGCCAAGCAACTATGTGATTACTAATGCAACTCCTAAGGCTCTTTGATATTGTGACTCAGCACCGTGGATAGAGGATGTGAGCATGTACTTACCCCAAATATACACATTAATTGACATTCTTATCACATCTCAGTCAGTCAGTTTGTCAATCCCAGTCACAGGCCAAGGCCAAGACACAGATTTTGGACCTTGTCAAGTTCAACTCTGTGGTGAATCTTTCCTTGATGGTACCTCTGTTCAGCATTGGGCCTGTGACCTTTATATTCAAAAAATGTCTACAATTTGTTAAATAAATATTAGTAATATGGACTCACCATTTCTATGGGAAAGTGTGCATAAAGTTACAAATAACTAATTTTTAAAAATTAAAACTCTCTTGGAATAATATTTTAAAACTAAGGAGTTATCTGTAATTATCATGTAATTTTAGGGTTGAATCTTTCTTTTCATATTTTAATCTTTATAAAATATGATAAACTATGGATTGTGGCTATGCTTTCATATTTTTAAAAATATTTTATTCCATAGGACCTTACCATTGTTTTCGATCTGCTTGGGCTGGTACCACTTAATAGCTTGTCGGAATCATTTGGAAATGTGGGAGATTGGGGTGAAAAGGAGGGGCAAATGTTGTCATAACAATGAGATGTTACAGGGGTCAGGTATACTAAACATGGTGCAACATTGAGAAGGTCACATGCAACAGAGAGCAACAAAGAACTTTCTTGTCACAAATGCCAATTATATTTCTAATAAGAAACATTGTTCCTACTTCCTTATAATGTAAGAATTGATTGTGATTTTCTGAGATTATGATTTAAAACAAAAAGACCCTGGAGATAAGTGCATTTCCTGCTGCTATATCAGGAAATAATATTACCTGTTTAACTTTCTACTTTCATATTATTGTTTACAGCAGCACGTATGTGTGTGCATATGTATATGTGTGTAGCTGGCTTTGCATGAGTTTCTTTACTCTTTGAAAGTCTCTAACGATAAAAAATGTTTTCTCCCCTATTTCAGTGGCTGAAGCCTGATGAAATAGTCCTTGGAAATTAAGTAAGGAGCTTGTAAACATTCTAGCTAATTTGATCAATCAAAGCAGTGAAGTAAGATAGCTCACCTTGGTAACAGGGAATTGCAGCACGAGAAACAAAGTCATGTCCCTAACCCCACTTGGTACGAATCAGTCATTCTGTGTTTTTAATTAATTACACAAAACTTCTTTCCACTAGACGTAATCATCCAAAGGTGACAGTATAGGGGGAACCTCTACACATTCATGCATTTTCTCAAACAGATTACAAAACCCAGCATTATATGCCCACTCTACTGATGTAGAAATAGGTTGGGCTACAAATCATGGATGATCAAATATCAGAGCTAGGCTGACCATTTACACAAAGGCATTCATTCCAGGGGCAGATGCAGCTGGGTCTCTCAGGGCTGCCCTAGACAAAGACTCTTCAGCTAAAATCCTTTATGAGTGAGGTTTAAACAATCACACAATCAATTGGCATTACAGCATCCAATCTTTTTGAACTCGGTGACCAAAGATCAGTCCCAACCAGTGAACTTTCTAATTGTTGCAAAATGCCATGTAAATGCCCAGTTTGTCCTGCCCAAAGGTTTTCAGAAGATAAAAGTTAATTCAGAAACAAAGTTTTATGAAAGTCAATGAAGCCTTTTAAGAAACATTATTGAGATTTTTTAATCTCTTGCCAAAACAAAAAGAAGAAAAAGTTAAATTTCTATCCAACAATCTCAAAATCAGCAAGACAAAGAAAAATAATTCAACCCCCAAAGCCAACAAAAGGCCCATTTACGATCTGACACCCTGCGTGGACTTTGAAGCCACACTTTTCTAACAATCGTTGTATTATGGCCACAGAATAATGCCAACCTGTTAATGTGGGGTTTGTTTGGTCAATTTGGAATTCAAATCAGAATAAATCAGGATAGAATGCTGCACCCACAACAACTCACTGAGGCTAAGTCAACTTTAGAGAAACAAAAACAAAAACAGAATACTCTTCTTTCCAGGAGTCGTGAAAACAAGATTAAAACCTAATAGATCTAAACTCTGCCCACATTAGCCTAACTATATGGTACCAGAGCACATTTTCAAAGTGAAGGAAAGCATGGCCCATGTAACATCAGTGACTTCAATGTGATTCATCATATTCATCCTGTCCACATGCTAATAATTCACAAAAGAACACACTTGTCTTCACAAACTGTTCTAAAATCTTTAGACTTAAAATGTAAAATGTCAACATGATCAAAACAAATTGTGGACAGTCTTAAAACAAAAACACGATAAGGTTTTAGAATGACTAAAGCACATAATTATACATTCCAACATAGTTTCTCCATTGCCAAAATCCTTTAGATTCAGATCATTCTCCCATTGCCTTGAAAGCACTGGTAATCAGAGCCCACTCTTCTTGATAAACAGAATTAGGAACAACAAGTTATTCCACAATATAAGAAGAGGGTATAAGAAAAACATGATTATGTCATTATTTTAAAGCTCCTTTGCAAGTTTCCCAAACAACCATCGCCATCTCTTCACCCATTCTGGATACCTCAGATGTTTTCTCCTCTCTCTCTCCCTCTTTCTCTTTGTCTCTTGCATGCACATGTGTGTGTGTGTGTCTGTGTGTGTACGCACAGATATATATGTATGTCTTTTTCCCTGGAGAAACTATTCACTTAAACTTTCAAATTGTGTCTGAGATTTTCAAAATTTATCAAGTTCAGAATACTTTGGTTAGGGAAAAAAAATCCTTTTTGACCTAAATTTCTAGGCACATTATCAGTGCAAATGCAAATAAGAGGAATACAATTCCAAGAGTCCTTTTTCCCTAAAACTCAGAAAAATAAGTTGTGGTTAAATAGGAAATATTTCAATGTCTATGGTTATACTTAAATTTGGCATATATAAAGGAGTAAAATAAACTAATTATACAACTATCTGTACAGGAAACTATTTGACTCCAAAGGTTCTTACAGATTTTACAGACTGTATTATATATGAATTATTTATATCTCTTGAAAATTCAAGGAAACTATCGAATTCAATTTGTAGAATTGACAACAACTGGGCTAATAGGAAAAGAAAATGTCATTGAACAGCCATGTCATTGATTAAAATATTACTAGTCCAAGAGAATGATCACTTTGAGATGGATTAAATTGCACTTTGAAAAAATCAATCAAAATCCTGAGTATTTGAGCCATAAAGACTTCTAATCCTCTAACAATCTATAGAATGCAATAAAAAATTGATTTAGGACCAGAGATATAGGAATCAAAGATCTCATAACTCTGATAGTAAATAAAAATTATCTTCTACTTACAACAATACAATCTCTTCAATTAATGAATCCTTATCATAATTCAGACTTCGATTATTTGAAGTAAAAGTGTGGCAAACACAGTTTAGTGAAATATAGTGAAAAATCAAGGACTGAGTATAGTGAGCCTGTGACATTCAAACATGTAGAAAGTTTGTTTCCTAATAACAATGATGAGTGGTCTCTGATGAACCACAGAAGCTCATTAATACAGTGTTTATTCAATTAGCTGGGGGCGTGGTATGCATGCACCGGTAATCCCAGCTACTGGGGAAGCTGAGGTGGGAGGACCCATTGAACCCGAGAGGTTGAGGCGTCAGAGAGCCATGATTGCAGCACTGTACTCCAGCCTGGGCTACAGAGAGGGACTCTGCCTCAAAAAAAAAAAAAAAAATTTGTTTTAAATTAAAAAAATAGGCCAGTGCAGTGGCTGATGCCTATAATCCCAGCAATTTGGGAGGCTGAGGCAGATGGATTGCTTGAGTGATGGAGTTCAGTACCAGCCTGGGCAACACAGAAAATCCCATATCTACAGAAAATGACCAAAAAAAAAAAAAAAAGAAGCCAGGCATGGTGGCAACTGCCTGTGGTCTCAGCTACTCAGGAGGCTGAGGTGAGAGGATCCTTTGAGGCCAAGAGGTGGAGGTTGCAGTGAGCTGTGATCACCCCACCGCATTCCAGCTTGGGCAACAGAGTGAGACCCAGTCTCAAAAAATTAAAAAATTAAAAATAAAATAAATAAATAAAAAGTGTTTATTCGAATTACACATAACAGAAACCTACTGTAGTTGAGCAGCGGTTTGCTCCATATCAACTCTGGTCTCATGCTACTACTCTATGCAACACTTTGCTTTTTATATGTCAGGATGTCTTGGCCTCTCTTGGTTCCTGAACTTACTTTGTTCCGTCTCCACACAGAGCCTTACTACAAATGCCTCCCTCCACCTGGGCTTCTCCTACTCACCATCTCCAGCCCTTTCCCAGCACTTCCTCAAAGGAACTTTGTATGATACTACCAACATACATACATACCCACTACATTTTCTTGAAGCACTTTTCTTTCTGATCACTAATCACATTTCTGCTAAATATTTCACTGAGTTTTTACTATCTAAGGATGTTGCCATAATGTAAATTCCAAGAGGGACTGATTTGTACCTAATACACACACGGTTTTGACTTGAGGACTTACACTATGTCTAACATATAGCTGTTAAATGCATTCATTCAGTGATTAGGAAAATGAAATAAATGGGCAAAGTCCTGAAGGATACTGAGACTTAATAACTCTGGGATAGAGAAGTTTAAAGATTCAATTGAAGCAGCCGGTTCAACTAGAACATATACCATTTATACGGTCATGGATATGTACATCATTTGGTTAATGCTGAACTGCTAATTTTATGATCTGAAGGCTGTTCACACTGCTAATTTTATAGTCTAAACATACCTACTATGTGTTACCTAAGTCAAGATAGTATTTTACAGATTGCTGTGAATGTACTGGTTACGTAGGAAAGAGTTATTTATAAGCTTCAGAAGGAGATATTCTATTCTCATAATTTTTATGCTAAATCAATATTCAACTAAAATCAAATTTTGTGACGTTGTGTTAACTTCTCAAAGAATCAATTCTATATATATAAAGGAAAAAGCTGGGTAATACTACGAGACCTTAAAATCACTTCGTGCTTTAAAGTAATATAATTCCAGTGTATTATATAGGCCCTAGGTTGAATGATTTTGAATTTCAAAGCTGACAACATAAGTAGCAAAGCAAAACTGGGTTTCAGTAAATACCCTTCAGTTACATCCACAGGACAAAGAAAATATATATTTTTCTACTCCCTAGAGAGAGGGAGGCAGCACTCATAAAACATGACTGTGAAATTGTAGAAACTTTGAATGTGTTTTTCTCTCCTTTTTTCTTATGAGAAAGGTTATCTGTAATTAGATATAATAGAACTTTGCTGTCTAGATGGAGAATATAAAAAGTCAAGCCAACAAAAAATAATTGAAGAGTATACTAAAATGCAAGATGTATGGAAATTATCAAAAAGAGACCATATTCTGTCATCTTAAAGAATCCTTGAAGACTGAAAAAAGTCCATCTATTTCAAAATAATGGAGAAGGGTTAGAGAAAATGCCTTGAATAGAAATGTTTCTTGGAGGAATTCAGCTTCCTGCCAAACATTTTTCAGTTCAAGTCAGTACCAGATATAAATGTAGTGGGGAGGAAGTTGTTGTACCCTCTGCTAATGAACACATAATATGAGAGGGCAGGGAGTGGGAAGGGAAGAAAGGGCCTCTCATGTAAACACAGGACGTTGAGAATGTCAAAGTCATCAGGCTAAATAGCTGTTTATACACTGATGTTAGCCTCAGGAATATGGACTAGTCTGCAAGAGTATCAGATTGTGTGTTGAATATCTGATGGTAAAGGCATTTTCAGTAGGGTCAATTTATCTCCTAATCCAGTGATTCTTTAAAAAGTGGAACATTGTGGTTCACATAAACAGACTTTGTAGTGCTAAGTAACTCTGAAGGTGGGAAGAAATAAGGTGTGTGTGTGTGTGTGTGTGTGTGTGTGTGTGTGTTTTTTTAAGTTCATAGCGCCCTTAGAGATTGTGATACATGTCAGGCCTCTGAGCCCAAGCTAAGTTATCATATCCCTTGTGACCTGCACATACACATCCAGATGGCCGGTTCCTGCCTTAACTGATGACATTCCACCACAAAAGAAGTGAAAATGGCCTGTTCCTGCCTTAACTGATGACATTGTCTTGTGAAATTCCTTCTCCTGGCTCAAAAGCTCCCCTACTGAGCACCTTGTGACCCCCACTCCTGCCTGCCAGAGAACCCCCCTTTGACTGTAATTTTCCTTTACCTACCCAAATCTTATAAAATGGCCCCACCCCTATCTCTCTTCACTGACTCTCTTTTCGGACTCAGCCCACCTGCACCCAGGTGAAATAAACAGCCATGTTGCTCACACAAAGCCTGTTTGGTGGTCTCTTCACACAGACACGCATGAAATTTGGTGCCGTGACTCAGATCGGGGGACCTCCCTTGGGAGATCAACCCCTGTCCTCCTGTTCTTTGCTCCGTGAAAAAGATCCACCTACAACCTCAGGTCCTCAGACCCACCAGCCCAAGGAACATCTCACCAATTTTAAATCCGGTAAGCAGCCTCTTTTTACTCTCTTCTCCAACCTCCCTCACTATCCCTCAACCTCTTTCTCCTTTCAATCTTGGCGCCACACTTCAATCTCTCTCTTCTGTTAATTTCAATTCCTTTCATTTTCTGGTAGAGACAAAGGAGACAAGTTTTATCCGTGGACCCAAAACTCCGGCACCAGTCATGAACTAGGGAAGGCAACCTTCCCTTGGTGTTTAATCATTGCAGGGATGCCTCTCTGATTATTCAGCCAGGTTTCAGAGGCATCAGACCACGCAGAGACGCTTGCCTTAGCGGCAAGTCCCGCTTTTCTAGGGAAGGGGCAAGTACCCCAACCCCTTATATATCTCTCTGCCCCGATCCCTTATTTCCATGCCCCAACCTCTTACATCTCTATGCCCCAATCCCTTATTTCCGTGCCCCAACTTCTTATATCTCTGCACCCCAATCCCTTATTTCCACACCCCAACCTCATATCTCTGTGCCCCGACCCCTTTCCTGCTTTTCTGGAGGGTAAGGACCCCTGAACCCCTTGCCTCCATGTCTCTACTCTCTCTTTTCTCTGGGCTTGCCTCCTTCACTATGGGCAAACTTCCACCCTCCATTCCTCCTTCTTCTCCCTTAGCCTGTGTTCTTAAGAACTTAAAACCTCTTCAACTCTCACCTGACCTAAAATCTAAGCATCTTATTTTCTTCTGAAATGCCGCTTGACCCCAATACAAACTCAACAGTAGTTCCAAATAGCCAGAAAATGGCACTTTCAATTTTCCATCCTACAAGATCTAAATAATTCTTGTCATAAAATGGGCAAATGGTCTGAGTTGCCTGATGTCCAGGCATTCTTTTACACATCAGTCCCTCTCTAGTCTCTGTTTCCAATGTGACTCCTCCCAAATCCTCCTTCTTCCCTCCCGCCTGTCCCCTCAGTCCCAACCCCAAGCATCTCTGAGTCTTTCCAGTCTTACTTTTCTACAGACCCATCTGACCTTTCCCCTCCTCCTCAGGCTGCTCATCACCAGGCCGAGCTAAGTCCCAATTCTTCCTCAGCCTCTGCTCCTCCACCCTATAATCTTTTTATCACATCCCCTCCTCACACCTGGTCCGGTTTACAGTTTCATTCCGTGAGTAGCCCTCCCCCACCTGCCCAGCAATTTCCTCTTAAAAATGTGGCTGAAGCTAAAGGCATAGTCAAGGTTAATGCTCCTTTTTCTTTATCTGACCTCTCCCAAATCAGTTAGCATTTAGACTCTTTTTCATCAAATATAAAAAACCCAGCCCAGTTCATGGCTCCTTCGGCAGCAACTCTGAGACGCTTTACAGCCCTAGACCCTAAAAGGTCAAAAGGCCGTCTTATTCTCAATATACATTTTATTACCCAATCTGCTCCCAACATTAAATAAAACTCCAAAAATTAAATTCCGGCCCTCAAACCCCACAACAGGATTTAATTAACCTCGCCTTCAAGGTGTAAAATAATAGAAAAAAGTTGCAATTCCTTGCCTCCACTGTGAGACAAACCCAGCCACAACTCCAGCACACAAGAACTTCCAAATGCCTGAACCGCAGCGGCCAGGCGTTCCTCCAGAACCTCCTCCCCCAGGAGCTTGCTACAAGTGCCAGAAATCTGGCCACCAGGCCAAGGAATGCCTGCAGCCCAGGATTCCTCCTAAGCCGCGTCCCATCTGTGCGGGACCCCACTGGAAATCGGACTTTTCAACTCACCTGGCAGCCACTCCCAGAGCCCCTGGAATTCTGGCCCAAGGCTCTCTGACTCCTTCCCAGATCTTGGCTTAGCGGCTGAAGACTGACGCTGCCCGATCACCTCGGAAGCCCCCTAGACCATCACAGACGCCGAGCTTCGGGTAACTCTCACAGTGGAGGGTAAGTCTGTCCCCTTCTTAATCAATACCGAGGCTACTCACTCCACATTACCTTCTTTTCAAGGGCCTGTTTCCCTTGCCTCCATAACTGTTGTGGGTATTGACAGCCAGGCTTCTAAACCTCTTAAAACTCCCCAACTCTGGTGCCAATTTAGACAGTACTCTTTTAAGCACTCCTTTTAGTTATCCCCACCTGCCCAGTTCCTTACTAGGACGAGACACTTAAACTAAATTATCTGCTTCCCTGACTGTTCCTGGATTACAGCTACATCTCATTGCTGCCCTTCTTCCCAATCCAAAGCCTCCTTTGTGTCCTCCTCTTGTATTCCCCCACCTTAACCCACAAGTATAAGATACCTCTACTCCCTCCTTGGCGACCAATCATGCACCCCTTACCATCTCATTAAAACCTAATCAGCTTTACCCCGCTCAATGCCAATATTCCATCCCACAGCATGCTTTGAAAGGATTAAAGCCTGTTATCACTCGCCTGCTACAGCATGGCCTTTTAAAGCCTATAAACTCTCCTTACAATTCCCCCATTTTACCTGTCCAAAAACCAGACAAGTCTTACAGATTAGTTCAGGATCTGCGCCCTATCAACCAAATTGTTTTGCCTATCCATCCTGTGGTGCCCAACCCGTACACTCTTTTGTCCTCAATACCTTCCTCCACAACTCACTATTCCGTTCTCCATCTTAAAGATGCTTTTTTCACTATTCCCCTGCACCCCTCGTCCCAGCCTCTCTTTGCTTTCACTTAGACTGACCTGACACCCATTAGGCTCAGCAAATTACCTGGGCTGTACTGCCGCAAGGCTTCACAGACAGCCCCCATTACTTCAGTCAAGCCCAAATTTCATCCTCATCTGTTACCTATCTCGGCATAATTCTCATAAAAACACACGTGCTTTCCCTGCTGATCATGTCCGATTAATCTCCCAAACCTCAATCCCTTACAAAACAACAACTCCTTTCCTTCCTAGGCATGGTTAGTGCGGTCAGAATTCTTACACAAGAGCCAGGACAGCACCCTGTAGCCTTTCTGTGCAAACAACTTGACCTTACTGTTTTAGCCTAGCCCTCATGTCTGCAAGCAGCGGCTGCTGCTGCTTTAATACTTTTAGAGGCCCTAAAAATCACAAACTATGCTCAACTCACTCCCTACATTTCTCATAACTTCCAAAATCTATTCTCTTCCTCTTACCTGACGCATATACTTTCTGATCCCCGGCTCCTTCAGCTGTACTCACTCTTTGTTAAGTCCCACAATTACCATTGTTCCTGGCCCAGACTTCAATCCAGCCTCCCACATTATTCCTGATATCACACCTGACCCCCATGACTGTCTCTCTGATCCACCTGACATTCACCCCATTTCCCCATATTTCCTTCTTTCCTGTTCCTAACCCTGATCATGCTTGATTTATTGATGGCGGTTCCACTAGGCCTAATCGCCACACACCAGCAAAGGCAGGCTATGCTATAGTACAAGCCACTAGCCCGCCTCTTAGAACCTCTCATTTCCTTTCCATCGTGGAAATCTATCCTCAAGGAAATAACTTCTCAGTGTTCCATCTGCTATTCTACTACTCCTCAGGGATTATTCAGGCCCCCTCCCTTCCCTACACATCAAGCTCGAGGATTTGCCCCCACCCAGGACTGGCAAATTAGCTTTACTCAACATGCCCTGAGTCAGATAAGTAAAATACCTCTTAGTCTAGGTAGACACTTTCACTGGATAGGTAGAGTCCTTTCCTACAGGGTCTGAGAAGGCCACCGCAGTCATTTCTTCCCTTCTGTGAGACATAATTCCTCAGTTTAGCCTTCCCACCTCTATACAGTCTGATAACAGACCAGCCTTTATTAGTCAAATCAGCCAAGCAGTGTTTCAGGCTCTTAGTATTCAGTGAAACCCTTATATCCCTTACGGTCCTCCATCTTCAAGAAAAGTAGAATGGACTAAAGGTCTTTTAAAAACACACCTCACCAAGCTCAGCCACCAACTTAAAAAGGACTGGACAATACTTTTACCACTTTCCCTTCTCAGAAGTCAGACCTGTCCTCAGAATGCTACAAGGTACAGCCCATTTAAGCTCCTGTATAGATGCTCCTTTTTATTAGGCCCCAGTCTCATTCCAGACACCAGACCAACTTAGACTGTGCCCCAAAAAAATTGTCATCCCTACTATCTTCTGTCTAGTCATACTCCTATTCACCATTCTCAACTACTCATACATGCCCTGCTCTTATTTACATTGCCAGTTTACACTGTTTCTCCAAGCCATCACAGCTGATATCTCCTGGTGCTATCCCCAAACTGCCACTCTTAACTCTTAAAGTAAATAAATAATCTTTGCTGGCAGGACTATGCTGAATCTCCTTAGGCACTCTCTAATCAGATGTCCTGAGTCGTCCCAATTCTTAGACCTTTTATACCTGTTTTTCTCCTTCTGTTATTCCATTTAGTTTTTCAATTCATACAAAACTGTATCCAGGCCATCACCAATAATTCTACACGACAAATGTTTCTTCTAACAACCCCACAATATCACCCCTTACCACAAAATCTTCCTTCAGCTTAATCTCTCCCACTCTAGGTTCCCACGCTGCCCCTAATCCCGCTCGAAGCAGCCCTGAGAAACATTGCCCATTATCTCTCCATACCACCCCCAAAAATTTTCACAGTCCCAACACTTCACCACTATTTCATTTTATTTTTCTTATTAATATAAGAAGACAGGAAAGTCAGGCCTCTGAGCCAAAGCTAAGCCATCATATCCCCTGTGACCTGCACGTACACATCCAGATGGCCAGTTCCTGCCTTAACTGATGACATTCCACCACAAAAGAAGTGAAAATGGCCTGTTCCTGCCTTAACTGATGACATTGTCTTGTGAAATTCCTTCTCCTGGCTCATCCTGGCTCAAAAGCTCCCCCACTGAGCACCTTGTGACTCCCACTCCTGCCTGCCAGAGAACAACTCCCCTTTGACTGTAATTTTCCTTTACCTACCCAAATCTTATAAAATGGCCCCACCCCATCTCTCTTTGCTGACTCTCTTTTCGGACTCAGCCCGCCTGCACCCAGGTGAAATAAACAGCCATGTTGCTCACACAAACCTGTTTGGTGGTCTCTTCACATGGACGTGCATGAAAATACATAATAATAAAATTATTAATAATAAAATGTAGTAATAATGGCTAATACTCATTAGTGCTTATTCTATGAAGACACAATTTCGTGTATGCATTAATTCACTTAAATTCAATATTAATGGGTCCCCAGTACTATCAAACATGAGAGGATATCCATATAATTATAAAATAGTCACATGGTGTTAGAAGTTCTAAGGAATTATGAAAGGCTAGAATGAATAAAGGATAGACTGGGGTTTTTTGTTGTTTTTTTTTGTTTGTTTTTTTAGAACATATAGGGCAATGTTTCTCTAAGTCAAGTCAAGTCCCTAACAGAACAACCTGGGTGCTTAGTCCACCATAGACTTAATCAAAATTTCATCCAATGGCTCAGATTTAACCTTGAGAAGAGTTAGTCCTTCAAGCAGATAAATCATGGTCCCAGGATTTTTCACAAGAATCAGGGAATTTCTTGAGTGTTAAGCACTCACTAAATGTGAAAGAAATACCACTGTATGGAAAAGGTCTGCAAGATTTAGAGGTAAAAGATTAGAATATGATTACCTCCATATCAGTAACTTAGACACGGAGATTACCATTATCATTAATATGATGCTCAAGACTTTCTAATCCCATTAAAGAAAACTGGACAGAATGCAAAGTGGGCTGGGTGCAGTGGCTCACACCTGTAACCCCAGCACTTTAGGAGGCTGAGGCGGACGGATCACAAGGTCAGGAGATCAAGACCATCCTGGCCAATATGGTGAAACCCTGTCTCTACTAAAAATACAAAAACAAAATTAGCCAGGTGTGGGGGCGGGCGCCTGTAGTCGCAGCTACTTGGAAGGCTGAGGCGGGAGAATGGTGTGAACCTGGGAGGAGGAGATTGCAGTGAGCCGCGATCATGCCACTGCACTCCAGCCTGGAGGACAGAGCGAGATTCCATCTCAAAAAAAAAAAAAAAATACAGCATTTAGCTCTGCGTGGTGGCACGTTCCTGTAGTCCCAGCTACTCGGCAGGCTGAGGCAGGAGAATCACTTGAAGTCGGAGGTTGCGGTGAGCCGAGATCACACCACTGCACTCCAGGCTGGTGACAGAGCAAGACTGTGTCCAAAAAAAAAAGAGCAAAGTGACCATAACACATTAGACAAAATATCTGTTTCATAAAGCTCATCAAGTAATACTATAACCTAATATTCGGAGTTGTAATCAATATATATGTGAAGGAAATGTGAGTGCAAGAAATAGGCCACAAAATAAAATGTTTAATTCAGCATCTGTATTAGAAACTGTTAAATGATACAGTGTGCTAAACTATATAAACATGAGTTTATATTTCCAGATGCTTGTTAGCATCTCTACGTGCAATAGACATCTCAAATCCAAAAAGTGAGTACCTGGTCTTGCCCCCAAAACCTGTTTTCTCTGTTATCTTCCCAATATCTACTGAAAACAACTCCTCTCTTCCAGTCTTTTAAACTAAAAGTTTGGGCTCAGCCTGAACCTCTCTTTTCTCATACCCTCAATACAATCTGATATCATTTGGATATTTGTCCCCTCCAAATCTCAAGTTGAAATGTGATCCCCACTGTTGAAGGTGGGGCTTAGTGGAAGGTGTTTGGATCATGGAAGTGGATCCCTCATGAATATCTTGGTTCCCTCGCTGAGGTAATGAGTGACTTCTTACTCTATTAGTTTACATGACAGCCAGTAGTCTAAAAGAGCCTGGCATCTCTCTCTGCTCTCTTACCATAAGACACACTGGCTCTACTTTCCTTCTGCCATAAGTAAAAGTTTCCTGAGGCCTCACCAAAAGTTGAGCAGATGCTGGTGCTATGTTTCTTCTACAGTCTGCAGAACCTCGAGCCAAATAAACCTCTTTTCTTTATAAATTACCCAGCCTTGTGGATCACCTGAGGTTAGGAGATCGAGACCAGTCTCGCCAATGTGGTGAAACCCCATCTCTACTAAAAATACAAAAAAATGAGCCAGGTGTGGTGGCATGCACCTGTAATCCCAGCTATTCACGAGGCTGAGGCAGGAAAATCACTTGAACCTGGGAGACAGAGGTTGCAGTGAGCTGAGATCGTGCCATTCATTGCACTCTAGACTGGGTGACAAGAGCAAAACTCCGTCTCAAAGAAAAAAAATATATATATATATATTTATACATATATATATATTACCCAGCCTCAGGTGTTCCCTTACAGCAATGCAAAATGAACGAATACACAATCCATCAACAAATCCTGTCTGGGCATCAACAAATATGCCCAGAATCCAGAATCCATGTCTCCTCACCTCTGCTTTGCCATCCTAATTCACCTAATTCATCTCTTCTGGATCACAACAATAACCTCTAGCTGGTCTCTGCATTCATCCATGCCACCTGTAGTCTAAATCTCAACATGGCAGCCAGAATGATTCTGCAATAACTTAGGTTAAGCCAGACCACTTCTCTAACATTTTTTAAAGACTTATTTTTTTTTTTTTAGCAATTTTAAGTTCACAGCAAATTTGGGAGGAAGGTACATAGATTTTTTATATATTTCCAAAACCCCATGATGCACATCTTTTCTTTCTATAAAGGCAAGTTTCTGACTTACATTATTTTTCTTCTCTTTAAATAACTTTTTACATTTCTTGCAAGGCAGGTCTACTGGCAACAGATACCCTCAATTTTTATTTGTTTGAGAAAGTATTTATCCTTCGCTTTTGAAAAAGAATTTCACAGGATACAGAATCCTAGGCTGTTTTTCTTTTCTCTCAATGCTTCAAATATTTCACTTCCCTCTCTTCTCGCTTGCGTGATTTCTGAGATGTCAGATACAAATCTTATCTTTGTTCCTCTATAGGGAAAGATTATTTTCCCCCTTCTGGCTTCTTTTAGGATTTTTTTTCTTTAACTTAGAATTTTTTTTTTTTTTTTTTGTAGTTTGGAAAGGACATGTGTAGGTGCAGTTTTTGTTTGTTTGTTTTTAACATTTATTCTACTTGTTCTCTGAGCTACCTGGATCAGTAGTTTGGTGTCTGACTTTAATTTGAGGAAATTCTCAGTCATTATTGTTTCAAATATTTTTTTCTGTTTTTCTTTTCCTTCTAGTATTCTAGTATTCCCGTTACTTGTATGTTACATTTTTTTGTAATTGTCCCACAGTTCTTGGATATTCTGTTCTGGGTTTTGTTTGTTTTGTTTTGTTTTGTTTGTCTTTGTTCTCTTTACTTTTCTCAATGGAAATTTCCATTGAGATATCCTCAAGCTCAGAGATTATATCTTCAGCTATGCCCAGTATACTAGTAAGCCCATCAAAGTCATTCTTCCTTTCTGTTATACTGTTTTTGATCTCTAGCATTTCTTCTTAGTTCCTAGAATTTCCATCTCTTCATGTAAATTCCCCATCTGTTATTGCATGCTGTCGATTACAGCCCTTAGCATATTAATCATAGTTGTTTTAAATTCCTGGTCTGATAATTCCAAGATCCCTGCCATGTCTAGTTCTGATGCTTGCTCTCTTTTCAAATTGCAACTTTTGCCTTGTAACTTTTTATTGAAAGCTAGACATGATGTATTAGGTGAAAGGAACTACTATAAATAGGCCTTTAGTAATGTTGTGATAAGATGAGGGGAACAGGAAGCATTCTGCAGTTTTTATAATTATGTCTGTCTTTTAGGAAGCGTATGTCTCTGGACTGTGACATTCACAAGTGTTCCTTGTTTGTTTGATTGTTTTTCTCCTCCCTTGACTTGGAGGGGATGGCTAGAGTAGGCTTGAGTTGGGTATTTATCTTGTCTCATGTGGAAGAATAGAGCTGTTGCTTATTGCCTTTTTTCCCAGGTCAGTTACTCTGTGATAACACCCCCCAGGCTAGCCTCTGGTTAACTAACTTCTCCGGAGGGCAGATCTTGTTAAGAAGAATGGAGTGCTCTGGTATATCTCAAATGGTTACTTTTTCCCTCTTCCTGCTGGAAGCATAAAGAGATTTTTCTTCAGTATTTACTGTAAGAATCTGGGTAAGCTCCTGGAGGTAAATCTTACAAAATTGTCAAGTCCGCCTAGTGACTGGATCCCCTTGGACTTTTTAACTCAGAGTTGTCCACACTGAGCCTCCAGCAGTTTGTCAATGACAGCTCAAGATTTCCTACCGGGATACAGGTTCCTGTGGTGGGTTCTGCTCATTTAGTCTCTGCTCTGGTATGTCGACTCCTTGGCTTCATTTGTCTCTCTAGTCTTCAGGGTAGCAGTTTGTCCTGTGTCCTCACTCTCTTCCAAATCCTAGAAGAGTTGTTAACTTTTTTGTCTGTTGGAATTCTTACTTGTTGTTAGGAAGAACTGGCAATATCTAAGCTCTTTACAAGGCTAAGAAAAGAAATAATAAGAATTAGAGTAAGAATCAATGAAATATAAAACAGAAAAACAACAGAAAAAAATTAAATCAATATTCCTTCTTTGGAAAGATTAACAAAATCGACAGATCTTTAACTAAGCTGACCAAAAGAAGGAGAGAGAAGAGACAGATTATTAAAATCAGGAATAAAACAAAGAACATCACTACCAACTTTGCAGAAATAAAAACAGTTGTAAAATCTATTAGTCAGAGTTATCCAGAGAAATAGAACCAATAGGACATATGGAGATATGCATCATAGGATTTATTATGGGAATTAGCCTGCATGATTATGGAGGCTGAGAAGTTCCACAATATGCTGTCTTCAAGCTGTAGAACCAGGAAAGCTGGTGATGTGATTGGTCTGATTCTGAAAGCCTGAAAACCAGGAAAGCCTGTGGTGTAATTTCCAGTTCAAGGAATTCAGTCTTGTATTTAGACTGCCCTTAGAGGGCTGACTTGTGTCACTCAAAAAGGTATGTTGAAGCCCTAACCTTCAGTTCCTCAAAATTTGACCTTATTTGAAATAAGACATTGCAGATATATTAACTGAAATATTAATTAATTATTTAAAATATTAGTTAAGTTAGATGAGGTCATATTGGAAAGAATGGACTATTAAGCTGCCATGACTGGTGTTTTTATGAGAAGAGTCACACAGAGAGAAAATGGCCTTGTGAAGATGAGGGCAGATTTTGGCGTTATGAACGATCTTCTCCTAGAGCAGAGGTATCCAGGCTTTTAGCTTCCCTGGGCCACATTGGATGAAGAATTGTCTTGGGCCACACATAACACACACTAACACTAATGATAGCTGACGAGAAAAAAAGAATGCAAAAAACATCTCATAATGTTTTAAGAAAGTTTACAAATTTGTGTTGGGCCGCATTCAAAGCCGTCCTAGGCCGCATGCAGCCTGTGGGCCGTGGGTTGAACAAGCTGGTTCTAGAGGCTTAAGAGGGAGCACAGCCCTGCCAACACCTTGATTTTGGACTTCCAGTCTTCACAACTGTCAGAGAATAAATTCTTGTTGTTTTAAGCCACTCTGTTTGTGGTATTTTGTAACAATTGCCCTAAGAACGAGTATATCCTCTGTGATGGTTAATTTTATGTGTCAACTTGACTGTGCTAAGGGATGCCCAGATAACTGTAAAACATTACTTCTGATTGTGTCTGTGAGGGTGTTTCCAGAAGAGATTAGCATTTGAATCAGAAGACTGAGTAAAGAACATCTGCCCTCACCAAAGTGGGCTAGCATCATCCAGTCCATGTGGACGATGGGTGATTTTGCTATCTTCCTAAGCTAAGATGCCACCCCTTGGCCTTGGACATCAGCACTCCATATTCTCAGGCCTTTGGATTCTGGACTTACATCAATGGTCCTCTTCCACTCCCCACGCAGGTTCTCAGGCCTTCAGACTTAGACTGAATTACATGACCAACTTCTCTGGTTTTTCAGCCTGCAGACAGCATAATATGGGACTTCTTATCCTCTATAATCATGCAACTTAATTTCCATAATAAATCCCCTACTATATGCTTATATATGTGCTATTGGTTTTGCACTTCTGAAGGACTCTAACATATCTTATAACTTTTCATTTCTGCAGGGTTGGTAGTAACGTTTCCACTTTCATTCCTGATTTTGAAAATTTGTGTCTTCTCTATTTTCCTTGTGAAAGTCTAGTAAAACATTTGCCAATTTTGTTCATCTTTTCAAAGAAGCAAACTAATTTCATTTTTTTTCCTCCTGTCTTATATTTTATTGATGTTTACTCTAATCTTTATTACTTTCTTTCTTGGCTTTGCTTTGGATTTAGCTTCCTCATCATTTTCTAGTTTCTTAAGGTATAATCTTACGTTATTGCTTTGAAGATTTTCTTCTCTTCACAGAGAGGTGCTTAATGTCTAAGTGCTACTTAATTGCTAATTGATTCTGGAAACATCCTCACAGACATACCCAGAAATAATGTTTTTCTTGCTAGATGAATGTCAGGTATTCCTTGACCCAGGCAAGTTGACACTCAAAATTATCTATTACATGAGAGAATGTTATTAATAACTTTCTTCTATTAAATTAGATAACTTAGATGAAATTGGCAAATTCGTATAAAAGCACAAATAACGAAAACCAACTCATGAAAAAATTGAAGATGCAAGTAATACCTACAAGGGGTAATAAAATTGAATTCATAATTTGAAATCTTTCTACAAATAAAATCCCCAACTGAGATGATTTTACTCATAAATTCTACTAAATATTTAAGAAGAAATAATAGCAACCCTTCAAAAATTCTTTCAGAAAATCAAGAAAGGACCATTTCTCAACTCAGTCTATGAGGCCAGTGACACTATGACACCAGAGCCAGAGAAAGACATCACAAGTAAAAAAACAAATAAATAAACTACAGACTAATATCTATCAAAGCAGTCAGGAAAGAAAGAGCAAATAAATCACTGGCACCCAAATCATTTTCTTTCCAACTTTTGCTTTTGAGGGATCCCCAATAAGACGGTTGGTGATAATCCAAATTAATAATTAAAAAAGGCAGGAGGGAAATGGGCAGGGAAAGCCTTTCTATAAGGGAAACTCCATAATGACTATTATTGGGAATAATTTGGGAAATTTGAAAATGAACTATCTATTAGGGAATAATACTGTTTCATGTTTAATTTCTTGGCTCTGATGATGATATTGTGTTAAGTAGGAAAATGTTCTTAAGAGGTAACATGCTGAAATGTTTATGGGGAAAACATCAATAATGCCTGTAATCTATAACTTTTTTCAAATGGTGAGAAAAAATTGGAGAAAAAATAAGCAAGTGTGAAAACATAGTAAACGGTGGGTTACTTTAGGTAAATAGTAAACCTGCATTCATTGTTCTTGTCTTTCAACTTCTGTATTGGTTAACCTTTTTAAAAAAATAAAATTGAGTAGAGAAATGCAAAAACCACAATGAGATACCACTGCATGCATATTACAATGGTTAAAACTTAAAAAAAAAACTGGCAATATCAAGGACTATTGACAAGGACTATTGACAATATACTTTGTGGGTGGGAATGCAAAATGGTACAGCAACTTTAGCAAACAGTTGGCAGTTTCTTATAAAGTTAAAAAATATACTTATGATATCACCCAAAATTCTCACTCTTAGCTGGTTACCAAACAGGCATGAAAACTTATGTTCACATAAAAATCTATATGTGGACATTTATAGTGGCTTTATTAATAATCACCAAGTTTTGAAACAATTCAAATGTCCCTCAACTGAACAAGAAATGCATAAACACACAGTGGTACATTCATACAATGGAATACTCCTCAGCAATAGAGACAAACTACTGATACACACAACATGGATGAACATCCAACGTACTCTGCTAGTGAAAGAAGCCAGATGGAAATGCTACGTACGATACAATTCCATTTATATGACATTCTGCAACAATCAAAAAAGACAGAAGACCGTGGTTGGGCAGAGAATGGAATAAAGTTGGCTACAAATGGGGATGGGAAGATTTTCTGAAATAATGATACTGTTTTATACTTTGTATTGGTGGTTACACAACTGTGCATGCTCAGGACTGTGTGCTAACAGGAGTGAATTTACTGTATATTAACTATATGGTAATATTAAAATTAAATTGTTAGTTTGAAAAAAATCAGATCACTTCATCTAAAACCCTCCAGTGGTGTGTTACTCAGAATAAAAAGCAGTCATTACAATAGTTTACAAGGCCTCCCTTTAGCTCTTTGATCTCAACTGCTACTTCTCTTCCTCTTCCTTCTTTTCTAGCTTCACTAGCTGCTTTACATTCCTGAAACCTATCAGACATATTCCTACCTCAGAACCTTTTCCCCCCAGTTGCTATAAGACTTGATTGCTCTCTTCAAGCCTTAATTTGATGTCATATTAGCAGTAAGATCTTCTTCATAACCCCACCTTACCCTGGTACTCCTTTCCTCCATGGTAATTTTCACTACCAAAAATGCTATGTATTCTAAAAACTATATACTATGTATTCTCCTTATTTATAGTGTCTGTCTGTCTCAACAAGAGAGGGCAAAGCTTCTTGATGTTTTGTTCACAGCTATATCACATGCACCTACAATGGTGTTTAACATATAACAGTACTCATTCAATAGTTGTTGAATAAATTAGCTGAGATATAATGAAAGAGCTGTTACTTAAAATGCCCTGCACTCAGTATCACTTGCTACGTTACATAACATACTAAAATCAATCTCACCATAATTCTTAAAGAAATGGATCTTTTATTCTAATTTTACTTTTATGAGAAATAAGGAACTGATGAGGAAAAAAGATTAGGGATACAGTTTTTAAAATAAGTATCAGCATTTTCTTAGAATTCAGTAACTTACATCTATAATATGGAACAATAAGGATTTGATCCTTTTCCTCTGTGAAGCTCTTCTTCCTACCTCTTCCCTCTCAACCACTGATCCCTCAGAGTACCACTTCACCTTTACCTTCCCACTATCACTCCATCTTTCTTGCTGCTTGAAGTCAAACATTCAAAGGCTTCAAAATTGTGGATCATCAAATAAATGTTAAATTGAGTTAATTATATCCAGTTATAGATATAGACATATATTTTGAAAATATTTTCATTGACTACCCTGAAACCACAAAAGTGTTACTGTTAAGTAACGAAAACGCCATTCCTAGCATTTTCTGATTAATCAAAATTTTACTGAACTTAATCTTAGATGTGAGTTTCTTTTTCTTTTTCTTTTTTTTTTTTTTTTGTTGTTTAACGAGGAGCGTAAGACATTGGATAAGATCCAGACTGAAGAAATGTTGAACAGAAATGATTAACAATTTTTTAAAAGTATATTATAGAAATTGGTTTTTGTGAAAAACACAAGACGACTATGAGAAAACTTTGAAATCACTTTATACTTGGGACAATTTGAGTTATCAAAGTTTCCACTTTGACAGAGGTAGGATTCAATAAGAAAGTACATGTTGCAACTACAAAAAGTTGAAAGGCAAGTATAAATGAAAAAAGAAATTTAAGTTCCTGCTGCCTCCATTGTGGTTCAATCTCTTATAATAGCTTCCTAGTTGCTTTTTCATGATCAGACTGTCCCCTACCAGCCTATTTAAACTGTTTGCAAGTTGATCTTCCTATTGCAGAGCTGGGATACTATTTCTCCATACTCAAAAACCTTAAAAGCAAAGCCCCATTTCCTGAAGCACCACCATGTAAACATCTTTCAAAACATGGTCCTATTATTAGATGGCCTTGGTGCATATTTTCTTTAATATTTCCCACAAGGCTGCTATGCACACGTAGCACAGAAGTCAAACTGGGCTGTTTATTCTTCAATCACACCCACTGATTTCTTCTTCTATTCCTTTATAAATTAGCTCTCTCCTCCTGAAGTGTCCACTCCTCACACCATCTTTCATCAGCTCCTTCTAAAAGCCCACTCATCCAGTTATCTCATAAAGCCTTTCATGCTCTCTTCTAACCCTATAAGCATTCCCTCTATTCCAAAGTATCGCAGAACTTCACATCTTCCTGAGGCACCTAACAAGCCCCAGCTTATATCATAGTTGTCTATGTATTTATTTTATTCCTTCCCATCCATGTCATCCCTGCCTGATTCTGTAAGGTCTGAGGCTGTGACCTATTTACCTTTAGTTACTCAGGTAATAGGATAGAATCTTTTCCACATGACATGCTCAATTGTTCCTTGATTTATAAAGTGACTAAATATCAGGAGAGACACTATGGAATCACAGTTGCTGTTCTGCTCAGCAGCCAAAACCTAGCTCAGGTGTCCTCTTGAGAAATTTTCCAAAGACCTATTACAGGGATCTACAAGAAGACAAGGGCACCTTGTTTGAATTCTCCTGCAGATCCCACAGAATACACACAATGGAGGGAAAAACCCCTTTGAAAAGTATTGGACTGGGAAAAAGGAGATAGCCTGGGCACTGCCATTTAAGTTTCACCTGCACCAATCTCTTTAATGATTTTTAAATAACATCATGTTATAATTTGGAAAAAGGAATACTGACTTACTTATGCCGAGTAGAACAGAAATCAACAAGCAGAAACTACGTTTTCCCAGCAAGAAAACTGGGTTCTCTATAACAAGATTTTTCTGAAGACAAAGACATCCAACTACACATCTTCTTTGGTAGCTTTTAAATATCACTGTGTCACTAGGTCATGGTCTCTGCCACCTGAGTTAGACATGTGTCCCACACAGCAAGCATCCTACACAACTGCTGCATTTTAAACTCCAGAAGAGGCAAAAGAGGGGATTCAAATATTCCCAATGGAGGAGGTTAGGTTTTTTTATTCAGAGTTTATGAAGTATCAAGTTAAAGGTAGAATGTTCTAATAAAAATATATAAATATTTTATTATTCCACTCCTATACTTTCATTGCACTTAAAGAAATTAAGTTGTATAGATTTCATCAAGTTTATTTTTCAAAAGGAGAAAAATTAGAACTCAGAGTGCTTTACGTAGGATTCACAAAGCTTCAAAGGTCAGTGTTCAGAGGAAATCAGATGACAACTGCATTTTAAAATTCTTGATTCTGCCCATAATTCCCCAAGGGAAAATCTGTAGCTCTATGTGCTAGTTCAGAGGTGAATTTTTTAAAAAAGAAACTTTCTTCCTACTCTGCTATTTATTCATATTTTATAAGTATTCAGAAGTAATTTGACATCTATACCTGAATATTAAAAATACAGCTTTGTTTTAACATACAACATAGTTTTATGAATCATGCATATAAAATACTGCTATTAGAAAAACTTCTTTATAACATAATGATTACCTGCCTTAAAAGAAAATACGTTATAAAACAGTAAGGCCGGTTTTAAATTGTGCATAGAACCAGTAATTGTATCTTTAAGGCAATTAGAAGATTTATTGAATATTGGTTAAAAGTAGATTGACAATGACATTAAAGAATAAAGTGTAATTTATTTGGTGCTACTTTGTGAATGCTTCCAAGTACAAATCATCTCACAATACCATATACAACATACTTTCAATCACAACTCAAATATAAAATAACCTACAAAATCACATTGCTATAATCAATATACAATAATTGTATTTTTAAAAGAAGAAAAAACGTTAGCAATTTTAAGTTAAGTTGCAGTAACTTTTTTCAAATAAAATATTAGCACCATACCAGATAAAATAATCTAAAACTATTGGCCTTCTCATTCTTCTTAAATAACTAAATAGAAACTTTTTTTCAAAGCACAAATATTAATTTGTAAAATCAGTTCTACAGTAGTTAATATTTCTTTCTTTATTGTTTCTTTTTTGCATTTTTCCCTATAAGGAAAAATATGAATTAAAAACTTTCACGGGATATGAAAATCAAACAAATAAATCTGACCCAACCAAGTACTGTCCTTCAGCAATGAGTTCCGACAGAAGCAAAAGTGGACATTTCACGGCGTATGGTACTGAAAGGCGAGAGTTCGAGTTCCGTGGTGTACTCGTTGTCATTGTCATCACTGGTCACCGTTGAAGACTTCTGAATGCATTCCTCACAGCAACAGCAGCAGCACTCCATGAAGGCCCGACTGAAGGGTTTGCAGAGACAGAAAAGGAGGACTGGGGTGACACAGGACTTAAAGAACAAAAGGAACTGGCTGATGATATTAAGGAGGTCCATTGTCTGCTGTGAAACCCCTGTAGCCATGTAGGCAGTAACAATGTTGCAGATATTTTCAGGAATAATGCAAAATCCATATAAAATGGTCAGTGCCACTACTGTACAGTTCATCTGACTCTCTAGTTGAATCTGCCGTTTATTCCCTCGGGTACAGGCTTTCTCTGCTTTGCGGATTTTCCTCGCAGTCACTAGAGAGCAGGTGATGGTGAAAAGCGTGGGCAAACAAAAGTAACAGCCAAAATACCACCACAGTCTCGCACTGTCGTAGGTGAGGGCTAGAACATAGATGGTGTCTGGTAAATCAGGAGAGATCTTAATAATGCACCTTTCTGCCGGAGCTCGGCCACTAAACCCCAAATCCTCCTTGCTCAGCTGGCGGAGAACAACTTCTGGAAGTGCTAACAATAGAGCTCCCACCCATATAACAGCAAGTTTGGCAGTTGTTGAGGAACAGTTTTCGATCATTTCGTAGTACATCTGTACGTTGGTGGCAGCACGGAAGCGGTCTATGCACAGAGCACATAAGGTGAAAGTGGTGACTCCCAGAGAAGCGACCTGTGGGGGAACATAGAAGACATTTATTCCCGGTGTCCCCCGAAAGATCAAAGCACTAGGAAATAAATGCAGATTGGCAAAACTGTAAAAAAAAATATGGATAAATAAAAATGAGAGAGAGAGAGAGAACAGTTTTCCAGAATGAGGCATGGGTAACTGGGCTCAGGACGTCAGCTGAATCATTGTAAGCATAAAAAAAGAAAACACACTGTAGTGGTTTGAGGGTCATGGAGTGCAGAACATTTAGGACTGGAAGGATCCATAAAGATCAGCTAGTCCAATCCCTTTTTATTATAGATCAGAACCCAGATACACTAAAAATTTTATTCACCACGAAAATGTCTGCCACTAGGAGATCTAGATAAGGAGTCAGGGTAGTGCAGAAATTCCCATTTTCATTGCTGACCAGGATGCTCATGTTTTCCAGTGTGAGGGTCAGTAGTGTGCCTTACACACAGCAAACACTCAAGAGCTTATTGTCTCCAATGGACTAAATGATTGGAGGGCTCCTCCAATTTTTCCTAAATGCAAAATAAAGTATTACAGTATTATTTTCAAAGGCATACACTTACGGAAAACAAGAAAGGGAAATTCTCCAGAGGCCAAAATCAAAAAGGAAACAAATTTCAAACAGGCCAGAGACCCCTCCCTCTTCATGCTGCGTGTTTGCCCTAGGGGCACCTGCCAATCCTGGTGAGGGTTTCAAGTTAGTTTTAGCTAGAAAAATGGGGCAAGGTGCCCAGGTGCACAGAGACAGGAAACAGAGCTGGGGCCAATGTGGGTGGGGATTGGGTCAAAGACTCCCTGTGAATTTGGAACTCCTCAAATGCTGACATCTTTAGAGGTGTAAAGGGAAAAAAGAGAGAGAGATAATGAAGAAATCTGCCTGGATGACAGGGTTTGGGTCTGGATGAACTGGGGGAAAAGGAGGGAAAAAAATGGCAAATTCTAACTGGGAGCCTGAACTTACATGGTGTTAGGATCAGAATTTCCAGGATCTACGTGGCTCAGAAAACCCAAAATACAATTTAAAATAATCCCAGGCACCTGGTTAAAATCAAACATAAATCCTCTCTGGAAGAATGCACTTTAAAACCAGGCCTCAAAAAATCCTATAGTTAAAATTCAAGGGACATGGGTTCACAAAATCAAAAGTCACAATATGCAAGAGACAATGAGCCACTATGAATTTATATGCCAAAGATACAGAATCAGACATAAGAAGTATATTTATCATAAAATAGGTATGTACATCAAATTTAAAGAAATAGGAGATACTAAAATAGAACATGTAAAAATACAAGAAAATATGCAGAAAATAGCCAAAAAGAATGTCTAGATATCCCAAACACAGGAAAATTTTGGAGCATAAAACTCTTTGACAATAACCACATGAAAAACTGTATTCAAAAAGGCACTGCTCTTATAAGCATATGGTCCAGACATCTAAAAAAATCAACATTTAAAGGTTAAGAACCAAAAATATGTACCTATTTTTTTTTCACATAGAGGCTCTCCAGGAATATAAACACATGTTCCTAATGTAAGCATGCTATCATTTCATTTACTTATAAAATATTTATTAAGCATTGTACATGTACTCAAATGGGGCAAACAGATACATATCCAACACAAGCACACATTTATTTATATCAACTCTATGCCGAGCACTATGCTTGGTATCGAGAAAATAGAAAGTTACAAGAAGCAGTCCCTTCCCTCAAGCATATCATAGTCAACCAAGATGGGGACGATGGTTCTCAAAGTTACAACATAAACACAGCAATCACCTGGCAATATTAAACCTACTTAAATATTCTGGGGAAATTTTAAGTAATTTAATATGTAATAAATGTAGTCATTATTTATATATTTAAACAAGAACAATGAGTAGAAGGTAAAATGTTAATAACGTTTCAGATAAAATATGAGACTAAAAGAAAACTCCCTGGGTGGATGGAATGCTTTGGTCTACATCCCAGACAACTTGAATATAAGCTTTTGCTCTCCCCTGCCTGCTGGTAGGAAGGTTTAAGAAGCATGGTTATAGGCTATTCCCTGGTAAAGGGGCAGGGGAAATGTAAGTATAATGTTAATATCTCATTTTTTAAAAGTCAAAGGGATGATGTTGACAAAAGGGAAACCATTTGTCATACAATTTTAGTACTCAAAACATTAGTTGTTTATCTACTACATTCAAGCTGTCACTCTCCCCAGAGCTACGGCAACTTGCCTTGGGGATTCTGACAGTTCCAATGTCAAATATTTCCTCCTTATACACTACATATCAGACGGCATCTACTAGTTCTAATATGGAAAATAAGGACATTGTATTTATGCCCTGACTACTCTCATAACTAGTAGTGGAGACAGTCTGAAAATGAGGTATAATGAGGTGTTAACTATATTAAAAGCAAAAATGAAAAAAAAAATATGGCTAGCAAAGCTCTAGTCAGTGCAGATAAAGAGGCACAATTGGGCTGATAACCACAATTCTTATTCTCCAAATTTTTCAGAATGTCTCCCATAAACATTGGCATATGAAACATCAACCTAATATGACTGCAAATGACAAAAAATAATCTCCACTTTCATCTTTTAATAATTAACCTTCAAATTAAAAATTGTTCACATTGATGAAAATTTGTTTTGCGTCTATGCTAGAGGCACAAAATAATTCTAAAAATGAGGTCCACATTGTACAACTGTCTTATGATCATGTTTTAAAATGCCAGTAATTGCCACTTAATAAAGACATCTAAGAACGGCTGGCCACTTCCTAAAATTCTATATCAAACAGTATCATGTAGAAATTACAGTACCTTAGTTTATAGATTTTTGAAACTTGACATTTGTATATTAGTTTTTCAAATGTTTTGATTCATTTCTCCTAAGTCTGTCAAAAACAAAACAAAACTTCTTAAACTATCAGAAACCCTCGTCAAGGCTTTCGTGCCATCTTCACTAAGGCAAATCTTTGTGCATGCTTCCCCGTCACTTTATAGCCCGAATGAGTCCACAAATACAAGGCTTCCAAAGTTTATGCTATACATCCTTTTGAAATCACAAATAGGATTTCTATTAAAAGGAAAGCTCAGTAATATAAAAATACTGGAGACTCTGAGGAGAGGCAATCTTTTAGAGGCTCAGAACATCTATTTGCTTGGTGGTTTTCTATCATTACTTGCAAAGAACACACAATGCACAAAAGATAGCATCTTCTCTATTAATCTCCCTAGTTTTAAATCCACAGATTGAAAAAATATGGATCAATTATCACATATGCTAGTAACTGCATACCTAACTCCAGGAGTTACAAAGTCTTTAATGAAAGGTAATGGCAAATGCATGCCGGTGGACATGTATTAAGATGGGTGTGTTAGATTACCAACTCCTTAGATATCAGAAGCTGTGCTGCACATCCGCTCTTAATTAGAAGATGTTAACTGCCTAAGAAAGCAAAACAATGTTTTTCCAGGTTCTTTACCTTCAATCTCATAAGACAACAAAAGCCAGGACAAATGTTAAGCAAGATTTACATGTATTCCAACTTATCATCAGGAATTCTACACTGTGTTTTATCTGAGGATGCTCAGTTCTTCAGTCATATTCCCAAAAGCTTTAGTACCAAGTCAAAAGCTCAAACATACATGATCTGTAGTCTTTTTGATAAATCATGAATTAAGGAATCCTCCCCAGTTTTCATATACAAATTTCAAAAAGCTCCTACATCCAGGCTTCTGTTTTCAAATTGAACTTTTCTCTGATAGTACTCTCTGCAGTTAGGATCCAGCTGCAACAGGGTAAACAGTCCAGAAGGGTCACAAGAGCAACAGAGAAAGTTGCTGAAGGAGCCAAAGAAAGTAGCACTGCTCCAAATGCAGCTAGCGCTTGGGATGCAGTTGCTCTTGGCAACTGCATCCCAAATGCCAGTCCTAGACATCTACTCTCTCCTGCTGCCACTGCCTGCAGTGATATTACTTCAGATCTTTTTTCTGTAAATTCACTTACGCACTACATTTTATGGTGTGAAAGAGCAAGAAATGTACAAAGGCCCTGTCAGTACTTTTCCAAATTATTTATAGGAGGCTTTAAATATGTGTAAAGTAGTAACTGCACACCTCAGAAATTAATTGATAAAAATCATATGAATAATGAGTGGCGTTCTAATTTCTTCTTACCCAAACATGAAATCTATCCATGTAATTAAAATTCCTAGATATTGGAGCAACATGAAAAGATTTCTATCACAATTTTGAAATATACTTGTTTACATGCAGCTTATTAAAAATTCTAAGATGAATAGTGCAATTATGTGCAATTATAAAACTGCATCATGAACGCCAGATCTTCTGCATTTAATGACCATATCTGATTGCTAAAATTCAATATCACCATGAAATATGCTCTCAGGAGTAAAGCTGTTAAGCATTGGCTTAGATGGGTAGTTCTTTGAAGCAACATCCTGAGAGACTGAATGAGTAAGATGCAATCTCTTATTAATTAAACTGCAATGGGAGGAATAATTAACAGCAACAAAAGCAGAACTGTAAACACTTTTCAGAGACAAGACTATTAATTTTGATAATTTCAAGATCAGCGGGAAAATAGAAACAAAATTTTAACTATTGGGGAAAATAAGATATTGAGCATTTTGAGAGGATTGGCATTAGAATACAGAGATGGAAAGGAATCAAAATAAACAACTCTAAGATCTTTCAAACAACAATGTTCTGCTTTTCTTTGTGTCCCAGAGTAACAACAATAAAGCTCCTTCAGCTCCCACCCAGCCCACATGTGGAGCAGTGAGGCTTTGGACACCAAAGTGAGGGGTTTAGGGTCATTCTTCTTGATCACCCCTAAACTGTTCCCATTATTATGCCTTTATTGAACACTGTATTACTAGCAAAGAGACCACTGCATTAGCACAATGCTATATGTGTGTGTGTCTTGTTTTTAAGAGAGAAAGAGAGAGAATCTATAAAATATACTGTAGCTGCTGCTGGGAACAATGATGAATAAAGCAGGAATTTTATCCTCAAGAGGTCTGGAATCTATGACAGAACTTCTCGACTATCTCCCACCTGCTACCATGCAGCCAGCAAGTTGCTTTACATATGGAATCACTCATTACAGTCTACTAGGCAGAGAGGATTGACTAACAGTTTCTGGCATGCTCACTGTGACTCCCCTTGATCTGGGACATATCCATGTTTGCCTGGAGACTGCAGTTGAGAATCACTAGTTTAACAAGATTGGAAGACAAACATAATTTCACAGTATCTCCTAGGGAAATTGCTACAGATGTCTAACTAACTTTACAGGCTGACCAAATTATAAAACCTCTCCTGATGTATAGCTGCATTTCAAGAGATATGATCCAATTCTTTGCAAATATCATCTATGTCCTACTTAGTCTATTAGACTAGGATAACCTTGTGATTGTCAGTTTGACTGTTTATTAACAATGCAGTACAGTCATGATTTGTATTTTAACTGAAGTATCTATTTAAATCCGTGGGATACAAGGATGGTACAAAAAGGAAAGAGAACTTGAAGACCACCCAGAATTCATGTCTAAATGTACTCTTTGTTGCTCTTGACATACATAGTAACCCTTGTAAAGTTGTAAAAGTTTGCTCCTGTGTAGGAAAAAAAAATAGCCCAGGAAGGATTGCCATTAGCTTTATATGTTACTTTAGTCATTTAGAAAATCATTAAATAAATCATTTAAAGTTTGGATGGGTTTCTTAAGTTTTCTCTTAAATGATAATATAGAGATAATAGATAAATTTTCTCTTATAATGATAATTTTAGGGGTAAAATTTATGCTATTACAATATTTGCTCATTTGGAGATTTATAAGATACTGGAGAATGAATACTAAGGGCTTAAAACACTCATAAAATAATTTTATTATATTCTATATTTTGAATGTTTTTCTAACTAACAAAACTCCATTTTGAAGTCATCTAAAAAGGTTTATTCCTAATTACAGTTAAGATGCAATTGGCTCAATTTAATGATCCAGATATTTCAAGTGACATTCCAGATGTTCAATATTCAAGCGACATTCAGTACTCTGACAGATTAGTTCTCATTTTCTCCTTGCCTCAGTTTTCTTAATAAGGAGCAAGGTAATATGTATTTCTCCCCTAATTGTGGATGCTGATATGATACACTATGAAAGTCTACCACAAAGTGGAAAAAAAAAACCTATAAAGTATGGAGGATTTTGAAAATATAATGGAAGTTTTTGTGAGTGGCTTCTTGAGTTACCTTTTAAATTTTGTTACAGAAAGAAACCAACAAAAAACAGGTAGTTTGGTTAGGATAATGAAGGAGTACAAATACAGTCACCTGCATGGAAATGATACGGGTCCTCATCTAGTCCCTTATCACCACTGGCAAGACTGAATTTAGAGAAACCCAACTTGGTAGTTATGAGAACCATAAATATACCTCAGCTTTCAAATATTTTGTCCCTCTGTTAAACATGTATTTATGAGATCGTGAGTCCCAAATTTTGGTTCAGCACCTATGCTGTCCAACTTAAGACAGCTACTTTATACCCCGATGAGAAATTAACCCGGTCAGTAAGTTACATGACAACAATGACTTTGGGGAAAGATTCAGAGTGAAACTATCTCTTGATAAAGTAAGAAAAAAATGTATCGCTCTTTCCAGTAATTTCAAGTCCCATGTTTCCCTAGGTTTCTCTTAAAAAAAATAATACAAACAGAAAGAAACTTATAAGGCAAAATACTTAATAAAAGGTAAAAAGCATGCTTTATAAGTCAAGATATAACTAGATTTCATTTTTCCCACTGCTCAAGTTTCTAATTTAAAGCAACTATCAGGACCTGAGGAACCTGGGCTACCATAGCCACTTTGTGCTACATTAAATCTCTGTTCATTCAAAATGATATGAAGAAAGAGCCCATGGGTGCTTTATGAAAACCAGTAATCTACAGAGATCCTGTCTTAGCTACTGCTGCATTTCTCAGAAGCTAACTGCAGACAAGTTAAAAAAGATTAAAAATGAGAGTAAGACGTGAAGTAGACAACACAGAGCCCATAAAATACAAATCATAAAGTAAATTGTGTCTTTCGCAAAACTTTCCGGTACAAATCAGTGATAACACCGATGGGAAAAGAAAAAACGAAACAGTGTCCTAAGCAAAATTTCCTTCCTATGAAATTGAATCTACATGCTCAAGTACAGTGAAGTGACTAGAATACACTGGTTTTTATAAAATAGGAAAATTTCTAACCAAGTTCTTGTTAACTGCATTCTAGGCTGGCTTATATTTTACATAAAAAATCTTTAAGTACATCTATTTATGTGCTGTCCTTTGTTTACAAGTAACCCTCAAAACAAGGGCATTATTGTTAAGAAAACCCATTCATTTGGGCTGTGAATGATAACCTATTATGTCAGTGGTTACAGGCCTAACAACCAGTCAGGAAAAGAACAGGATGAGCACAGGGTAGAACCTCTAAATGGCTGGAGCTTCTATGCCTTTGGCTTCTTCTTGCATTTTTCCATTATCCTTGTCCTTGCAGCATTTCAGGGCAGCAGTGGGAGATACTTTTTTGAGCACAAGTGGGGGAACAAGTTTATCAGAGCCACTGTTTATCAGACTGCTCTGAATAAGATGACCTTTTGCAAAAGGTCTTAATTTTGGAGTGTATGCAGATCATGATACTATGGCAGTGACACACTTCGATTAGCATTTCTAAACCAAAAGCAGAGAAGGAGAGACTTTCCTCACCCCTTACATTCATGCACACACTGCTTGTGCACTCTCTGGAATGAAACAGAGCTCTGGCAGCCACTGTTCCACAGTCAAAGAGAAGACTTCTTATCCTTATCAACTGATATTTAGTCTGATATGCCCACATATAATAAATAACCATTTATTTCTAATATACTCAGACTATTCCATTTACATGTGATTCCCAATGCCGTGGGGGAAAAATATTTTGAAAGCATCAACTATCAACTGTCCTTACTGCCTCATTCTCCACCTTCTCTTCTTTTGCCTAAGCTTGATACCACGCTTTCCTTATTTTAAAAGCCGTTTAAGACTATTTAAAAATCAACATATTCTCCCAAAACTTGTCTTGATTCCATAAATCCTCTTTTCCTTTATAGTCCTATCTTGAATTAAGGTTTGTTACCAATTATGATGTCTATAGCACAGTACATTCCTTATATGGTTAAAAAAATTCATTTAACTACAACCTAACATGTTATAATTCCTATCAATCTGTCAGGTGTTTATTAAAATAAAAATGTAAATGAAGCAAGATTAGCAACATTTTGTCTTAAGATATAAACCATCTATGTTAGATTCTAAAGATTCCATGTTTATTCTCAGTAATTACAAAATCATTTCAAAATGTAATATTTCCCCCAAGCCCACAGTCCAGTTCTCAATCTTTGGTATTATTATGATGTTCCTAGTCAATCTTAAAGTGACCTGGAATTTCAGTTCCTTACCTTGGGGTTCTGATGAGTTTCCAAAAAGCAGTAACACATTTTTACCTATTTCCCTTTCTGACTAATGATATTGATTTGCATGACTGTGAACTCAAACTAAAAACAAAATTATGTATAGTTAGGTCATCATGATTTTAATAAAATTGAGAAACCATATTTTAGGACAGAATTTATCTGCTTTTAACCAAAATTTCACTATTGGTAGTCTGTTAAGGAAATTTCTTTCTTGATTCAATCTTCTTATAAAAGGCAGTTATTTCTAAATTGCATATCTTGATGCGAATTGGCTTATCAGATGCTTTTCCGATATAAAAAGGATTTGAATTAGGAAGACAATAGTAAAGATAGGCCCTGAAGATGGGAATTGATGAGGAAGGGGCTATTTTGACAGAAAAAAAGAAAAAAGTAACATCCCTGAATAGAGTCACAGACCTAATAAGAATGTCTCATTCTAGGCAGGGATCAAATCAATGACCTTGGCCTCATTAATGAATGCTATGAACTATTCAAGTGTACAGACAGATAACACTGAAAACTATTACAAATTCACAAATGGAAAGTATTCTGTCTCAAGAACAAGACTGACACAGTGATCATATCCTGCGTTTTATGGAAGTTTATGAAAAGTACCTACACTTACTCTGCAAATAAAAAAAGACCCTCCATATTTGACGTTGCAGTAATCCCATTCTCAACTCCACTCTGAAATTTTGGATGAGATCATCTCTTCTGGCACAAAGAGTATTATTCCAATTAGGATATTTAAGAGTTAGTCTTGGCAACAAGGTTGAGTTCATTATTGGACCTTGGCAGGTCAATTCATGGGAAGTGAAATGACAGGCGCATCCCTGGAGGATGGAGCAGAAGTGCAGAGGCAGAGACAAACTGCACTGCATAGCTGCCTTCCCATCCCTCTCCCACAATCTACATCCCAGACACAGGTCCATGTGCTTCCAATGGGATACTGTTAAAAGGTTGCCGCACATAAGACGAATGCCATTAAAGGTGTAAAAATTGTATCAAGGTCCATGCAGCCTAAATATGAAAGCAAAGGTAGACCCTCACCCACTCAGCCTTCGGTAAACTTATAAGCTCATATCTGTTTTACTTCTGCAGACACATTTGCCTCCTTGTCTCTGTGGAAGGATACTTTGCTGACATGGCAGGATACCTTGGGAGCCCTCAGGAGCTCAGAATAAATCTTCACTCTGATTATGTGCTTGAGAGATTAATCCAATTCTTGAGAAAGTCCATTCATCGTGCTCCCCTTTCCTCGACTCCACAATGGAGTCTAAAGTATCGCCCTTGTCCATCTTCTTTCTTAGGTTCTCCAAGGTCAAGTTAAACAATTTGTATATGTTTTGATTTTTTCAGAAGAAAAGGACTCAATTTAATATACTGTTATTACATTGCCAAATAAGCCATTCATTTAAATAAAATGTTTAATTTTGACGTATTTAGTGTCCTTATAGCTAATAAGGACTAATTGTAAAGCAGAGATAGATATCCTAGGCACTGGCACAAATTCCATATTTTAAAAGAAATTTCTAGAACTGAACTATTTGCTGAATTATTTTGCCAATTATTATTATGGACTTTCTATCCTGGGAAAGCTAAAGGAAACAAAAAAGCAAGAATTAAAAGATTTTCACATTTGTAACTTTTCATCATGGATCTAGGCTGTATAGGCATTTATGAAATTTATGAAGATTAATAGTAAGAATGTAACTGAAAAGAATTAGAGGGAGCACAGTTTTCCCTTTAATTTCTCCATCTCTGGTCATAACAAGCACAACTGTGACTTGACCCATTTCAGTGCCATTTCTGAGCTTCCACGATGCTTTGTTCAAACCTCTATTATAATATTCATCATGGTGTAGAACATTACTTTACTTTTCTGTAATTTTAATGGCAGTGGCTCATCTATGATATTCATCTTTGGAAACTTTTCCCCCTCTTCCTGTATTGCCTTCTCCTGCCCACTCCTAATAGTACCTCGCATAGAAGAAAAGCCAGGTAAACATTTGATAAATCAATGAATGGTGAACAAATGAACGAATGATGACACCTATGGAAAAGGATTACAGAAAATAATAAATTATTCAAATTGTTCTTTAATCAGTTATTGGGTGCTGCTGTTTTATATATAATCCTTAAAAGCTGAATGCCAGACAATATCTATAGAAGGGAAGTTAAAAAATCAATTTTCCTATTTATACTTCATTGACAAGCTTTAGAAAAGGACACATTCTCATTATGATCAATGGAAAAGGAAACTATTTGGATTTCTTATTTGAATATTATAAAACTTTTCTTTCTTGTGGAAGATCCAAATTCAGTTAACTTCACCATACACCATTCAGAAATGGAGTTATAAATAAAAGTGCACTCTAAGAAACACTTTTCTTCCTGTTAGAGTCATCAGCTAAATATTTTCATTTGCATGGGAATATATAAAATGATTACTAAAAGATTAATGGGAAGTCATAAAATATTTGTTCAGCACCATTCTCATATATTGAGCACATTTTCCCTAAGAATACTATTAGTAACTTTAAAATTGCTCATAAAACAGTAAGTTTCCACTTAAAAGTCCGGCAGAATACCTAATGACTAATCCACCTCTCAAAGAAAATTTACCATATGCCATGATAAATGTTCTATTACTTGAATACAGGCGTTCTAGGGAAATCTGTGTAGACTCAGATAGTTGTATGGCACTGTCATCTTCAACCTCCAAAAACCCTTTCTTTCTTGTCAGTGCTAGCTACAATCTAAGGCAATGAAAGAGCCATTTGTTCCACTCAACTTAAAACCAGTATTGCTAAAGTCATTGGAGAAGCTGGTTCCTCTCATTAGAAAAGATTCTAGACTTGTCACAAATTATTCCCAGACCAGAGGCCATGGTAAGACATGTTCCCTTTATTCTCTCTCCACCTCTGTGCAGGAGTTTTATCCCAGTAAAATAAAAATACAGTTAGATCTGGGGTTATCTCATTATAATTATTTGAAGCCTTCTGTTCTACAACACTCCATGAAGGTGTGGGTTCTTTAAACTAAAGAGAATCTCGATCATTCAAAACCTCCAATTAATGTCCAAACAGACCTTAATCTGTTATCTGGGATCTCGGTCAGATGATACCTTGATTCTGACTTCCATTAAATAATGAGCAAAGATTCATTCCAGTTGCCATATTTGATGTCTGAATTATTTGAATTTTTTTTTTTTTTTTTTGAGACAGGGTCCCACTCTGTCACCTAGGCTGGAATGCAGTGGCATGATCATGGATCACTGCAGCTTCAACCTCCAAGGCTCCAGAAATCCTCCTACCCCAGCCTCCTGAATGGTTGGGACTACAGGCATGCACCACCACATCCCGTTAATTTTTGTATTTTTTGTAAAGATGGAGTTTCGCCCTGTTGGCCAGGCTGATCTTGAACTCCTGGGCTTAAGCAATCTGCCTGCATAGGCCTCCCAAAGTGCTGAGATTACAGGGGTGTGCCACCACACCTGGCCCAAATTATTTGGTTTTAAACACTTGTTAGATTCCTAAGTGAATGGTAGGTATGGTAGAGAACTCCTCTGCCATTCTCCTATTGCAATCCACACCCACACATATCTCCACCTCCCCTAATACACATAAAAGCACACTACATATACAAGTTTTGTTTTGAGTATAGTTTTTTTCTTGTGGCTAAGTAATAAACCACTTTAAACTGATGTGTCTAGGAGGACGGCCATGATCTATCCAAATTTTCTTCTCTCCTATCTGGCATTTCCTACCATTTCATTTGTCCTTCGACTTTATGAGATTTATTATTAGGCCATAAAGATGTCATAATCCTGGAATAGAAAGGGAAAAGTCATCAACTACAACAGTTCCCAGAACATTCTCACTCACGGCAATATTAAACATCATAAAACTTCCTTTCTCACAATAGACCTTGGAAGCTGGGTGCTATCCTCAAGCTTTAGGCCAACAAATTAAAATAGAAAGAGGAGTTGAATGAAAATTAGAAAAAGTATAGTTTTTACTCAAGAAGTACCTCATATTTTTCTACACAAACCCAAATCTTCCCCAAAATCCCACGATTCCCTTCAGATTATGCTAACGCTCAAGCTGTACAGGAGAAAGAACTGTGGTAGAAAAGAAAAATAAAGCAAAAGAGAAGCTGGGAGAGAAAAATTATAAAATTCAATCATAATCTATTGAGAATAAAATTTAAAATTAACTACGAAAAAATTAAAAATAAAAACACTGAAAAAGGTTAAACATCTTACTGGAAAATGGTGAATGCTACATCATAAATCTATAAGAAGGTATTATACATAGTTAAAGAAAGGAAAAATAGCCAAGAAATAAAATAAGAAAGTAACAAGTGAAGGAATGGCAAAATTTAGAAATATGAAAGTAGACAAGATGTCAAAAAATTTTTAAAAGTCTTGAGGTCAGAGGCAAAATTTTGGAAGGGGATTTGGAGAAAGTTTGAACAAATGTAATGTACTTGTAATGTCCTTCACCAATCTAACATACTTCATGATTTTAAGAACATAAAATTTAACCTATATAACTTTTTGGTCATTAAAGTCATCATGCTAGGCAAATTAAAAAGTATAGTTGTCTCAGATTACTGCAATTTAAAAAATTTTAATTAACTACCAATTGCAGAACTTACTGACAGTTTATGAGAAACAAAAGAAGCTATACATTTCATTATATAACAAATGATGTTTACGGGTTTTTATTTTTTCCTGTCTAGTGGATTAAAAAAAGAAAAAATTTTTCAGATGCCAAGGAGCGGAAAGGAAAAGAAAACACTCACTGGATAAAGCTTGTGCTTCATACAGGTTGGTCTAATCAGCAAATATAAACATGAAGCATTGAGACCAAGGGTCTGGTGGCTACTGACCAGGTATATATGTTTAGGATAGTCTCTGAGCTTCAAATTTCATCTTTAAAATGAGGGAGTTGGATTAGAACATTATCTATGTCTGATTTAACATGATTGTTCAAAAGCTACTGTAAGCTGGGCGTGGTGGCTCACGCCTGTAATCCCAGAACTTTGGGACGCAGAGGTGGGCAGATCACAAGGTCAGGAGATCAAGACCATCCTGGCCAACATGGTGAAAGCCCATCTCTACTAAAAATACAAAAAAAATTAGCCGGGTGTGGTGACACGCACCCGTAGTCCCAGTTACTTGGGAGGCTGAGGCAGAATAGCTTGAACCCCTGAAGCAGAGGTTGCAGTGAGCTGAGATCGTGCCACTGCACTCCAGCCTGGTGACAGAGCAAGACTCCGTCTCAAAAAAAAAAAAAAAAAAAAAGCTACTGTAGTGGATGCTGTGGTTTTCCACCCAGACAGCTCCCTCCAAAGTCCTTCAAGAATGAAGCACTGATTCCTCCAGCTGCTGGGGCTATTGGTTGACAGTGCTTAGCTGCATCCCTCTCTAGGAATTGCCCTTGACCAAAGAGATCCACCCAACTCAAGGTTATACCCCATCCTGGGAGCAGGCTTGCATCCAATGTCTTACATCTAATGACTGGTCCATAAAGAGATGTAAAGGCTGAGCCCTCTTGCCTCAATTTGGGATATGGCTGCATGGCCATCCCAGCCCTAAAGCTCCTAATGGTGTCAGCTGAGGTCTCTGTGGCAATTGCATCACAGTTCAACTTCTCCCTTTGCCCGCCCAATCCTGCTTTCTTCTTTCCTTAATAGGTTGAACCTGAGAGCACAACCCAATAAACTTGATGCCCCAATAAATCTACATCTCAGGGCCTGTTTTTGCAGGAACCCAACGTAGGAGAAACCCTAAATACCTCTTACTTTTGTGAAAACATCAGTGCCTCCTGGAGACACACTTTTATTTTGAGATTTGGACTGTAGTTCTTGTTCTCAGTAATCAGGAATTATGAAGCCAGCAATATTGTCCAATAATTATTTTTATAAACCATTCTAAAATTATTTCAGAGTAATAAGGATTAGGTAGAAATATAGAAATGCTACATATTAAGATGTTCATTCACTATTTTAACAGTAAAAATGTATATTATACTGTAATTTTAAAAAATAAATGAGTGAATTTTTTAAGCCTTTGATTCTCTAAGAAAAATAAATGCTAGCACTAATAACTGAAAAATAGAGAAAGCTACTAGGATGGGGAAAAGTTAAGCAAAAATACAGAAAGTAAAAGATTTTACTAATAATAAGAGGCAAAAAACAAAGCACTCTTAAGGAGGAGCTGATTAAATTAAAAAGTGAAATACAAATGAAAGAAAGTATTACATTTGTACAAACTCAGAATTACGGAAAAAGAAAATTAAAATAAGTACATAATAAATGCCATTGCTCAAAATGCTTATATCTCATTAAATTAACCAAAGTTTTTATAATCTTTCCTGAATTTGATATTCTTTTCTTTTAAGGTGTTCTTTCAAGAACTTTGGTGTTTTTATTTTTCTTTCCCCAATTTCCTTTTTCTGTCCTATTGTTTTTCCCTCTAGTGTATACAGATTTCTACATGTCCAGTACATTTCCAGTGAGATAAGCCAATACACTTCTCTGTCATTGAGGTACCTCTCTTGTCCGCTTTATACTTTTGTCTCTTTCTTGCATAAGTCAATTTCTTCTGATAAAAAAAAAAAAAGAAAAAAAGAAATTTGAAACTGACCTTGAAGAGGCAGTTTGGTAAATAGACACATATTCTCTAACATGAGTTCAACTGGCTCCTTCACAATTCAAAAATGAATTGTCTACCAAACAAAGTAGATGTTTCAGAGATACGCCAAGCTTGGCAACAGGAGAAATCATGGACGCTGCTAAAGCAGCAACAGCTGATTTCATAGTCATGGAATGATCCTGCACCTGATCCCTGTCAAGATAACAGAGGGTCTTATTTACTGTCTCCAGCTTTGGTCCGTCTAAGTAGGTACTGTTTTCTGTTTACTTATCCCCCAGCTTTAGGCCTGGAACAATGTTGAACATAGTGTCACAGGCCCTGGTGCCAGACAGGATCAGGGGCTGCGGAATATTTACAGTTTCCCTTCTTCTGCTTCCATAAATGAAATGGACAGTCTGAATGGAGAAAATCAAGGGCCAGCTGGCTAAAAACACAACTGGCAGCAAAACAGTTGGGCCCCTTCCAAGAGCTGGTGTTTAAAGAGAGGCCATTTAAAGAGCAAAGTCCACCTACCACAATAGTGGGCCAGGACACTAGCTGTAGGATGAAACAATGCAATTTCACTCAAAATGATTTTTGTTTCCAAAGTTTGGAAACTAGATGTGCCCCCTTCTTCCCAAGAAATTTTCTAGTCTTAGGGTCAATCCCTTAAAATAGCCAATCTTTCCACCCATAACAAATAACAAATGTATAACTTTGAGAATGTTAAACAAATTATGTGCCACGCTGGCCAAAGTCTTATTTTTGCTTAAGTTCACGCAAACACACAAAAATAAAATTAAGAAACCGAGATGGGAAAAGACAGGAACAAAAAATGACTTAAGAATTTAGATGGGATAGCATGGAAGACAGTCAGACACTTAAACTAATTTGAGAGGTTATTAATATATCATGAGGCCAACTGACAAACACAATTTTCTTTCTTTCTTTCTTTCAATAAAATGTTACTCCAACTTTGCTGTTTAAGAAAAAATGCAATAATCTTCTTGGGGGAAAACTCACATTGAAGCACTTGGTAACTAGTACACAAATGCTAATGTTTTTTTTTTTTTCCTTGTAGGCTCTGATGATGACAACCTTAGGCTGGCCATTTACTTAACCCTAAAATCTCTGACAAGTGCCAAATCAGAAATACGCATAACACCATATTCAGGGAGATAGATTTATACTCCAAACAATTCTGTATATTGTGAGATCATCCTTTTTTTACAGCCCAGGAGCAGATGAATTTGAAGGTGATTTCGCGAAGCTGCCTCTTTTTGTATATACATACATGCATAAATGATTGGAAAGAGAAATGAAAGAGGGCCCCAGATAAAAAGGAAAGGCGTTCAGCTAGATAGGTGCATCCAGCAGCAGTTCTCTGATGCTATAATCCCGAAAACAGATAAAGCCACTAGCTTGAGAGCCCCTGGAAGGCATTACCTCTATATAGGGCACGATCTTGCAGGAGAAGTCCTCCAGCAGCCACTTCTTGGTCAGCTCGTGGAAGATGACCAGCGGAAGGCAGAAGAAGATGATGAGAAAGTCCCAGAAGGCCAGGTTGGCCAAGAGGGAGTTGGAGATGCTCCGCATGTAGTAGTTGTGGCACACGATGCACATCACCGCCAGGTTGCCAATGATGCCGGTCCCGAAGATCACCACGGACAGACACATGACCGCGTAGGCTCCATAGGACTCCTGGGTCAGCGGGTAGAAGGGGTTCTTCAGTCTCACACGCCGGTTCGTGCTGTTTCCCCGGCGGGGACCCCCAGGCTCATGGATTCCTTCACCCAAGGATCCATTCTGGGCCAGCGCCCGGCCCGGGAGTGCAATTGTCCACCCTTCGTGCCCCGCCAGTCCATTGGCCGTCTTGGACAGGGGCTTGTGGTGGGAACCCTGGAGTTTCCCGGCTCTCCTTGGCCAGTAAAAAAGATCGCTGGCTCCGGGGACTGTCTTCACACTCTGCTCCTGGCTACGCCCGGAAATGCCAGCGCCTCTGGGACCCTTCTCTTCCTCCTCTGAGATCTGAAGGAAGAGCTGGAGGGCCGTGGGGTTCCCTCTCCCCAAAGTTTCAGAAGGCTCCTGACCCCGAGCACCTTTCCACCTCCAGGGGCCAGGTGGCCTGGTTGGAGGTCCCGGGGGTCCGGCTGCCGACGCCTCCGCCCCTCTGCCTGCAGCCGGGTCACGGCCCGGGGCCGCCGGCAGGTCCCAGGAGGGTCCCGCAAGAAACGCTGCCCCCTGCTCCTCCCTGGGTGCTCGGGCTCGCAGAACGTCTCTTGCAGAATTTCCCGGTCCCCAGGCGTCCCTGCCGCGGCGCTGGATCACTGTAGGTGCACAGCTCTCCCCCAGACAAGTTTCGTTTCTGGACGCAGGGGCGACCCCGAGGGCAGAAGAGGCAGACACCTTGAGCAGTAGCAGAAGCAGTAGCCGCGACATGCGGGCGAGAAGCGCGCCCGGGGCTCGCATGGCTTGGTGAGGGCACACCCGGCAGCCGCAGCTCCTGCTTAGTTAGGATCGACACCTGCTGCCGAAGTTGCTGCTGAGAGTTAGGCACATGTCACATACTCACCCCCGCCCGGGTAGCGGGGAACCGGAGATTAGGGTGATAGCGGAAGATCGGTCTTGGGGGTCACACACACGCCCCCTATAATCCTTCCTCCTTTGGCATCTTGTGCATTTCTCAGCCAAGTTGAGTCCCAGCAAGGTATGCCCTCCAAGGTTCCTAGAGGGAATAGGCTACTCCCGGTGGCTGACCTTGAAAAGTTGCAATCAACACCTGACTGTTGATTACTGTTGAGACTCGGGGGAGCCCAGACGAAGCCCCACACTCCTCACTGCCTTTGGGTGGGGGTGGTGGCCTTCTTGGTAACAGTTGCTCTGCCTATTTACATCCTTTCGACAGCGTTTGATCCAGTTGCAAGCCGAGGTCTCTAGAGGAAAAGAAAAACAAGTCCCCCTCCCCCAGACGACTCGCAGTCACAACCCCGCTCCCAGCTCGCTGGAAACACGTTGCAAACAGTCCGAAGCAGCGCTGATGCGCCGGCGAAACTCTTGCCCCACCTAACCCCAGCGACTTGCGAGCCTACTGCTGCCGAGGAGAAGCGGGATTCCAACCCCGCGGCCACTGCCAAAGTTGCTTCTCCTCCAGCTCAAAGTTGACGACGGGGCGAAGCAGGCTGCTGGACGGCGTGCCGCCGCAGAGAAGGAAATCGTGGGGAGAAGGGGGAGAAGAGGGCGCCGCTCGTCGGTGGACAGTGCCGCTAGCCGCGGGAGCTAGTCACTGCCACAGCGGGCTCAGCCCGGACGGGAAGGGTGGTGCCTGGAACCGCCGCGGGCCAGGCAGTGCGCGGCCGGGAAGGGGAGGTGGCCCGGCCTCGCCCCCGCGCTCCAGCCGCTGCGCGCGCCCGCGAAGCTCGACTCTCGGCTCGTTGCCTCCTCCCACTCCTTCGCCTCCTCCTCGGAGAGATACTGGTTTGTGGGGAGACGGGATCCCCTGGTGGTTCACCACTCACTAAACCCACACACGTTTCATTCAAGCCATTTGTAGCGGCTTCCACTCGGAGGAGCTGGGAGGGAACAAGGGCGGAGGCGCGGAGCCTGCGCGGCTCGAGGCTAGGGATGGGCGGGACAGGTTAATTCCCCAGCTGTCGAAACCAGCCTGACAGGTCCCCGAGCCCGGGCTAGGGGCGGGTGCGGGGCGGGAGTGGGGGGTGGGGGTGGGAACGGGAATATGAGAGCGGTCGGGGGAGGGAAGAGAGGAGGGTAGCAGGGGAGTGAGCAGCAGGGTCCCCTCCAATCTGTTGCGGCTGATGCGCATGCCCAGGTCTCAGCTCTGGGGGGCGAGGGGCGGGGCGGGGGAGGGGCGGACGGGGGTTGGGCCGCGGGGAGTAAGAAGGTGAAACCTCACCTCCTCAGGTATTCCCTAGAGATAGGAGAGAATGGGAGCTCAGAGGTGTCAGTCATAGAGAATTACCAGTTCCAGGATTGAGATGCAGAGCGAGAAAGCTCAGGATGCACCATTACCTTTAACACTGAGTTGGGAAGCATCCTACCATGGGTTACTTCGTACCACCCAGAGCATAGTGAGGTAGTTGTATTTGATGAAGTAGTGGGAAATGACTGGAGGCAGAAAATTACTCGAACAGCACTCCCAGCACGGCTGTCCATGCCTTTCCAACCTTTCTACTATATCCCACAACCCTGTCAAAACTGTCAGGGCATAGCTAATAAAATAGACAAATTAATGAAGAGAAAATGATAGAGGAAGAAATAAACACATTCTGAATTTTTTTTTTAAACAGAGTCTTGCTGTGTCGCCCAGGCTGGAGTGCAGTGGTGCGATCTCGACTCACTGCAACCTCCGCCTCCCCGGGTTCAAGCGATTCTCCTGCCTCAGCCTCCCAAGTAGCTGAGACTACAGGCACCCGCCACCATGCCCGGCTAATTTTTTTTGTATTTTTAGCAGAGACGGGGTTTCACTATGTTGGCCAGGCTGGTCTTGAGCTCCTGACCTCGTGATCCGCCCGCCTCGGCCTCCCAAAGCGCTGGCATTACAGGCGTGAGCCATCACACCCGGCCTGAATTTTTTTAAAGCAACACATCTAGAGAGGCAGGAGAAAACACAATGGAACATATGATACCAATTGTGGTAAATAGAATAATGCCCCCCCAAAAAAATGTCCGAATCCTAATTCCTAATACCTGTGAGTATGTTACCTTACAGAGCAAAAGGGATTTTGCCAATGCAATTCAGCTAAGACTCTTGAGATGGGGAGAGTATCGTGATTATCCAGGTGGGTACACTATAATCACAAGAGCCCTTACAAATGAGAGGCAGGAGGGTCAGAGTAAAAACAAACACAAGCCAAGTGATGTGGGCAATCTCTGGAAGCTAGAATGGGCATAAAAAAGGATCTACTAGCCCATTTGAGACTTCTGACCTCCATAACTGTAAGATAATGAATGTGTGTTGTTTTAAGCCACAAAATTTATGGTTATTTGTTGCAGTAGCAATAGTAAACTAATACACCATTAAATCTAAAAATGGAGACAACAGGAATAATTGTATAGAAAAACATAAACTACCAAAAATAGTTCAAGAAGAAAATTTTCAGAAACTGTAATCGAACTATAACATTAAAGAAATCAAATCATTCATCAAGATCTACCCAGAGGAAAGTGCTAGACCTTAGCATATCCTGCGGAATAAATATACATTTATACAAAATGTTTTAAAGCTACTCAGTTCATTTTGTGAAGGCAGAATAACCTTAATGTCAAAATCAGACAAAGCCAGAAATAGGAAAAAATATAAGCTAATAGCACACATTCATTTGTACATTAATTCATTCATTTATATACACTAACTCATTCTCTCAAATTCACTACTTCATTAAAGAAATATTCTGCTCAAGTTACTTAGGTCAGAGCAGTGAATAAAATAAAGTTCTGCTCTCACTGAATTTATATTTTCTTGTATACTCATAAAAAGGACAAACTAGGCTTATGTGTATCACCAAGACTGAATCTCAGAAACATAAATGTAAGGGAAAAACGTAGAACTTGATGTGTTAACTATATAATGCTACCATTTGTGTAGCTCTTAAAATGCACATAAAACAATTTGATAATCATACATGGTGTATCATATAAAATATGTGAATGGAATAAATACAGATCAACTTCAGAATATTAGTCACCTCAGGAAATAGAAGAATGGTCATGGGATGGAAGGAAGCTTCTACTCTAACTGTAGTATCTTGTTTCTTTAAAAAAAATTTAGAAGAGGGAAATCTGGATTAATAATGAAACAGGAAAAATAAGTTGCCAAAATGAAACAGTGATATAGCTTCCCTTCTCATCTCATTAGCTTAGAGTTTAAGTTACACATGTAAGATATGTTTCTATCCTTTTTACTCTAGACCACATAAATGTGTCACTAATCTCTATCACTACACAGAAAGGAATCAAAGCTAAACAGGGAAAAATCCCTTTACCTGCTCCCTTAGAAGCTCCATTGTAATTCACACATGCTTGGCCCAGAGTTGGGCATCATTCTTAAAGTGGTGGGCTATAGAACTCAGGTACCATGCTTGGAGAGTGGCTGGGGAAAGGCCTGAAGGAGGAGCTACCTGTGTTTGTCTGTGGTGGTATCTCATTCATGAGTGGTCCCTTCCTTAACCTGAACAATGATGCCTACCTACTTGGATGGTTGCCAAGTTCTGGTTCTCTAACTTATTCGGACCATGAATAAAACCAAAGAGCTCCAGCTACTCTATTGGAGCCCAGGTCAATATCAATTATTTATAAAATTGTGTTTCCAAAAATATCAATTATTTATATTTTTGGAAACACAATTTTCTCATCTGTATAATAAGGATACTAATACCTACTCTCAGCTCTGCTCACCCAAGTTGTTATGTGGATTAGGTAGATATGAAAAGACTACATAAAGTATAAAATATTTATTACTGTTGCTCTTGGTAGTTCAACTTTGTTTTTAGTGAAATTTAAATGCTGTCAAAAACACATAATCCTTGAAAAAGAATATGCTTGGTAAATAAAAGTGTAAAGTAATAGGTTTATAAGAAAATTTAGAATGCATTCCCTGCAAAAAGAAAAACACACATCTTCAAATATTTTTCCAAAGCTTAGCTCAGCTGTAACTATAAATTTTAAATGGAAATAGTCACATCTCATTCATTTGTGTAGATTCTACTTTAGAAATATAGATCAGAAAAGGAATTAGCTAATCATTGTCTGGTTTACATCTGAGGCCATTTATCTGTACAAAGAAAACTGATTTGAACATGGATTTTTTTTCCTGTGTCAGCATTTCACAAGGTTTATAATACATACTATTGATTTTTTTAATAAAAAAAGAACATGTAAATTATTACCTGCCTTGGCATTTTTATAAAATCTATTACACTTCATTTGGTGTTTGGTGTGCTGAAATAACACACATCACAGAATGAGAGAAATTACTATTTCAAGTTTTAAGATACATCGTTGAACAGAAGCTTTACCCAGCACACAATTCACTTATCAAATAATTTTCTTTCTTTTTTGCCTCAGATAATTCAAAAGGGTCATTTTTTCTGAAAGAAACTGTAACATACCACCAATAGATTATTATTTTCTGAAATTCAAAATTTGTCTGTTTTCCAAATAGTTTGTGGTTGCAGCCTTTCTGTCACTGAATTATTAATTGTTAGTTTGGAAGCCTCCATTGATCACCTTCATTAATCACCTCTCTCTTTTGCCATATATAAGAGCCAAATTATCATTAACGGGTGGGAAATGGCACTGCTTGGAATATAATATCAATATGGTTATGTCTACCTTAAAAATCAAATATCAAAATTAAAGTACTTAAAATTTAAAATAAAACAACAATAATCAAAATAGTCTTTTATTTATTCCAGACAAAAATGTAGACATTGGGCTACATAAAATATGTTTGAACCATACTTGGACCAGCACACTAATTGCATAGCCAAGTCCTTTGGGTTTTGTTGGATTCGGTTTGTTGTTGTTGTTGTTGTTGTTTGTAAAGAAACTTGAATGCAAAAGGGTGAAACTGAAGATGAATTAACACAAGCATAACCAAACATTCTCAACCTTTCATAATTCTTTATAGAAATAAATGCTTGTGAAATGCACCCCTACCTTTTGATCAACATCCTTTTTGAAGCAAAGATAATTTGGATACTTAGTTGGCCCTCAGCCAATAGCAATGTAGCAGGAGATCAGACCATCTCAGGCTTCAGCCTCTCATGACTTCTCAAATTGTGTATTTTCCCTAGCAAGCACATTAATTGTAAATCTTCCAAAAATCATAGTAAGCTGAACTTTTTAACAATTATCCAAAATAAATGTGATATAAAGATACATTTTATTGTATCTTTATAATACCAAAATAAATGTGATATAAAGATATACCAAAATAAATGTGATATAAAGATACATTTTACTTCCTTCTCCCAGAATTTGGGTACAAGCTGTATGCTATATCAATAAGATTCCTTCTGAGACTGTTTAAACCAAATCATCTTATTCTATATTGTTGCTCCATCTCTGACCAAGCATTATTATTTAAATTAGTTTTCTGTGTAATGTTGATACTGGATAATACACTAGAATAAATGCAAGTCAAGCCAAATTGCAGAAGTGTCAGCCTGGTTCAAATAACAAAGGCTAGCAAATTGGAATTTTTAGTATTCTGACCAGAATAATTTTTGTATACAGAGTCAGTAAGGAAGAGCATGGATTTCTATATGAAAAGTGAAAAGTTGAGATAGAAGGGATTTTAAAAGATAATACACCATTGATTTGGCTCTCCTGGCAACCTATTAAATTTTAGCTCTGGCAAAGAAATCAATTCAATGAACACGTACGTCTAAGACCTGAGTCTTGGCACATTTAGCATTATTTTCCTGATTAGTGGTTGAAATATAAATAGTACCAAAACAATATCTGCTTTGTGAGAGTTATAAAACTACCCTAAAGACTGGTCAAAAACAACAACAAATAGCTTTTCTAGTATAATCTTCCTGATTTGCTTGTTCACTTTTTAGAATCTTCTGCAGGTGATATTTTCTTTATTTGGATTGAGGTCCAGAAAGAAAGAAAAAAGTATCTCTGTGTTATATTTAGTTTTTTTAATTCACTCAGGATGTTGAGAGGGTGTGACTCAGTATTATCACAACAAATTGACCTGATAATGTAGACATTTTGAATGATCAACTTAATAGAATTTTAAGATTTGGCCCAAGGTTATGAAATTTGGATTGCCTGACATGACTAGTTTCTAGTGTTTGCATTGTCTTCCAAGGCCCCAGCTGGTCCATGGAATGCTTTTTCAAAGCTAGTTTCCTGCTTATTTCTTCATGAACTCAATATCCTTCCCTGAGCATCCCTGAGCACCAAAACAAAACTTTAGTTTTGAGTTTTAGACAGCAAGGAAACTGATTATCTCCTCTTGTGTTAAAGAGACTACACACATGTGATAACATGACTAAAGATCTTTGTGGTGGTCCAAAAGAAGCACCTCCTAGTGACTGCGAAATGTTCACAAGGGTGGTGTCTTTGGGGCCTTGTAGTATGTGGGCAGCGTCCCTTCTAAGATTTCAAGATGCTTTTCAGCTCACTAAAGAAAAGACACATTTGATCTCTGATAAGATTTTAATCAATGTAAATATTGGACTTCATAAAAGAATTGTACTTATAAGAGAATTTGACTGCTAAAAAACAATTAAAAGTCAATCATACAGTACTCCCCATTCCTTTCAGAAATAAGGAAACTGAGACCAAAGTGGGTGAGATTATTTGCCCTACATCATGTAGTGTAATAGAAATAGAACTTGGACTGAAAACCAAGGTTTTTGAGAGTGAAGGAAAGGGGCAAACCAGTCAGGAATTCTGAGAGGCTTCCTGAAGGAGGTGAATGGAGTAAGATACTGAAGTGAGTGGACAAAGAATCCATGTTGCAACAGAGTGACTGGCATCAGCAGACTGGGAGAAGAGAAAAAGGATGGTGTGTATGGAACTACAAGCAGTTCAGTGCTGCTAGGAACAATGGCTGATACTTTTTGTTCTTAAACAAGCAAACAAACAAACAAACGCTTAGTCATTATATTGTTTTTGAAGAATGTCTAATTAGGATAATACTTATTATTTGGCCACTTATTCCAAGCCTAATGATCTTCAAATATATATTAATCTCTTTATTCAGCAATATTTATTGCCTGCCTCCTATGTGCCACATACTGTGCTAGGTGGACTAGATATACAATGGTGAGAAAAGCAGTTTATGGCCCAAATCCTCAAGAAGCTTACGTGGTAATAGGCAATTTAATCATGTAAGTAGACATTTAATTAGAAGGCACCATGACAAAGTTAGCTCTTAGAATAGGGAAATATAGAGTGCTATGAAGACATAAAGAAGTATCTTATATAGCCTGGGGGAGGGGACAAAGTAGGTATTTTTGAAGAAAAAAAGTTCTAAACTGAGATCTGCAAGTGAATGCAGGGGGACAAGAGGGAAGGGGAGAGTTGGACATCCAAATGAAACCAGGATAAAGCTGAAATTCAATATCATAGACTTACAAAAGTGACAGTAGTACAGTGTGGCTTGTAATAGAATTGAAAGTAGAAATGAGGAGAGACAGGTCAGAGAGGCGATGAAGGGAAACATGGGCCAGTGAATTTCAACCAGAGAGTGCTCCCACTGGCACCACCACCAGGGAAGCCCTACAGAATGCCCTACAGGAGTGCAGTGGGTGAATGGAGGTGCAGGAAATGACTCTGAACCAAATCCATACCTTGTCTTGGCTTCTCTCTACCACTCAGCTTTTTTTTTTTAATTTTTATTTCTTTCTCACCACATTCTTGCTTCCTTTGCATCTCAAATATATGATAAAATATGCCTGCCAACACCCTTTTCATTTATGCATTAACAATCAGTTGTTACAGGGACAAATAGGCTGAGTTCTCTTTTTTTTAGTTTCAGTGTCCTAGGCAGGAACGTGACATAGTCAGATGAGCATACCTGAACTTTTAAATGTGGTTGGAGGGAATGTGCAACCTGCTATAGTAGACAGCTTCCACAGACACTGCACAATTATATTATGAGAGAGGTGAGTTCATAGAAGCAGGAATGGTGAGAAGATTTCCAAGTATGAGAAAGGGTTCTGGACAGAAAAAGTTATGGGTGTTCACTTCATTGACACACAAGATTGTAATGACTGAAAGGTAATGGATGTAAAATCAAAGGGCATAGTGACCTGCAGGTGTTGCTCAGTGAGTTACTGTTGTTGAATTGATTTTAGTCTCTTGAAAAGTGTAAAGTACTCACAAGGACCCCTTGTTTTGTCTTACTACGGCCATGACTACCTCCACTCAGCCCCCAGGCACACTCACTTTTCTGGGAGGTACAACTACTCCAACAGTTTATTGTCCTAATACTGGCTCTGTCAAATTGATCAAAGCTTGAGCAATTAGTCCCATACCTGGAACTCCTCCAATTGGAACAGAAACAGAAAGCGGGTGCACAGAGTAGCTTCAGTTTAAACACGACATGGGAGCTATTGGTAGATAATGTTTCCAGTGAGGATAAAGGCACATAGAAAAGCAACTTGTAACCTGGAAGACAAATGAAGGAGACTCAGAAAAAGAAACCAATGAGCTCCAGAACATAGTTCTGTGCCTGAAATCCAGCTGCCACTCAGTCCTTGGAGTCCATAAGATACTCCAGTGCTTTGTCACTAAGGTTGAGTTGCTGTTCAATTACTTGCAATCAAATCTGTCATTACAAATACTCCCTGCCCAGAAACCTTATGACATTTTGATCTACTCAAATTCCCTAACATTTATGAAAAAGTTGTATACATCATCACTGTGAAGACTTATAATCAACATGCTAAACCTAGTAGAATGACCACAGGTAGAACCCTAAACGATATCAGAGTTTTGCATAAAAATTGTTAACTATTCTAGATCTTGGATTTTTAACTGTATAAGATTATATAGTGTGTCCACCACCCATCGAGGTTTTTATACATTGAAAGATTTCCTCTCTAGCCCTATAAAGCGGAGGAAGTAAGAAGGGGAACCAAGTCATATCGCTTTCACACCTTTACCTAGTAAATTATCAGAGATCAGTTTGAAAGACAGCCCTTCTGTGACACTGTTATGGGAAACTGAATCATTTCTGCCCCTTTTTCCTTGAATGCCCTTGAGGGCCATACACAAAATAAGGGGATCTGTAACTTAGGCTTTCATCTCTGGAGAACAGTTTTACCTGACTCTAGCACAAAACAGAAGGTGGGAGGAGAAGGCATTTCTCCTCTTAAGGCTTCAGATGAAGAGAAATGAAACAAATCCAGTATTTAAGAAAGACTTGGAGATCACATTAAAGAAAGAAAAATAATTGGAGACAGTCAATCAAAAAGCATCTAATATGTGCCATCTTCATGTGGCACTGGGCAGGGTGCCTGACAAAGCAAACTGAGCCAAGGCGGTTCTTAACTTTAAGTTGTATAATCTAAAATTAAGCTTCAACATTATATGCAGGGCTTTGGGGCAACATGACACAAGATATTTTTATTTCTAACAAGTTCTGAAATTCTTTTTACTTCATGTGCCATTTTTCAAAAGCAATCCAGAGTTTTGTTTTTTTTTTTTTTGAGGTCGTTTATTGCTATCCCGTAATTGTTTATACAGAAATTCCTATAATTTTAAATTGTTACTGGGAAATACACTTAAAGAATGTTAGAAACCTGCCATTTTAATCGAAGAAATATATTTGGAAAGAAAACATCTCCTCAGACCATTACAGCATACTGTTCGCTTAGATCATAATGACTATATTTTAATCAGGTACCCATAAATATTACAATATTGAGAAAAGGCCTGGGTTCTAATCCTGACTCCTTCATTAATTATCTGGAAGGGTTAGAGACATCTCTATTATTTTTGTACTCATATATCCTCATTTGAAAATGGCTAAGGCACTGTTAAATAATATTATATTCCAAAACATAATAAATATTTTTCACATTCACATAATTTCCATATTAGTGATTCACATTCTTTACATTGTTTATACAAAAAAATCTCTCTTTTGTATAGAGGGTTTATGCAACTGAAGGAAATCTGGAAACTCTAGCTATAGGTCCAACACTGGTACTAATATTCATGAGTTATAACAAGAATAACTCATTATAAGGGCATATTGTCCTATTTTTATGTGATATATGCAGTATTAGCTAAAACCATGGACTGTGTTTAAAAATTATTGTGTTGTAAGTGGTCCTTGCATAAGAGAGCATTATGGAAATAGAATGATTGAATATTTATAGTGATTTTCCAGGTGGTGCATTGTGTGTGTGTGTGTGTGTGTGTATGTGTGTATGTATGTGTTTTATTTTCAATTTATTGAAACATATTATTTCAAGATATATATAATAAACATATTATTCTTAAAATAAGGGACATGTAAATTTTAAAAGAATACTGTTCAGTTAGAATTAACCAAACTATTGGATTCATTAATGCTCTTCCTTCCACCCATAACACATGGACTGCCCAAGGGCTGCCCAGTCACTGACAGGCTACTCCATAGGAGACTCAGGCACTTCTGCTTCCAACCCTCTCCTTGAGTGGTGTTGCTTACCAGAGTCAAAATCAGTTGTGTCTGCTTCTTTACCTGTGAAAGTCACTTGTACTTGTCATGATAATTATGCAAATTAATTAACATTATATTAAAAAGTGATGAGATGTGATTATGAAAATAGAGTCATTTCTTTAAACGTTTCAGAAAGATTTGATTTTTAAAATGTTAAGTTAGATGTAAGAAAACTATAAAATGTTATGATAAAAAGTTAAAAATGCTTATGTTTTTAGATTGCTTTATTAAGTGTTAAGTTCTTAACTTTAATGAAACTCAAATTGGAAATGTAAATGATATGTTATAGGTGTGTGGTTTATGCAAAAAAGAAGGTAAGGACCTTCATTCAGGAAATAGAACTCATGTTATTGGCCTCATCCCAAAAGCTTGGTGAATAAATGAACATTTATATATTTTAGATTAAAATAAGTATTTAAGGTATATATTAAGTTTTCAATGATTCCTTACTTTCACTGCTTTTTAATTCTGTAACCAAATACAGATTCTAATCGAGTTAGATAAGAGAATTCCAATTATAACTATTTATTTACGAGCCTGGGTGTTAATCATCCTGTGGCCCCTTTCCTACTATCTCTTATACTTGAATTTCAAACCCTTTCCTGCCAAATATTTATTTTACAATCAACTGTACATAGATACCCTTTGAACTTAAAACCTGAAAGAAAACAGTCTGAAAACAATTATCTTAGAAGTTCCCATAACAAATCAGCCTTTAATCCTGACTATTATTCTAGGCACTTTTATTTGTATAGGGAATTCCTTTTTTGGTCAATTCTATACATTCACCCAGGTTTGTGGCCCCATGCAGAGTCTAGGATTATTACTCTGGTTTATAGCTTTAGAAAATTTTATAAAACCACAACAACACAATGTCTTCACCAAATTATGTAAAGTGTTACTATTTCCCATAATGGTTTGTGGGAAAAAAAAAGTATACATACATATAACTATTTAAGCACTTACTAATTTAGCAAATATTTATCTGCTATCTGTTATGCAAAAAACAGTGAGGTATACTTGCATATTTACAAAAATAGAGCTATTCTATAAGGAAGCTTGATATGTCTATTGTCCTAGCTCTAGGAAATATTTATTTTGATGATTTTATTTTTTATTTTTTTTATTTTTGAGACGGAGTCTTGCTCCGTCGCCTAGGCTGGAGTGCAGTGGTGCAATCTTGGCTTACTGCAACCTCTGACTCCCGGGTTCAAGCGATTCTCCTGCCTCAGCCTCCCGAGTAGCTGGGATTACAGGTGCATGCTGCCACGCCCATCTAATTTTTTGTATTTTAGTAGAGACAAGGTTTCACCATGTTGCCCAGGCTGGTCTGGAACTCCTGAGCTCAGGCAATCCACCCGCCTCAGCCTCCCAAAGTGCTGGGATTACAGGCATGAGCCACCACGCCTGGCTCTTTTGATAATTTTAAACCAATAGGTATGAAATAGACTATGTAAAAAGGGAAGTGAAATCTAATGGTACAGCTTAGAAAAATCCTCAGATAAAAGAATTTTTCCCAGAAAAACAAAAAAAAATGATTTAATTTTTAAAAGATGGCTAAGAAAGACAAAAAGAAAATCAAAACGCCAAGGGAAATTCTCAGGATTTAGGTTAAAGGTTGTTTTAATCTACAGTTAATATCTCGAAAATTCTTCAGGATTTTCTACTAACATTGGTACATTGAAACAATACCTGACATATTTTCTCACTATATGTCTTCAACAATGCATGGTTGCTAATGACAGCATTTGCTCATGAGCCTTCCCTGCAGGAGAGATAAAGCCTCTGGGGTGAAGAATTTTCTACAACAGCAGACCTGCCATAGCTGATCTGTCAGGGTGAGTCAGACAGGCATTCTGCTCCCTAAGGATGACAAGAAAACAAATAAAAATAAAAGAAAATGCAAACATTTTCATAAAAGGCATTTGGCAAATTAGTAGCTGCCCTAAGGAATTCAAAGCAAGGGCAGAAACTATTAGCACTTCATTCACAAAAATCTTTTGATTTCAATATTTCAAACAGATAAATTAAACCATGTATTATGTCTTCTGATAGTTCAACTGCACAAATACATATTGTGGAAACTTGGCCAACATTACAATGATTTCATTCACATGCAGCTCATGCTCATTTTTCATTTTTTTGATACAAATATTTGTCAATTTCTACTACTGCAAGGCACAGTGCTAGGCACTGGGGAATGCAATGATGAGCAGAAACCAACAAGGACTGTATCTCCATCCTGCGGAGCCCACGCAGTTTAATGAGGATGGGGAGGCAGGCATAGTAATTAAAAGTTCCTATAAGCACATGAGGAATTGCAGTGGGCACAGATTTGAAGGAGAGATATGTGGTGCCTAGAATCTATGATTGTAGTATTTTAACTAAACCAGAAATTGAAAACAACTTCTATAAAGAAGTTCTGAAGGACCCTTAGATATTAACTAAGCAGGGAGGGAAAAAGTTATTGTGAGCAGAGGAAACACCCATGTCCTAAGGCATGGTGGCTGGAAAGGGTATGATCAGTTGAGGGGGCTGAAAAGAGGCCATTGTGGCTAACACAGAGAGTGCCAAGGCACTGTGGCATGAATGGCACTGAAGACATGGGGGATCCACATCCTAAAGGGCCTCAGAGGCATGATACAGAGTTCTGTCTCTACCCTGAGAGAGAAATAAAGTCAATGAAGCATTTAAAGGGCATGTTTCTGCATGTGGGGGTGTCACGCTGTCTGAGAGACATGACATGATCAGATTTGTTTTTATTCTCTATTTAATCGTCTCTTAATTTTACCAACAGACAGCTATCCTGTTAACAGTTTCTGTACATGGTAAGAGTAACTGGGGTTGAATATAAAGTGGTTTTACATCTAGACTGTGGAAAGTACAAATAAGTCTACATAAAAAAACACAAGTTTTGCATTTTTTTATGTAAGACAATGCAACTGAATGGCTTTTTAAAATGTATAATTTGTATTCAGAGATAGTATAATTTGCTATTCTTAACATGAAGAGAATCAAGGAAAACCGCCTTCCTATTAAAACCAATTAAATATTTGAATCACCTTTAAGCATGTACATTACACTCTTGCTCCTGATCAATATAATGAGTAAAATATTCTGTACCCGCCAGTATTAGTTACATGCAAAGAAGAATAGTGTCCCCCTTTTTTCCCGGGAACTTAGGAATAGTAAATGCACAAGAGGTTAGAAATATAAGAATTCTGAATATATTCTGGGTATAGCAGGCTGAATAATGCACTGAGTAATAACATATAGAATGACAATAACAATAACTTGCTGTTATGAGTGACTTTAGCAATAAAAAGAAATCAACTCATAGAATATTATCATTTCAAGTCAATCTAGTAATATAGTAATATACCTATAGAATTAGGGACAAAATTATACATGTCATAACATTCCAGTTTTTAACTGATTGAGTGCATGTTATGTGCTAGGTGTTTCCAACATTTCATATTATCTTTGTGAGCTAGTTGTTTGCAGGAGGGGAACTCACAGAGCTTGAAGCCCAGACCTGCTGAAGCCTGAGTGTGAGTAATAGAACCTCACTTCATCCCACCTCTATGTAAACACTCGAGAAGGTGCTAATTTTGTTTTGCAGTAGTTATTTGCACCTAGTGAGGAAGCAGGCATGTAGCCAGAATTTCCAGAACAGCCTAGCTGATGCCATGAGGAAAAAAAAAAAAAAAAAAAAAAAACTAGAGAAAGGCAAAGGAAGCTTCTCCTACCTGATGGTGTTCTTGCTCAATTTAGGCAGTATCATCTGAAGCTACGTAATTTCACAGCAATGCTAAGGTCATATGAGAAGTCACAACTGCCTCTGAAACCTCACTGTGCTAACTCCTGTTTTACGTGTCTGTTCTCTGTTTTTTCTGCCTCTCTAAGTTTCCTAACCATTTGCCATTAAAATCTTATATCTTTCTGTTGACTGCATTCCCATCCCATTGTGACAATATAGAAAGTATTACACTCATTTTATAAAGACACTGAAGCCCTAAGCATAACAGTCACTCCTCCAAATTAACCAGCAATAATAATGAGGTTATAATAAACACAACTATGCCCTTTGCATATGAAACTGTTAGGAAAGGGCAAAACACTGAAGACACACTTACAGGGTGAAGAGAAACAAAAACCAATTCTATAAATGTGTAATCTTGACACTGTGTGGAGAAAATTTAGGTTGTTTCTTTTGATGTTACACAAGAAAATCATATGAGATAATATGAACATGTTTATTTTACCATCAAATAAGCTCTATGAATACAGGAAATGTGTCTATTTCATTCACCTATTTAAAGCCAGCGTCCAGCAGACCCTGTGTGTCATAGCCACTTAATCAATACTTAAATTTTTAAATTTTCAAATGCCTATTGATTTAAATTATTTCATTACTTCATTAAGGTGAAAAAAATGTAGTTTGGTTATTTGAGGAACATAAGTGATGTTTCTGTGAGGGTGTTTTGGATGAGACTGAAATTTAAATTGATGGACTTTGATCAAAGCAGATTGCTGTCTGTGGGTGGGCCCCATCCAATCAGTTGAAGGTCTAAATAGAACAAAAGACTGCCCTTCCCAAGCAAGAGAGGATTCTGCCAGCAGACTGCCTTTAGATTTCAACTACAATACCAGCTCTTCTCTAGACCTCCTTCCTGTTGGCCACCTGCTGCAGGTTTTGAACTTGCCAGCCTCTATAATTTATTGAGCCAATTTTTCAAAGTAAATTTCTCTCTCTTTCTACACACACATGCACACACACACACATACACAGCCTATTGGTTCTGTTTCTCTGGAGAACCCTGACATAATACAATTAGTATTAGCATAACTTTTTAAGGATATGGGTATTTCAGTGTAAACAATCTTAAATGATATACAGACTATTAAGATGAGGTGGAAAGAACATGAAGTAGAAAAGTCACAGGGCCAGGTCCAAGATTTCTCTATTTATTTATTCATTCACTTCTTTATTCATTATATACTTTCTGAGCATCTATGATAACCCCAGACACTGTTCCAGGAGCTGAGGGTACAGTGGAGAAGGACATTGACCAGCTCTTTCCTCTTATGCTTATTTAAAACTAGTGGAATAGATGAGCAATATATAAGTCAACAATTGTATTAGTCAGAGTTCTCTAGAGAGACAGAACTAATAGGATATATTTATATATGAAGAGGAGTTTATTAAGGAATATTTACTCACACAATCACAAGGTAAAGTCCCACAATAGGCCCTCTGCAAGCTGAGGAGCAAGGAAGCCAGTCCGAGTCCCAAAACCTCAAAAATAGGGAAGCTAACAGTGGAGCCTTCAGTCTGAGGCCAAAGGCCCAAGAGCCCCTGGCAAACCACTGGTGTAAGTCCAAGAGTCCAAAAGCTAAAGAACTTGAAGTCTGATGTTCAAGGGCAGGAAGCATCCAGCACAGGAGAAAGATGAAAGCTGGAAGACTCAGCAAGTCAAGTCCTTTCAACTTCTGCCTGCTTTATTCTAGCCATGCTGGCAGCTGATTAGCTGGTGCCCTTCCAGTTTGAGGGTGGGTCGGCCTCTCCCAGTCCACGAACTCAAATGTTAATCTCCTTTGGCAACACCCTTACAGACACACCCAGGATCAATACTTTTCATCCTTCAATCCAATCAAGTTGATACTCAATATTAACCATCACAAGTAAACAGACAAGTTACTTTCAGAAAGTAAAGAAAAAATAAAACAGGCAGATACGATACAGAATTATTTAGATTGGGTAATCACGGAAGGCTTCTCCAAAGAGGTGACTTTTGAGTAGAAAGATGACTAGAAATAAGAAGCCAACCATGCCAAGATCTGGAGTCAGAGCATTTCAGGCAGAGGAAACAGCAAGTACTAAGGCCTAGAGGCAGGAGAGTATTTGCCCAGAGTACTTGAGACAAATTCCTTGGCCTCTCTGAGCCATGGTTCCTCATCTGTAAATTAATGGTGATGAGACATACTTTAAGAGTTGTTGTCAGAATGAGATAATGTTTATAAGGTCTGAAGCACAACTATGGCCTATAACAGAAACTTGAGAAATGGTCATTATTAAGGGAGTGTAGCAGAAAGGTATAATTTAAATTGGGAATAGGGGAGCATACAGAAATGACTTTGAAGGAAATTTGAACTAAACTCTGAAGGATGAACCAGAGGAACCAGAGACTGTCAGATGGTGAAGGAGGAGAATATTCTAAGCAACATTAACAACACACATGTACACCGTGCACGCACACACATGCGTGGTCATACACACACACACATCACACATATCCTTACTTCACTGTGGTTTTGTTGCTGGTGAGCAGGTACGGATTCTTGACTTCACCGCACAAAAGAACTTGAGAGCGAGCCTAAAGTAAGAGTAAGCAAAGTTTATTTATTGCAAAGCAAAAGTACACTCTGAGAGGCAGAGCAAGCTACTCAGAGGCAGACAGCAGCTAGTGCCTCAAAGGAATTCCTTTTATGGGAGCTGTACATACATTTTCATAAAATACGACCTGGGAAGGTCAAATATGCAAAGGCAGACCTGCAGCTGGAGCATGCGCTTAGCAGTAACACACACCGCATGTATCATGCCCTAATACAAATCATGTGTATCATTAGCATATAAAATCTCCACCTAGGGGTGCTTTTTTTTATTATTAAAATGAGGAAAAGTTTACTAAAAGCTAAACCTTGATTCTAGCTGCATATGCAGGACACCAGAGAAGCCCCCGGCCACCCACTTTCCTTTCTCCTCCCCCTTCCCTTCCCCCAAGGCAGGAATTTGTACCTAATAGCTTCTTGGGCTTTTGGTGCCGATTGGTTGGAGAATGGGGAAATTCCATCAGGAATAAGAAACTTTTGTTCTCTTTCCCAGGCCACACTGGATGTCAGGAACTTGTAACCATCTGGTTGGTGGTCTGCTGGTATCCTGTAGGACTGCTTACCTTGCCAAAGAAGTGCTGATGCACACAAGGATGCAAGGGATGTAGGGCTGTCTGTGGAGGGGCCCGTGGGGCTTCACACAAGGGGACAAGTCAGTATAACCCCGATATGATTTGGCTGTGTGGCCCCAACCAAATCTCATCTCGAATTATAATCCCCACGTATCAGAGGAGGGGCCTGGTGGGAGGTGATTGAATCATGGGGGCCAATTTCCCCCTTGCTGTTCCCATGATAGTGAGTGAGTTCTCATGAGATCCTTTTGTTTAAAAGTGTGTGGCACTTCCCCCTTCTCTCTCTCCTGCTCCTCCATAAGACCTACTTGCTTCCCCTTCGCCTTCCACCATGATTGTAAGTTTCCTGAGGCCTCCCAGCCAGGCTTCCTGGACAGCCTGCAAAACTATGAGTCAATAAACCTCTTTTCTTCATCAATTACCCAGTCTCAGGTAGTTCTTTATAGCTGTGTGAAAATGAACTAATACAGCTCCCTAACCTTACTTATCCTGCCTCAGTTTGACTGTTGTTTTAAAATTAAAATCACCCTACTTTGAAATTAGAACAAAATCACAAAATTTTATTAATTTACGTACCAAATCTTTTAAAACTCATAGGTCTACTTTATATTGCTCGCAATCCAGGAAGAAAAAAGGAAAAAGGGAAAGTGAGAGAGAAAAATATAGAATATGAATGGCAGAGAGAAAAAGCCAAGACACACATGGAGAACAATGATAGAGGATGTAAGTGATTCAAGAGGCATTGAGGCAGGAAGAAGAGTGTTGACTTAGGGAGAGATGGAGATGACGGTAGAGGGAAGAAGTGGTCAAAAAGGCGGAGGAGGAGGAAGCCGCAAAAGACACATCCCTGGACTCAGGAAATAAATCACCCAGTTGTCTGGAGCTGAGCAGACTAGGCAAAATGGCAGCATGCTAACCTTGAAAACGTTCTGGAAAAAATTGCTTAATAAAATGTATATATTAGGTTCTAAAAAAATTATCTTTGACATTCTGACTGAAGGAATTCATGTTCCTCATTCAATATGGAAATAAAACAAAATGTATTTCCATGTGACAGAAATATTTCTCACATAACAATTTTCTTCCTTTTAATTCAAGAAACCAGGAAGGAACTTTGCCATGAGAAAAATGGAAGAGAATTTTTACTGGCCTATCACTCATAAACTATTTTTCTTCCCCATTTCTTATCCTTTACTTTCTATTTCACCATACTGCCTTATCTGGTCATGTGTGTATGTATCTCTATCTATCTATCTATCTATCTAATATATGCTTTCATTTTTCTTACTTTTCCCTCAAAACATACGTGCCCTCTTCAATTATTTTGTGAATGTTAGAAATCTATTAAAACATACCATCATTGGCTGGGCACGATGGCTCCAGCCTGTAATCCCATCACTTTGGGAGGTCGAGACGGGCAGATCACGAGGTCAAGAGATCGAGACCATCCTGGCTAACACGGTAAAACTCTGTCTCTACTAAACATATAAAAAATTAGCCGGGCATGGTGGCACGCGCCTGTAGCCCCAGTTACTCAGGAGGCTGAGGCACGAGCGTCGTTTGAACCAGGGAGGTGGAGGTTGCAGTGAGCTGAGATCATGCCACTGCACTCCAGCCTAGGTGACAAAGCGAGACTCCATCTCAAAAAAAAATCAAATAACAATAAAAAAAGTTATTATTTCAACATGATAACCTATGTTCACTGATTATGTTTTTATTCATTCCTGAGAAAAATTAATGTGAACTGTTCATTTTATCACAACTCAATATCAACCCTGATTTTATTTTTAGCTCATTGCTGAAACTAAGAAATGTCCATTGACTTTCTGAAAGCAATAGCATAATGCTTCTACTTTTGTCATTAATGACAGTGATTGTGATAGATGAGCACCTCAAAGTTTCTCTGCATAAACATAGAACTAACTCAGAAAATTGTTCTTTAAAAAATATACACACCTGTTATTAATATAGTCACTACGTAAATACTCAGTCTTAAGACGGAGGAGTATGCAACTTCACTAACTATAATTGTTTACTAAAATAAATATTTCCATGCTATCCATAATGCTTTTAGTAAAAAAGGGAGGCTCATAACAATTGTAGTGCAAATTAAATCTGAATTTAAAAAACGCACAATTCTAATTGTTGAATTCCGAAAATAAATAGCCCAAATCATTCTTTTTTTTTTTTTTTTTTTTTTTTTTTTTTTTTTGTATTTTAGAACTCTCGAGAGATATGTGAAGGAAGGGATCCAGAATCCAAAGTAAAAGTCCACCACATATTCACAGCTGTGGCATCTTCCACCGCCTAGAAACTTACCCAGGAGTAAAGGCTTTCCTAACTCAGCAGCCTTAATGACTTGCCCAGAGGAACCTGGTCCAAAAGGCGCTCTCCAGGTTAGTGTAGTTTGTCCCTAAGCAGACTTCAGATAGTAGGCTGAGAGCGCATTTGGATGAGCTTACTAAATGGAAAGCCTTCCTTTTTTTTTGAAGTTCTGAGTGGATGCTGTAACTTTAGTCTTCCTCCAAAACTATTTGGAATCTCTGAAAACCTTCATAAACTCAAGAAAGGACCTATGTTTCTCATGGTCTCCAAACATAGCATTCCCAAGATGCTGCTTGAACTTGTAGGGTGTTTTCTCTGACTGGGCTGCCTTCTGGCACCAGATTTTTTTCTGCAAGATTAGTCCAGAATACTGTGGGAAAGAGCTCCCTCTCCTGCCGCGCAGAAGGTAATGCTACTGGATACGATTGCCTGAGTAGGCTAACTGCTTCCAGAAGCCAAACTTTAATTTGATCACGTGAAGTTTGCACTCTGGTTTGGATAGATCTTTTCTATATTTATAGTCCTTGATTTGTAAGTCCAAGTTTTATATATAAACAAATGCATAATTAAAACATCCATTCTAGATTGCTTGTATAAACAAAATGTATAATTTGCACTACAGATTTTCTTCAGAAAAACAACAATTACTTCGTATGTGCTTTTGGAACTAATAGAAATCTGTTCAGCTGTGATTTATATGCACTTCCAAAGTGAGATTGTTACAGAGGAAATTGTGGTAGTTAATCAACATGCAAATGACTTGTTTATGTATGACTTAAAATGAATTTTGACAGAAGTATGAATGCCAAATTTAAATCTTTAGCCTTGCAATGAAAATTACACAAACCACAGAAAGATCTGACTTACCTATAGAAATATTGAAGTTAAAGAGTTTTAATTAATGCTTGCCAGATTAATACTTTTCACTTGTTGATAACAGGTCAAATAAAAACTCAAAATGCTAGAAGTAAAAAAACACTTTTTTACTCAAAACCTTTCCTGTCACCTTCATCTGCAACATGTTATGTTACTCATTCTAGTAAATAGTTTTTAGGCATGTCTTCAGAATTCAAATTAGTATATCTATGATATGGTTTGGCTTTGTGTCCCCACCGGAATCTCATCTTGAATTGTAATCCCATAATCCCTCGGTGCTGTGGGAGGGACCCATGGGAGGTAATTGAATCGTGGGAGCGGTTTCCCCCATGATGTTCTCGTGATAGTGAGGGAGCTCTCATGAGATCTGATGGTTTTATAAGCGTCTGACATTTCCCCTCCTGGCACTCATTCTCTCTCCTGCCACCCTCTGAAGAGATGCCTTCTGCCATGATTGTAGGTTTCCAGAGGCCTCCCTAGCCATGCAAAACTGTCAGTCAATTTCTTTTCCTAATAAATTACCCAGTCTCAGGTATTTCTTCACAGCAGCGTGAGAACAGACTAATACAATCTAAGTGGCCATACTGACAGAATTATTTTTCTCTGTTTATAAATATTTGAAGTACTACAGTTTCTGAATCTCAAACATGAAAGTTCTTTTCACATTTGTTAGGAACTTTACAAGGTTTTAAATAAAAGAAAGGAGTTGTTATGAAAAAGGAAGATGAAAACAGAAACAAAAAAGTAATTAAAGCAATTCTCAGTAGTTGTCCCTCACCTGTGCTTTAATTCTCACACTGAATTGGAAAATCCCCAAATTAATATGAATTAACATTTATTGAGTGTTCCACAAATGTTAGCTACTATTATCTACTAGGCACTGTGCTGATTGCATTACATTCCTTATCCCCTTTAAACTTCAAGACTTCAAGGAAATTTAAGCAAATTGAGGCCAAAAGAGTTAAATAACGTGACCAAACTCACACTGCCAGGAAGTGGTGGAGCTGTATTTTCAGCCAAGGTCTGGCTCCAGACCCCATGGTATTAACCGCTACCCTGTACATTTCAGACTAAATGATTTATTAACAACTATGATTTCTCTGACAATGCTTTGACATTTCTTTTTCTTTTTCTTTTTTTAGACGGAGTCTCGCTCAGTCGCCCAGGCTGGAGTGCAGTGGCGCGATCTCGGCTCACTGCAAGCTCCGCCTCCCGGGTTCACGCCATTCTCCTGCCTCAGCCTCCCGAGTAGCTGGGACCACAGGCGCCCGCCACTACGCCCGGCTAATTTTTTTTTTTGTATTTTTAGTAGAGTCGGGGTTTCACCGTGTTAGCCAGGATGGTCTCGATCTCATGACCTCGTGATCCGCCCGTCTCAGCCTCCCAAAGTGCTGGGATTACAGGCGTGAGCAACCGCGCCCGGCCGCTTTGCCATTTCTTGAGTACACTACTGGTTAATGAATTTTGTGTGGAACTGAAGTTAGAGTTAACAGAGCCAGGATAGCATATAAAATGCCAACAAGAAAAGAGCCCCAAAAGGAGAAATACTAGCTTTTGATGTGAGAGACAACAGAGAGTCAAAAGAGGATAAGTAGAATAAGACAAGTGAATTTGGTCAGATCTGGGCAGAGATTAACTTAAATGACAAGGCTTCAGTATAGAGAATGGGATGGGTGTAAGAAAATTCTATATATATACATATGTATATATATATGTATATAATGTAGTTATGAGGTGGAAAAGAAGAAAATAGTAATCAAAAAGGTGAAGATGGAAAGGAAAAGAGAAGAAAAAAAGAGAGTAAAATGTATTTAGAATTTTCCACGGGATAAGCATTTTTATGTCACTGCATATAATTTTCATATTAACTGCCAAGCACATAATAACTTAGAATACTTTTTCTCATTTTTAAAGATGAAAGTACTAAACAACATTTTGGAGAAGACTTACCTGATAGAATTTGAAGAGCCAAGACTTGAACTCACATCCTTTGATTCCAATATTGCCCTGTGGGTTTAAGCATAAAGAGGGAGGGAACTATAGAGAGACATCCTAGATGATTTTGAATAGATATCATTTGGTTGCTATATTGAAAATATTTTGGATATTACTTATAGTTATGATACATATTTATTAAACAAAATGGAAAAAACATTTTCTAAAATTTCCTCCTGTTTGTTGCATTCATTTTAAAAGAAAAATATTTATACTTTTCTTGTTGTGAATTGGAATGCATTTTTATAATTCTGAAAATGAACTTTTTCATTTCTGTTTATACCATCGTAGAAAGGGAGAATTATGCTTGAAACAGAGTCTGTCAGGCATTGGTATAGATCCCTTTCTGCATCATTTGGGTCCAAAGGAAGAGGAAAAGGGATAAATCATGACCAGCTAAGAGATCCAATAAATTGGAGGAAATTAGGAGGTGCACACTTTTTGTTTGGAGACGCTATTTTCTTTGTTTTGACTGACAGCCCAAAATTATCTAAGATAGGGGTGCGTGTGTGTGTGTGTGTGTGTGTGTGTGTGTGACCTGAAAACAGTAAGTCAGGAGTATGCACCATGATCATTGTGTCCTGGGCACCAGATAAGGTCCGAGCTCCCCAGATGGTGAGCGCCAAGGGTTACATTGAGATCTCCGCTTATTCCCAGGTACACTTGCTATGAGGTGGCAGGTTAAGTTTGGTCTTCTTTCGCTCCTCTTTTATTTGCTCTACATGGGGTAGAAATCTCCCAACGTTTGTGGAGAGTGACTGTCACTATTTCATATTTAACTGCACTGGTGAAGAGTTTATTTTCCTTTAAAATTGTTTTTATTTTTGTTAAATAACCACTTTGTCATTTTAATGGCAATCTGCATAGAGGGAGTTAGATATGCGCTAATGTTGTCATCTTAAATCTAAGTTAGTTTTGAGGGAACCATTATCACACATTTTGAATGAAGTTAACATCATTCAAAACTAACATGTGGGAAATCCTTTAAGTGATTGTTTTTTGCAAATTTGCAAACCTAGAGTATATCTCAAAATACTCTCAAGTATATAGCCTTGTATTCATGAAAGAATCAGATTTTAAGTGAGGGATTTTATTTTCCTTCAAATAAATGGATTTAATGTTTCTCTTAATTATGTGTCACAAATTGGACTAAAATCTCACAGGGCCTGCCCATACAGGAATCTAAACAATACCAGTTTGTAGAGTCCAGGGGAATGTAAGAAAAATACTTTTTTCTTTTAGGTATTTATTCAAATAACATACCATTCAAGGGATTCATTTGTAAGTCATTTAAATAATTTTAAGGAGGAAGTCAAATCCTATACAAACTAATAAATTATAAGCAAATATTTATGAAAGTTCATTTCACTGCCTATGGGAAGGTTACTCTTCCTCTTTTACTGGATTGTTCTATACTACTAAGAAAGAAACACTGAAGTTCCCTGTGGATGGATAATCAGTATATGCCCACAAAGACTGGAAATCATGTTGTTTGGAGACATACATCTACAGCCTCACAACTAATCCAAAAGTCACAGACACACATTTGTTGATTGCACTTCCTTCCCTTTCACAAGATTTCCATTTCTCATCTCTCCTTTGAACCCATTTTCTTCTTTTCTGTTCCTCATCTCCACATGTTTCTTTGGTCTATTTAGTTTTTTTCTTCAGGTAATCTCTCAGTTTTTCAAGCATCTTTATTGTGTATTTTTCTGTTAGTCTCTCTTCCCTTTTACATAATCTGACATTTACGCTTTCTCTTTTTTGCCCATTATATTATCTGCCATTTCTATCTCTTATTAAACCAAACTAAATATGGCCTGAGAAGGACTCCATACTTCTATATTTGCGTCCTTGTGGATGAACTGCAACCTAACTGAATAGGTAGACAAGATTGAAAACTTAAGAGTATGCCCTGTAATAATCACTGAGTCTTGGCCAATCCCAGCAGCCATATTTCAACCAGTTATACACTGCTGAGCGTTCAAACTGTGTTCAATAAGGCAAACGCCAAGCTGTAACCAATCCAGCTGTTTCTGTACCTCACTTTAGATTTCTGTACCTCACTTTACTTTTTTTGCCTATAAATTTGTTCTGGCCTTGAGGGACCCCTGGAGTCTCTCTGAATCTGCAGTGATTCTGGGGGCTTCTCGATTCACGAATCGTTCATTGCTCAATTAAACTCCTTTACATTGAATGTGGCTGAAGTTTTTCTTTTAATACTCCTATCCTTATTGTCCCCATTCTCTCCTTTATAATTTCAACCACCCACTTTATCCCTCTTCTCTTTCCCACAAGGATAAAGCACTCCTGTAATTCCAATTTACCTCCCATGATAAGTAGATTCCACTGTTGTTTTTTTCTTTGTTTTTGGTTTTGCTTTGGCAATTCTCTTTCTTTCCCAAGGAATAGAAAAGATTCAATTCAGAAACAACATTCAAATTATCATTTGCTCTAGTAAGTATAATTGGCATTTGTTAACTTTTAATAAAAGGATATTTTAACCATAAAATGCATTTTATATATATATATATATTCTAGAGCAGAGCTCTCAGTCTTGTTGCTGATGAGAAGCATTTTGTTCTCCGTTATAAAATGTACTCTTCCTCTGAGACACACATCATGCTTCCTTGACACAAGCCAGCCTTTTCTTTATTTCCATTGTCTTAGTTTCTGATCATACCTCCATGTTTGTCAAAGAGTAGATTTCTGCTTCATCCTGCGTGATTTCAGGAGCCTTGGTACAAACCCTTTCTGCTCCCATTACTTCCAGTAACTTTCACCATCACTCTCAGGAAGCCCTCTCTCAGAAGCGGATTTCTGCCTGCTTCACTTTAACGTCTCTCAAGTTGGATACCCAGCGTGGTCCTCCTACTGAAACAAGAGTGCCAGCTATACCAACAGAAAATCTTTTTACATGCCTATCTGATTTGGCTCAAAATGAAGGAGCAGAGAGCCCAACTCTGAAGTGAAAGCAGAAACACTGAGCAGTAAATGACAAAATTAGCTTTGCTCTCAGTGGTTTCTGACAACCCCGTGGCAGGACTGGGGTGGAAGGAGGAAGGAGATAAAGCCTAAAACCTTAATACAGCTTGGACCCCAGAGTACTAAACGATCGGAGCAAAGGTGAATGAGAAGTAAATCCTCTCCTTTAGAAAAGGATCAAAAAGAAATATGTCTGTCCAGAACTTGGTGCCTCCTTAGAGGATTTATAACCATTAGCAAGCTTTCTCGCGAGTCTTTAGTTCAAATTTTCACCATTTTTCTTGTCTGAAGAAAGTTTGAGGGGAAATTTTAAGTTAAGTTAGTCCTGGCTTTAGTTTTCTAAAAATAGAACTTCAAGATATTGAAAAGATAAACCTTAAAATGAAGAAACCCAGAGAAAGGATTATACAGCAGATTTGTATAGTTGAAAAGAGAATGATTGAATCTGCAGGGAAAAGAAATTATCCAGAATGTGAAAGCACAAGTAGGAAAAGTAAATGACAGAGTAAAAGAAATATGCAGCTATTCAAAGTTCCAGAAAGAATAGCAGAGACATTGGAAGAGATGGTGGCTAAAGCTTTTCCAGAACTGTTAAGGGACATCGGTATTTAAATTCAGGAAGCTCAATGAATCCCAAGCTGAAAACAATTAATTAACACCTAAAACCATTATAATAAAATTGCAGGGGCCCCTAAGGGCAAAGAAATTATAAGCTATAATTTTTTGCTCTCAATGATGTCACTGTCTGCAGTCGGGTAGAAGACCCTGAATTTCCTGTTTTACGGCATTTATTTTTGGAATGAGAGGCCCTCATGACTGTTGGGTCTGTTAATCCTGGTTTCCCTCTCCATCCCACTTTCATTTCCCCATAGCACTCGTTAATAGGAAGACTAACTCCTGCAAACCTATAATTTCATTCTGGCTCCAATGAAGTCCTGAAAATCCAGAATCTCAAATACAGCAGTCTATCTAAAACAGGGTGGAGACTCAACATCTCTCCTTCCCAACGCTGCTCTTTGTGATCCTCTAACTTTACTTTTCAATCGTTGGTGCTTGTCTATGTCCATTGCATATTTAGCTGACTTCTCAGCACATGCCTCATTTTTGTTTCTCTTTTGGACCCAAAGGATCATCATTTCTATGAAGCAAAAATGAGACACAAAACTGTACAGGTAGAATGACCTTTACCTCCACTCAGCACATAAAAACACACACACACACACACACAGGCACACATACTTGCACACATTTCCAAAGGGCTGTTAATGTTAGGATAGGAGAAACCACTGGTAGGACATCAGAAGAACTGGAATTTAAAGGAATAATAAAGTGATGAATCAGCAGAGGTTAACTCAGGTAAAGAGATGTCAAAGATGTAACTTGGATAAGAGCAACTACTCTACTAATGAGCTTCCATCTGGAAGATGTCAGAAGAATGTCACTGAAGGAAATTTTTCTGTTTCTTCTGAGTAACAGAGACAAGTTCTTTTAGTATGATGTCATTTAGTCTATACAACCTTCTATTCCTTCTTAACTCTCTCATGAATTGACCTCCTGGTAATTCTCATTCACTGAAAGCTTGAGGATCTGATTCGCAGTTTTCATCTCTGCCTCAATCTTCATTTTACAATTCAAAAAAAAGTGGAAATCTCATGCAGCACTACATCTACTGTTTCCTTGGCTTTCTGTCTCCAGTGATCTTAATGGTCTTCACCTCCGCTCCACTTTAGTTACAGACACTCAATACCATACCCTAGGCTTTATCATCACCTGCTGTTTCTCCACCTCTGAAATCTTAACCCGAAAGTTCACTATTTGAGTACAGATTCTTACTCTTCCAGCTACTCTTCCAGCTCTTGCATTCTGTTACTTCCATTAAACATTAATTTTTACTTCACAGCGATCTCAGTTCTTTTGAATCCACTTCTACAAAATTATTTTGATATTCACATCCTTTATAACTCAGTTTAGACCTCAATGATTCTTCTCTTGTATTCCAGGTCCTACAATCACACCTCTTAAATATTCCAGGAATCTCTACTCTTCTCTCTATTTCCATTATCACCACCCCAGTTTAGGTCACCATTACCTCTCACATAGATTACTCAGCAATATCCTCTTTGGCCTTCCTGACCCTAGTGCTTCCAAACTCCCTTTCCAACTCATTCTCTGCACTGCAGTGAGAATTATCTTTCTATAATGCAAATGTGGCCATGCCATTCCCGCTTTGAAAGCACTTTAATGACGTCTAGTTGCTTCTGGAATAAACTACATATTCCTAAATATCGCTTACACATTTTTCATGATCTGGGACCTGCTTTCCTCACAAGCCTCTCTCTTAACCTTCTCATTCTATCTCACCCCATATTTCAATAGCCTGAGATATGTTGGGTTTACTGAATTTTCCATGCCCGTTCCCACCTCTAGGCTTTTGCACATGTTTGTTCCTCTTCCTGAAGCAGGAATCTGTACTTCATCCTCTTCCTGTGTTACTCTCCCAATCCTAATCATTCCTTAAGTCTTGCCTTAAGAGAGCACATCTCCCAGGAAGCTTTCCTTCTGCTCTGAGTTACACAGCCTTCCCCATGTACCTGTACTTCCCCATCGCAATACTTAATATAGTATCTGCCAACTGTCTCTTAAATTGTGTGCATCTCTCATTAGATTGAGATATGTGAGGCAGGAGTAGTATCCTCACAGGATATCACAGAGCATAAACCACATTAGTTGCTCAATAAGTATTGAATGAATGAAAAAAAATTTCCAACTCAGAGAGTCAGATGTGGAGAAATTTAGTAGAAATAACCTTCAATCAGGATACTCATTATGAAATTAGAGGATTTTGATCAGGTTATATTCCTGAAGAATATGGAACCTTATCCACCATCCTGGAAGGTTACTGGGAAAAAATTCATGTTTCTAAAATGATTATAAAATTTTCTTAATATTACATTAAATGAGTATTTATAATCTACAAATTATACACTTTTATCTACACTGAGATTTGCACATGTAATCTCCACACTAGGCACTATAAATTATTGTCCTGATTTTAAATCAGCTTTTTTCCTGAAGAGTTTCCTTCTTATTTGCCTCAACACAACACAATGGAAGGTGACTTCCAGAGGAACAAGAAACAGTTTTATATCAAATCTCTCATGACTTGCCTGATGATGTACTACAGATCTCACTGGTCTCTCTACATTTCTGACAGATTCTCCATCCTCCTCAAAGCACTGGATTTATAGAAATACTGTATATACCACAGACTTGTCTCCTTAAAACTTCAGTGCCAAATGTGCTTAGGCCATAAATGTCTGAGTTGACAGAGGACATTGATACTCCCCATGCAAGTCTCTTTTCCTATAAAAATGGAAGTGTCAGATTATGATAATTCTCTCTCCATCAGATGCCTATAAAAAACAAATTGAAGGAAGATAAAAGTTAGCAAGAAGTATGTAAGAATAAAAAAGAAAATAGCAAGCTTTAAACTATCCAAGGCTTTCATAACTGCTGTCATTTTGATGACATAGTTCTTACAGACCATTAGGCCATATCCAGCTTCCCCCAGCTGACAAGTCTGAGGTTCCTGCTGCTCTCACAATTGAGTGATGTGTCTGTATGAAGGAGAGAAGAGCCTTGAAAGTGGCTTTGTGTTTTTCATAACCACAGGAAAGTTGGTAAGATCTATCTACATTAATAGTTTCAAACATGGATGATCATCACAATTGTTGTGGGGGGGATTGTTATAAATTTCTAAATCCCATTCCCAATATTCTGGGATCCACTAGGTCTGTTTTTGTTCATTTGAGTATTTTTTTCCTTGTTTTATTACAGTAAAACTTTACATACATCAAAATGCACAGGTTTCTTTTCTTCACCCCTTTAAATTAGTTAATTATTTATTATTAGCAATCCATTTTAAGTCTTTATTTATTTATTTATTGAGACAGGGTCTCACTCTGTTGCCCAGGCTGGAGTACAGAGGCACAATTATGGTTCACTGCAGCATGGATCTCCTAGGCTCAAGCAATTCTCCCACCTCAACCTCCTGAGTAGCTGAGACTACAGGCATGTGCTACTTTTAAAATCTCTTGTAGAGATGGTGTTTTGCTATATTGCCCAGGCTGGCCTTGAACCCCTAGGCTCAAGTAATCCTCCAGTCTCAGCCTCCCAAGGTACTGGGATTACAGACGTGAGCCACTGAGCCCGACCTATTTATTTATTTATTTTTGGCTTTTAGCTACACCTATGTGGATTGCTTTTAGTAATTTACATATAATTACCATATGCATCTTTAAGTTATCACAGCACTTAGAGCTAATATTTTGTCCAGCTGACTTAAATGCTAGAGCTTAACTCCATGATCCTATCTATTCCCATTTTCTGTGCTATTATTGTTATAGATGTCAAATCCATATACACTATAAAACTCATGATACAACCTTATCTGATTTTTTTATATCAGTTACATAGCATGCTGAATATGCTAATAACTGAGTGCTGTACATTTCAATATTGCTAAGAGAGTAAAGTTCTAATGTTCTCATCACCAAAAATGTAAAATATTTGAGATGATTAATACATTAATTAGCTTAAACATTCCACACTGTATTAAAAAATCATAACATCACTTTGAACCCCATAAATAGATACAACTATAATTTGTCAATACACAATTTAAAACCAAAAAATGCAGTTGTCTTTTAAAGAAATTAAGGGAGAAAAAAAGGATATCATTTTAAATGCATTTACGTATTTATCTTTTCTTCTGCTCTTCAATCTTTCCTGAAGATCTGAGTTGTTTAGTCATTATTTTTCTTCAACCTAAAGAAAATTCTTCAGCATTTCTTACAGTGCAAGTTCTGCTCATGGCAAATTATCAGCTTTTATTTGAAAAGTCTTTGTTTTGTCTTTCTTTTTGAAGTTATTATTTTTGGAGATAAAATTCTGAGTTGAGATAATTTTATTTTCAACACTTTAAAGACTTGTTCCATTGTCTTCTGGCCTTCAGTGTTTTTGGTGAGAAGTCAATCATCTTTGAATCATTGTTTTCCTGTGTCTAATATTCCATCACCCTACCCCTACCTTCTCCCCACACACACCTCTGACTACTTCAGCATTTCTTTTCGTTTTGAGTTATCAGCAGTTTTATTATGTTACTGTTTTATATGCATTACTCCTACTGGAAATTATTGGAGGTTTTAAAGCCTGAAGTTTGTTTTCAGCCTTAAAAATTCCCCACCATATTTAGGGAATTTTGGCTATCATATTTTTATTATATGTTTCTTTTCCTCTTTCTCTCTTCCTGTTAGCTGGAATTACAAGTATATGTACATTAGATGGCTTGATATTATCGCACATATCTCTAAAGGTCTGTTCCTCATCTTCAATGTATTTTTTCCTCTTTGTTCTTCAAATTGGATAATTTATATTAATCCATCTTCAAGTTCAACTGACTATTTCTTCTGCCATCTCTCATCAACTGTTAAGCCTGTCATGTGACATTTTTCTTTCAGATATTTTAATTTCTAGCTTTAGCATTTGCATTATGTTCTTTTTTCTAGTTTGCATTTCTATGTTCACTCATTATGACCATTTTTTTCTTCTTTATAATGGTGGGTTTAAGGGTGTTGTCTGCCGACTCCAGCACCCAATTTTTCTCTGGGTCTGCTGGTCTGTCTCTATTGACTACTTTTCCTCCTGATCCAGTGTCATAGTTTTACTTTGCATATTTTGTGATGTTTATCATAGGTGAGACATTGTGGATGATACTTGGGGGAAATGTTGGATTCTGTTATTGTTCTCTGAGTAGTAGTATTTTTTTTGATAGCAGGCAATTAAATTACAGGCTGCTCACCATAAACTTCTGAAGTTTTGCTTTACATGTCATTAAAGCAGGCCTATTCCCATATCTTAGGTCAGATCTCATAAATTCTGTGTTATAGTCTTTAATCCGAAAGCATGGTGTTTCAATGGAAAACCAAAGGTATTCTTTGTCAAGCCCTTTTAACTTGTCATGACTCACACTCCAAATGTTTGTCTTCCTTGTAGTGGACAGTAGCTAAAATCTCTAGGAAGCCTTTTAAACTTTCAGCTATTGATTTCCACCGAGCTTCTTGGATTCTCACTTACACTTACATAGTCAACAAGGGATTGAGGAAAGTTTATATTTATATTGTGGTGCTCCCTCCTCTGTAACTCTTTCCTTACTGAAGGGAAATTCTTAGCCACTTAGGTTGTCCCTTAGCAACTCAAATAAAAAACACTGTAGCTTTCTGCTTGAGTCCTTGCTGCCCTGTACTACACAAACTAGAATGGAAAAGCAAGATCAATGCTGTTATCTTATGTCAAGGATCAATTTCTGATTTTGGTTATTCTCCAGTCCTTAATTTTTTTTTCTTTCAGATTGTATTATTGTTACCTAGGACACTGGGGGAAGGATATTAATGGAATATAACCTACTCCACCATTATCAGAAACAGAACACCTATTTGTTTGGCTGATTCATTTTCAAATAAAGTTCCTCTTTTTTTGTTCCTTAAACATACATTTATTTTAAGCACCTCCTATGTGCTGGACACTCTTCCAGAGTCTGACAATGCAACAGTGAACAAAACAGATATATTCCCCATTCCTAAGGAGGTGAAATTCTAGTGTAATAGGAAGACAGAAACATACACAAATATAAAAGATAGTATCAGGTTAATAAGTACTATGAAATAAATAAAACAGAAGAAGGGGGTAAAGAGTGACAGGAATAGTTTTTGGACAGGGTCATTGGAGAAAAACCTCATGAAAGAAGTTGCTATGTGACCAGCCTGGGCAACATAGTGAGATCCCATCTTTAAAAAATTATAAAAATTAGCCAGGCATGGTAGCTCGTGTCTGTAGTACCAGCTACTCAGGAAGCTGACGTGGGACGATAGCTTGAGCCCAGAAGTGCGAAGCTGCAGTGAGCTATGATCTTGCCACTGCACTCCAGCCTGGGCAACAGAGCAAGACCTCATCTCTAAACAATGAAATAAAATAAAACACATTTGCTATGTGAGCAGAGACCTCAATGGAGTGAAGAAGCCATTATGCAGATACTTGAGGAAAGTGTTCCAGGCTAAACAATAGCAAATTTAAAAACCTTGACAAAGGTGTTTGGCAGAGGCTGATTCTTGTAATAAGAGGGCCAGTGTATCTGGAGAAGAATAAGATATGCTAGATTAGAGAGGTTGCCCCAACTGGATCATACATAGTTTTGTAAAGAGTTTTGATTGTAATGAGCGTGATGAGAAGGTAGTTTTGAGCAGGTAAATGATAGAATCTGATTTACATTGTGAAAGGTGTGCCCTGGCTTCTGTTTGTAGAATAGATGGGAGGGGAACATAATGATTTTCCACTGGTGATTCTAATGATTAATAGGTTTGGGAATATGTTTCTGCATGATGCAGAAACTGGAAGCTGCTGCCTTGCTAGCCTGATATTTCAAGTGTGGTCCAGACTAGCACCATCGGCATTCTAAAAGCTTGTTAACTGCAGAATCCAAGGCCCACTCATAGAACAACTGAATCAAAATTCACATTATTTCCTCTTGGAATTTCTATTTCTACCTAATAAAATCTTACCTACTCAACAATGACCAAATCCATCAGAAAATATCCCCAGCTACAAGTGAGTTAGCTTTATACATTAATAGAATGTTATCCTTCACTCCTAGTTCCTTGTATCCTAACTTCACCTTTTTTTTTTTTTTTTTTTTTTTTTTGGCTAAGGAGTCAAAAGAGGTGAGGATTTAAGGAAGTCACACTGAACCGTGTCAAATGTTCAGTTTCTCCTTGGATTTGCAATTACCTTTCTGAAAATAGTCACAGAAGTTTTGGATGTATGTGTGAGGAGGAAGACAGATCTGTCTAACTCTTATTTGATATTGCGTGGCTCTTCTCTATCCCTCTCTCAAGCCTCCTTCCCCTACCACCCAAACTACCTCTTTCCGTGTGTCAGTCAATAACAATTGCCCATAGTCTTTACTTTGCAACAAGTTTTTTTGGTATTGATCATTCACAGCCTTTGAGAAAACTCTTACTCCACTGGTATAGTTTTTTATTTAAAACTTTATCATAAAATGAAAACTAACATGAAACTCACAGAAATTATAAATTTAAGGCATTTATTTTCAAGAAAGGCTCTTCTTCCTAGATAGTCACTCTCACCATTAAAATTAGCGATTTTTTTCAGTAAGGATGATTAGACATTACCTTAATTTTCTGGGTTTCTTGCTAAAAATTAATGATTTGTAGTTATCAAATAACTGTAAAATTTGAAGGTAAAAATTAGCAATTTTAGTGGCTAATATTAGTTGAATATAAAAACAATATTTAGATAATATAATTTTCAAAGATTTGTCAGCAATTAACTATGTATTTATAGATATAGTTGTCTCTTCCTCTTCCTTCAAACATGTGTGCATTACTAAAAAAATAAATCAAAATCTTTACAATAAAATGTAAAATACAGATACTTTTTAAAATCACAGGATATTATTTAAATCAAAATAGTTAAAATCTATTCTGCAATCTAGTATTATAATTTACAAATATCTGACTCTCAGAGTACTTAAACTACAAAAAGTATAAACTGTAGCAAGCTGATTACCTGAAATATAGTAAAGCCAAACATAAAATTACCTTGTAACTCTGTAATTGCATTTGTAAAGAGACAATATAAAAATTCTCGGTTGAAATCATCTTCTAATGATTGAAAGTCCTCACTCCCCATGAAGCACCTTGCTTGTTTTTTGGTTTTGGTTTTGGTTTTGGTTTTTTTTGAGATGGAGTTTTGCTTATCAGCCAGGCTGGAGTGCAGTGGCGCGGTCTCGGCTCACTGCAATCTCCACCTCCTGGATTCAAGCAATTCTCTCACCTTAGCCTCCTGAGTAGCTGGGATTACAGGCGCCCATCAGCATGCCCAGATAATTTTTGTATTTTTAGTAGAGACAAGTTTTCGCCATGTTGGCCAGGCTGGTCTCGAACCCCTGACCTCAGGTGATCCACCCGCCTCGGCCTCCCAAAGTGCTGGGATTACTGGCGTGAGCCACTGCGCCCGGCTGCACCTTGCTTATAATTGATGTCTATACCGAATCCTTTCCTGAAGACCAGACTTCAGCAAGGCTATCTTATGCCATTGTTGTTAATATGGTTTTTGTACATGCCTCAAAGGTTTCAATTTCTTTGAGATTTATATAATTATTCTTGTATAGCAGTACAATAATTGCAGTTTACTGACTTTTTACCTTTGATTCGTACCCAGCTTTCAAGTTCCCAACTCTTAGAATCATTTATTCTCTGTATTTTCACTTCAGCTCAACACCTCCATGTGTTACATGTAAGTAAAACTATGAAGAAAAAAAAGAACTTCAAAGCACAGAAATAAATAAATGTCTTAATTAGGGATTTTTTTCTACTACCATATGGTCCAAAAGTATTCCCTGTGGCTGTCACTGAAGAGCATGATAAAGTGGCAATGTATGTTTTTGCCAAAAATGAGCCGCGGAAAATAAAATCATTTTCTATGTGTCTTGGTTTGTTCAACAGGATGCAATATAGGGTCAAGAAGACAATTGTTTTGATTTCAGGCCCATGGGAAGCTCTGCCATAATCGCTGCATGCCTCCCTCTTGCAGTCTTACAGGGCTAGAACAGTGAGAGTAAGGGACTGACATGTGAAACAGAGCAGACAGTTCAGTGCAACACATCCCCACTTCTGTAAACAACTTGAATTGTATGCCTGCGTGCCTATTCTGGTAATGTCTGCCCTTGTCCTTCTCAGTTTTGTTCTGTTTGCAAGGGGCTGTCCTTTTAGTCTACATTTTCCAGGCACCAGTTGCCATCAGCAGATTAGAGGCAGGGGTAAGGGAGAAGTCAAGGTATTCAACTTTCTGCCTTTGGTAGTAGCTAACATCACACTAGGGCCTAGCTCCTGCCATAAAAACCGTGAGCTCCAGCCTTCATGCAGCAGCCCAAGGGCACGGGTTGCCTCCTTTTGTCCTTCTGCCTACATCTGGAGGAAGCTTGGGTGGGCCAATGTTTAGATAGCCTCACTGCCATCTAGTTAGCATCTGAGTTTCTTCCATCACCCATATAACCCATTCCTACATTAAATTCCTTGTTGTAAATGCTGAGAGTGTTTTTTCTTTTTGTTCAGATCCTAAACAATTGCATTCTGTTCATGGAGAGTCAATAACACTTTGATCACACTGAATTCTATAACTAGAATATGTATATATACATATTTGTCTTATATATGTATCATATGTACGATGTATATAAAAAGAAAACTAGAGAATTATAGGCATTGTATATCATAGATGGAATAGACCTAGAGCAAAAACAAGAAGATGATCTATAAGATTCAAGCAGTTCAAACATAAATTTTAGATTTATGTCCAAATGAACTAAACTACTCACCAAAAGAGGTTAAAATGACAACAAAGCAGGACAATTTTCTTAAGATAGTAGCATGATCCTGAAGTTTGAATATAATTCTTGCATGTTAAACAGATGGTTGGTTTATAGGTAATTAAATACAAAGAATCTCTGGAGGCAAAGCACAGCTTTTTCAGTGAGTTAGTGATGGAATAACTGAACCTGAAGTAATTGCACAAATACCAGATTGAAGGAGACTGGAACTGCTATTACGTAATATGGTCATCTCTTCCCTTCCTAAAAGATTATATTTTGTTTACCTAAATGGATTATAAGATTATGTATCATTAACATTGTAGTTTTCTTGTAGAATCAGACAATGTCTTTTACATAGATTATGCTAAAATTTATGTTTATTACTACATGATTCAATAAATGAACTGGCATGGCCTGACAGACATATGTTTTAGAAGGGTTTGCCTAAGGCTGTTAATAGAAGCATTGCAGGCAGTCCAGAAAATTGCAGTAAAAATATGCAAGTGCTTATAATAGCTTCTAAGTTAACCAGTATCTGAAACTTGACATTTATAAATGGGAGAAGAAAAAACTAAGTTTCAAAGGCCCACTCAAGCTTTCTCATAAGAAATAAAGAAGATAAGGAAGCCCCATTCTTTTTTATCTACATTTTTAATGAATATGGGCTCGTAACTGAAATATTAACTATAAGAAGCACAAGTTTGTATTTAAAAATTTCTAAGTATAAAACTGAAGAAAAAATATTGCATTGTAGATTGTTTAGCACATTTAAAAAGTCTATTCCCATTTTCCCTTTCTCTCTCTTTCTTTTTTTGTTATCCTATACGACTTAAATGTTTAAGTAGTTATATTAATAACTGTCTTAAGTAGAGAGTAAAATTCACTACATAGAAAAGAATCACATAAACTTATATTATGGGTTTCTCTTAGGTCTTCGAGAGCAGTTCATGAAAATGTGGCAGAAATGTATCTAAAAGGGGGCAAAGAATTCACATCCCTTCTGGTACACGATAGCCTCAGGGCAGCGTCATAAGCCACTGGCCTGCTCCATTCTTAGGGAGCCGGCGCGACATGGGCATTTTTAAGATCTTCATCCTAAATTCCAATGCAGAACACAAAAAAGGGTTAAGAAGTCCTGGCACGGTGGCTCACGCCTGTAATCCCAGCACTTTGGGAGGCCGAGGCGGGCAGATCACGAGGTCAGGATTTCAAGACCAGCCTGACCAACATGGTGAAATTCCGTCTCTACTAAAAATACAAAAATTAACTGGGCGTGGTGGCACACGCCTGTAATCCTAGCTACTCAGAAGGCTGAGGCAGGAGAATCGCTTGAACCCGGGAGGTGGAGGTTGCAGTGAACCGAGATTGCACCATTGCACTCCAGCCTGGGCGACAAAGCAAGACTCCATCTAAAAAAAAAAAAAAAAAAAAAAAAAGGGCAGACCATAACTTCCTATATGTAAACCTGCATTATCTTAACTATGTACATCTATCTGGACTCTACCACACACCCCTCATATCCCTTTTCCCTTTCCCATAAGCCCTCTCCATTCTCCTCAGTATTATTTAAACATCTGTGGAAAAAAGGAAGCCAGAACATCGTATAGGTCATTTTTGCCTCCTGTTTAGCCAAACCTTTCCTGCGGAAATGAAATGCAGAACTGAGACCTACCTAAATTGTGAGTAGGGGTAGAAGAAAGATAAAGGAACAAAAACATAGAACAAACATAAATTATAATCTCAAAACATTATCTAGGCTCACTGATATTTAAGAAAGCTCATGATTTTGGATTAATTAAATTTCATTCTGCCAATTTACTGAGTTGTTTTGATTAATTCCCATAGCTTCTCAGTTAACACTTGGGTTTTCTAACATCATAGAAATTGCAAATGTTTTAATTTTGTGTTTTCTTTCCCTATATGTATACTAATAGATCTGCTACATAACTAAAGCATTGACTATATCCTCCAGAATTTTAAGTAGCTAAAGAAGAATTATGCATTGTAATATTTTTCTTAAATATCACAGAAATGCTTTCTGCAATTCTCTATTAATTATGGTGCTGACTTTGGTTATGAGAGAGATATTCTTTATCACAAGAGATCAATAGAAAGGAACAGAAAGTTTAGTTATGGACAGACTGTGCAGGGTTTTTTTTGTTTGTTCTTGCACGTGAGAGTGGGGGCGCTCTAATGAGCTGGGAAAGTTATAGTCTTACCTCACGTCTCACACAAAAATAGATTCTATACAGATCAAGTATTATTAAAGGGAGAATTAGGCCAGGTGCGGTGGCTCACACCTGTAATCCTAGTGCTTTGAGAGGTGGAGGTAGAAGCGTCACTAGAGGCCAGGTATTCAAGACCAGCCTGCACAACAGAGGAAAACCCCATCTTATGAAAAATTTTAAAAATTAGCCATCTGTATCCACCTATAATCCTTGTTACTCAGGAGGCTCACGCAGGAGGATTGCCCAAGAGGTAGAGGGCTGCAGTAAGCTATGGTCATACTTTGCACTCCAGCTGGAGCAACAGAACAAGACTCTGTCCCTAAATAAATAAATAAATAAATAAATAAATAAACTGTAAAAGCATTCAAATACAATTATGGGAGAAATATTTTTCTTAGAAGTCTAAGAATGATGTAAGTAGAATATAATCATCAGAAAATATAACATAAATGATAAGTTTAACTTTATAATTATAAAATTATTTTGCACAATAAAATAGACAAAATGAAGCCCCTAACCAAAGTAGAAATGACAAATGACAGAAAGGAAAGAATGGATGAGGTTAAGCCCCATTTTTAATAATAGAAATGTCCTAAAAGTGGGTGAAATAAATAATAACGACAAATGCATTTTAAAGGAAAGCCAGCCTCACAATAAATCAAATACGAGTAAAGATGAACTTTTTGTAAGTCACAAAAATCATAAAGTCATGAAATTTGGCAATATACCTGACATTTGAATCCTAGTACTACCACTTACTAGTTGTACACAGTTGCTTAATATTTCTGAGCTTCAGTTTCTTCATTTGATAAATCCATCTAGTCACACTGGGATCCAGGGTCCATCCACCCTGTATGCCAGCATGTTATCTGTAACAAAATATTACTTTCCTCATGGCTGTCATTTGGATTAAATCAATTATTATATGTAAAATATTTAGCACAGTGCGTGGCACATCGTAAGTCTCAGTTGATGGCAGATAACAGAAGAGTTTAAAATTATAAATTGATTAGGAATGGATTCCATTGCTAATAACAGAAAACAAAAACAAGTTTAAAGCAAGTTTAAGTTTAAGCAAGCAGGATTTCATTTTTCATACAGAACAAAAAGTCCAGAGGTGGGAAGTTAGTTCAGCTTCTCAAAGGCTCTATCACGGATTCAGGCTATTGTTAACCATTATACTTCACTGTCTTCAGGGTGAAGGTTGTGTATGCATCCTTACTGTTTCATGATTGTAAAGTGATGCTGTATCTCTAGTTACCAACTTCTGCATTCCAAGCAGGGAAAAGGAGGAAGGAACAAAAGGCATGAAGGTTAGAGCTGGGTGCCAGCTTAATCTCTTTCATTTTATCAGGGAAGCAAACCTCTCAGATGGTAAACTTCTATCTCTGACCCAGAAATGTATTACATGGTCATCCCTGGCTGAAATGTCACTAGAGAGCAGGGGCTGTGGATGGCTATCAGATCAGCCAACCAACAGTGTTTGCCACAAATAGTAACAACAACAAAAAGAAAGTCAACAGACTTAGCAGTGGCTTTAACCTTTACACTTTTATTGAAACTCTTTATTGCTTTCTTACTGGAAAAGTGTAATCATTAAAAAAATAAAACTCAAATACACTTCCCTCTACAATCCACTACATTTCCCACCACCCCGAACCAGACACCTAACGAAGAGGGAGAATGAGGACATCTTATTACTTGTATGTTGACATTTTAAAATCATTTCAGCCCCTGAAGACTTTCGTAAATATCAATCTCTCTGTTGCCCCAGAGTCTTAGGGATATAATTTGTACTGGTGAAATTAAAAAAAAAAAAAAAAAAGGAGACCACTCCCTTGTACTACATGAATACACCTTTCCCTTCTTTATAATAATTTTGAGAAAAGTTGTACATATTCTCAGTTGATTTCTTTACTAAAGTTTCCATGTTACAAATAACCACTTCAAGGACAAATACCTGAGGAATTTCACACCTAAACAATGAATAAGAATTGGAAAAGATTATTACAGTTTCTCACACTGAGTTTTAATCTGATTCATTTTAATCAAATAGTCTCTCTTGTCTAAGAAAAGGTCATGAAAGAAGACAGTAACTTACAGGAGAGAACGAGAGATTCAAAATAAATACGTTAAGGGGGTAGAGACATGTCTCATTAGTTTTCTTGCGTGGTGAGAAATATGTAAAGAATGATTGAAAAGACAATGAGCAACTATCAAACTAAATTAGAATACTTCTGAATTTGCTTATTTAAAATAAAATCTGTATTAAGCAAGCCAATCCTTTTAACCCAGGTTTTTTTTTCTAATATAATGATACACATCTATAAAATATTTATTTTGCTGCTTTGTGCTACTATTAGGTTGGTGCCATTAAAAACAATGGGAAAAACTGCAATTACTTTTGCACCAACCTAAATATAGGCGAAAAGCAGTCTGCTACTTAAGACAAGATTGCAGATAACCTCTGTTATTTTGATTTAAATTGTGAAGGAAACTTAAAGGCCAAATACATTTGCATTTGAAAGCAGAAAATAAAGATTTCTAAAATCTTGAGGAGAGCTTTCTGCTGTCCTTAATGAAAATGCATTATATTAATTTTATTAAGAACAAATATTATAATCCATAGAAGCATCATCTTTAATTCTTATGAAAGTTCATTACAGAAGAAAGGTGTTTAATTATGCTTTAAAAGAAGGAAAACATCTATATACTTGAGTTTAAAGAAAGGCAGCCCAAGGATGTGAAGTCATTTACAGCAGATCACAGGATAAGTTAATGCCAATTAATGCCAATAAGATATTTGAGTCCATCTGACTTTTCTGTTACAAGAACATCCTGGTCTAATGGATGTTTCCCTTCTTATCCAGACTCTCACACACAGATATGCTCAATACGTTCTGGATAATCATAGTGGATTGTGGATTATTGTTACATAGCATATATTCATGCACATACATTGAATGAATGAACAAAAGACCCTTTTAAATGAATCATGTAATGATTCAGTAAAATTTATTGGCTAAAAAAATTTTCATGGAGACTGAAACTTTGGAATCAAAGGTCCCTAAACTCATCTGAATTCATTTCTGGTTTTTAGATTTTGATAAATACTGGTTTTACAATAAATACTATGTATATATAGTGCAGTATATAGTATATAAATGGCAGTTTTCACAAAAGGCATAAAAATATATGTATATAGATACTATATACATCATATAGATGCTATATACATATACATATGTATATACATGTAAAATTGTTGCTCTTTAAAGATATAAGAATAGCCACTACATTAAAAACTAGTTAGTATTCTGATATTCTCCATCACACTCAAAACTCAAATGTTATGCCTCTGATACAAAGGCAACATTTCAAGCTGTTGAAGCCTAAAGCTATCTTGCAATAAGTTTCTTTAGCATTGCCAGTCTCCAAATTCATCCCTTTTTACTTTTGAAAAACAATTACAAATGAATTTCAGTTGAAGGAATAAACAAATTCAAAGTATACAAATTACATTTGCTAAAAATGAATGAAATAGAAAAACTTGAGTGTTACAAATAAGATCTATTATGTGGATTATTTTCTGCCTATCAAATCCAAAATCACTAAAGTGAAGACAATGGCATACATCAATTACCTTATTTCTATGAGTAAGTCTTAAATGACCTATTGCCAGTAGAAATTTAAATTTCCTTGGCTATTTCAAGTGTGTTATTTTCTTTTCTTTTCTTTTTTTTTTTTTTTTTTTTTGAGATGGAAGCTCACTCTGTCTCCCAGGTGTGATCTTGGCTCACTGCAACCTCCGCCTCCCAGGTTCAAGCGATTCTCCTGTCTCAGCCTCCCGAGTAGCTAGGATTACAGACACGTGCCACCACGCCTTGCTTATTTTTGTATTTTTAGTAGAGATGGGGTTTCACCATATTGGCCGGGCTGGTCTTGAACTCCTGACCTCGTGATCTGCCTGCCTCGGCCTCCCAAAGTGCTGGGATTACAGGCATGAGCCACCGCGCCTGGCCCTTCAAGTGGTTATTTTCTCTGTAGATTAATTTTGATATCTATTTAAGTATGTAGCAAAATTTGATCATTAAAATCATGGCCTAATTCACAACAAAAAAAGCAGCAGGAAGTCCCTGTCAAATGTTTTAATATTAACTTGAACTTCTATTCATCTATAAAGGCCTAACAAAAATTAACCTTCTCATTACCAAGGGCATACTAAATAATAAATTATTCTTAATGTGAAGCTTATAAGAATATAGAAGTCTTATTTTATATGATGTTAACTTAAATTTGACAGTGATTTTCTTGAATTATTCATTACACCTAGAAACCTAATGGAATAAAAAAGACTTTGCAATGATAATTATAAACTGATATTTAAACCATTTAGTGACATCTTTAAATGGAATTTTTAGCATAATTAAAAATGATGGATCTTACACAGTGTTGCACTTTATTGAATAGATGTTGAATTAAGTAATTTTATACAAATTCTCAATAGCTAAGCATTAGTAATACAATAGGTATAGAAGGGTTCTCTTATTTTTGTTATAAATTCTCCCTGCTGATATTCGACTAAGTTTTAAAATAATGCCTCTCTTAATTACAAAATGGAAATACCAGAAAATAGTGTACTCTCCTTCATTACTTTCCCTCCTTGCTCTAGAGACTTAGCAGCATGTTATGAAGACTATCATGAACGCTACGATATAATGAGACTGATTTTCTCGAGCTGCCTAAGGAAACCACATTCATTCTGGTAGGGTCTTGCCTCATCTATGTGTAGAGTAAAATGAGTGACATGTTACAAAACTGTGTTTATGCTTTAGTCTGAATATGAATTGATACATGCTCCCCACAGAATTCTGGAAACTATAGATGAGTCCAAAAAAGGAAATAAAGATGCCAAAATGTCATCAACCAGATAATCACTGTTAGCCGTCTGGCTCTGCCTGTAATTTTTGGCATGCATGTGTCCATGTGATCTTTGAAGGAAGGCATTGTATTGTTTACTGCTGTATTCCCAATTCTCATCATTGAGCCCCGAACAAAGTAAGAGATTAATGAAATTTGCATGTTAAATAAATGCAGACAAACATAGTAAAATGGGGTCATACTGTAATCCAGGTCTCTCTTTTTCATGTACAGTAAATATAAAAATGTCCTTAGATATTCTTGTAAAACATGATCGTCGCAGGCTATATTATGTTCCTTTTTGTGATAATCAGTAATTTCTCAGTCAGTATTTGGGGACAGAATGGTTGTTCCCATTCTTTCTAAATGGTATTTTTTGACATTATGGTCATTCTCAATTTTTCACAGTTCATAAAAGAAGAAAATCCGGCACAAAGAGGAACACTTGAAAAAGAATTTATTTATGCTGCTAAATAACTTACCAAAAAAGCCGAACTCCTAATGATAATATCGAAGGTGCTTTTTAAATCTATTTCCAGAAAAAAAAATTTTTTCAATCTTTCCTTATTTCATATACAAAAATATGTTTCAATCTGCATTTCTTGATGTTTAGTGCAATTAAGCATTTGAATTTATTTTTCAAGATTTATTTATATTATGAAGTCATTTTTGTTGCAACAATTAGTATGTCGTATTTCTCACAAACTTTATCATAGTTTGTTATTTGCATTATATTTTTGGTATATTGATGTATTTGTTCTTTTTATATATATATATGTAGTCTTGTTCTGTCACCCTGGCTGGAGTGCAGTGGCGTGATCACAGCTCACTGCAGCCTCTACCTCCCTGGCAGAAGTGATCTTCCTGCTTAAGCCTTCACAGTAACAGAGACTAGAAGTATGCACCGCCATGCCTGGTTAAACTTTAACATTTTCTCTTTTTTTGGTAGAGACAGGGTCTCACTATATTCCCCAGACTGGTCTCAAACTCCTAGACTCAAGCAATCTATCAGCCTCAGCCTCTCAAATTGCTGGGATTACAGGTGTGATCCACTGTGCCCAGCCCAATTTTTTAATTTAAAGAGCCTGATAAATATAAATGTAAAATAATTTAATGAAAGACTTTTTAAATTATAAATATGACTGTGTTATTGCAGGAAATTTAGTTAGGACAAAAGTATATTTAAAAATTATTCATTATCCCATTTTATAAAGATACTGATGAAATTTCTTTTGGTCATTGTGCTAAGCATTTTTTAAAATATGAGAAGTTGATATATTTTAAATGATGTACATCAATGAGACTGTACTACATTATAATTGGACATAAATGGCATGTGTGTCACCCAAATTATTACAGTTTATATTACTTCTGAGTCAAACCCTACTATGGTTGAACTCATCTAATGAGTTTGAAATGTAGTGTTTTGCAGAACTTCTAAATACAGTGTATACAATTAAAGGATTATTTCCAATAGTTTTTATTTGTAGGTCAAGAGATAGAATCTTCCATATATTTCTTTCAAAAAACACAAAAATTCATATTTGTGGAGAAATACCCTCAAGATTATGATGTCTGGAATATAATTCCTGTGGCACTTTTCCTGCTTAAAATGTTAGTTAAGCTTTCCATTTAATTTAGAATAAAGTTCAAACCACTAAGTGAGGTCTCCCAGGCCCTATTCAACCTGGCCTTGTTTTCTGCTCCAGCCTGATTTAAAAATAAATATAACTGGAAGGAATGCAGCATTCTAATGTTGCAACCTTAGTCTGACAAATGTTGCTGTTGCTTCTCTAAGACATTGAAAATATCCTGCCCGTCCTTCGTATGTTTGCTGTGGTATCCTGAGATACTTCAGCAGTTTGTAAACAATGGCTTTAGGTGCACAACAAGAAAACATATGGTATAGAATGGAAATACTTCAATAGCTTAAGATGACTAAGCAGGGTATATATTAATTTAAGTAGGATTTAAATAAATGCATGAATAATGAGTTGTTTAAAAATACTAGGATGACTTTTGGGGAATTTTGACATCATGAAAAATACCAATGCTCTTTTGTCTTTTAGTATGAATACCAGCGGCAGAAAGCAGAACTTAATAGGATCAATTGTTAGTTTAATACAGCATTAAAGAAAAATCTATTGGAGGTCACCAGTTTAGACTGAGCTCTTGCGCTAGGCCCAATAGACCAAAACAAAATGGAGTTACTCATTGCAAAAATTCCAAGCTACCAGGTGGAAACGACTTTATCTGACCTTCAGAGAAAGCAGGAGATTGAGAGAGAGAGAGAGAAAGAGAAAGAGGGAGAATAGCCAAATTCCCAAATAGGTCAGTTTCAATGGGCATGATAATGAAGTTCCCTCTGCTTTATTCCCTACAAAGGGATTTTTGTTCTTTGTTCCTGCTTTCTTCAGCCCTTCTTTGTGTATAAAACCAACCCCTTCTGCTCTGCTCAGCTCGTCAGCCTGCTCATTCCATTTTATTAAATAAATGTTGCCCAATTCTATAATTGCAGATAAAGCCAATTAAAAATTTTAAACTAAATTTGTTGTAATTTTGTCTTTTGACAACAGTAAATTCAAATAGTTTTATATAGTAGGACACGATTAATTTCATAACATCAAGAGACAAACCTTAAGAATAGTCAAACTAGATCACATGTTAGATGAAAGGCTTTACATCAAAGTGACTGTTTAAAATAGAGAAAAATGAAGTTGACAGGCTACTCTTTGTTCTACCCATATTCCATTCCTAATTTATTTACTGTCACTACCAATTTTTAAAACCAAGTTCATGTATTATTTTTTGTGGCTTCATTTTTCAACTGATAATTTCTTAAGGAAATTCGCAATCCAAATACATTGAACATTCTGTTGTTGCTGCCTTTAGAATAGATTTTAAAGATTGTTTTGTGGACACCAGACCCTTAATCATTTCATGAAAGAAACATTGTTATAACACAGTTTTCCACTTTTAAGACATATAAGCATTGTATTATAAGTAAATTAATATTAATGTATTAATATTATATAGTGAAAAAGTGCAAAACTAAGAGTTGGCAATATAGTTATAGCCCTGGGTCAGTTTCTGGTTAAGCCAGTTTCAGTTTTCAGTTCATTAAAGTGCGGAGGGGATGTGTCAGTTGATCACAGATTTTTTTTGTTAGGGCTTTTGTAATGGACTAAATGTTTAGGTCCCCTGAAAATTTGTATGTTGAAATCCTACCCCACAGATGATGGTATTGGAAGGTGGGATCTTTGGGTGGTGAGTAGGTCATGAGAGCCATGTGAGGTGACAGTGAAAAGATAGTCATCATAAGCCAGGAAGTTGGCCCTCACCAGACACCTAACCTGCTAACATTAGAATTTTAGACTTCCCAGCCTCTAGCACTGTGAGAAATACATTTCTATTGTTTTTAAGCCACCCAGTCTATGGTTTTTGTTATAGCAGCCAAACGGATTCAAACAGCCTCCAACATAGTAAAGATCTTCAAGTGCCAGTGTTCTTGGTTGTAGTAGGAAGAAGATAATGAAATTTCCCTAAGACAGGTTGTTGAGAAGACCAAGATAAAACACAATCAAAAAAGGTATTGTTATACATATCTAAAGGCAGTGACTTTTTAAAATAATTTTTTGGTGTTTATGGTGATTATCTTTATCAATGCATTTTTTTTGTCATTAACAGCCTGCCTTTAGATTAGCCAACAGTATACAACTGAAGTATATCACATGAAAACTAACTTTTCTTCCAACAACTGTTGAATTTTTTCCTTAATGCAACAAGAATAGGAACAAAAGAGTACATTTTTCATCTATTGTCTTTGAAGTGCCTCATTGAAGGTTTTTTTGTGATCCACTAACCTGGAGAAAGGTTACTATAAATAAACATTGTAATATCACATTGATCCTTTTGCCTTTTTAATTTGTACCATATACATGAAATTGTATTTGTGCATTCTGTCTACTCATAGGAAAAAACAAATCAACTATTGCTGAGAAAGGCATAAAATTCTTTCTTATGGATTTTGAAAAATCTATCTAGATATTAGAATAATTACATATGTTTGCTATTATGTCAACATCAGTTAATACCAATGACTTCTAATGTATCAGTTTTTTACTTACACCTGGCTTGTAGCTGAATATTGGTAGAAAGGTTGACAGTGTACTGAACGATGCAGGCTATCTTCACCCAACTTGTTAACTCTCCTGTGTTCATCTGTGCTTTCAGAGTCTGAAGTATGTCTCCTAAATAACTGTTAGGAAAGAAAATGGGTATGTCTGATACTAAAATGGAGGTACAACAATTCTTTCTACATAATGGGGTCCAGTAAAAATCTGTGGAACAAACCCACATGTAAAGCTTTTGTTTCAGGCAGTGATATAATTTTATTAATTGCCATAAAATTTTAGGCTGTATATTTTGGATCAGTGCTCTTGGGGGGAAGTTGGAGGAATGTAAGAAGAATCTGCTGGGAAAACTACAGCCTGCATCCCTCCCCACCCCCCACCCGCTCCAAGGTGGGAGGAAGGACATAAGAGAATTCAGGGCAGGTTAATACTGCTACCAACCTGAAGTCTCTAGAAGAGCATTACGAATTATAAAGAGTAATGTATGTAGTTATTTCTTTAAATTTGTGATTTTTCCATTTAAAAATATCTACTACCTAAATAAACTGCCAGGGATTTAAAGAAAATTAATGATTAGTTTGCAAGAACACTAATGTTTTACTTGCTACACACTGAAATTAATAGAAAAAAAAAACTCCATTGAGATGAAGGAGCTAAGCAATTAATTTTCCTCTTTCTCAAAACACTGACATGAACAGGGGTAATATAAAGTTCTTCTAGGTGAGATTGAAAAGTCTTCTTCCAGATGTCAAAGGGAATTCACACTTCAGAAGAGGAAACTCAACAGGAAGAGAATTATGAATAAAGGTCAATGATGATTTTGGATTTGTGGTAATATTTCTTATTTCTTTTTACTTTTCCCTTAGGCTACTTAGGGGTTTGTTCTTAAATCATGTCCAGAAGGAAGCCTGTAAAGCAGTATTCTGTCATTTCCTTCTTTCCACTGAGAATGCTCACTATATTAAGCCTTTTAGCTAGATAGTTAGTGTAAAACATCTCGTTACTGGATAGGGTGATTTCCTATTTTAGGGCAGTCAACAACAACAGTCAGTGGGATACAACAGAAGTGTCTCTGGGCAAAACTGAACAATCAAAGAAATGTTAGAATTGGAAGGGACCTTAAAGATCTTCCAGTTTACTGGTTTACAAACCATTTCTGAACTATTAGAGGACTTCAAGGGAGCAATGGGCAGAAAGTGGGGTTCCTAAACTATTTTCAACATTTCAAAAAGCTTAAACAGTTGCAATATTAACCATGAGAAATCTGCAACAGTTCCTTGCTTTTGCTTAGGAGTAGATGAATTATGTTAAATTCAGCATTAGTTATATTAATCAGACCAAAAGCTCTTATTTACATTTTCATTTAATAGGTGAAATTTTATAGGCAATACTTTGTAAACTAGTAAGTGCTGAAAATTGGAAAGCAAATGGTCTTTTATAGATAAGAGTCCAGAGAAGTGACTTGCTCAGGATTAAATGAATTAGTGTGAAGCCTGGGACTGGATCTCAAGTTTGCTGACTCTTAGCAGGTGAGGCTTGGGGTAAGCAATCTCATCTGCCAGCTCTGCCTTCACTTCCCAACTTGGGCTGGGCTGGTGCCATTCACCCTGAGTCTGTGTCAGGGGTGATCCCCAGAGTTGTGCAATGGAGCCTTCTGACACTTGTGCTTGGTAATCATTCTATTTTTAATAAAATGTCACTTAATCTCAGATATTGACAACAACATCAAGTTTTTCCAGATTGATTTGCATTTCATGAAGGCTTAAGGCTTTAAGGGAAAAAACTTAAGCTCCACCAAGAGAGATTCAACCTCTCAGCAGGTGTTCTTTTGGCAGAGTGGAATTTCTGGTAAAGAACCAATGACTAAGACAAGTATGAGCTGTTTTTTTTTTTTTTTAAACTTTGGAAAAGTACATTGATCTTTTTGGATTGGAGCTGGAGAAAACATGATATGAATGTTTGCAGAGTTGGCTTCCCTAATAGGGGAAGTTAACTGAATTGTGCCACATGGTTTTACCTCCTCTGCTGTTATCCTGTGGGTGTGGTACTGCTGTCAAAGATTTGCTTTATCACTGTCTTAGAATGACCAAGTGTAGTGTCATAAAGACTGAGGAATACATTGAAGCCCGATTTCAGTAAATTTTAAGTACCTAACGTGTTCTCTCATTATGAACCAAATCTTATTTTCTGAGGTAGATAAATTATGTTCCATGTCTCTTTTGTGATCTTAAGGTAGAAAGTAATCTTGCATATTCAATATTGGAAATTCAATGCTTTCAAATAGATATGTTATGGTCTGTAGAACCATAAAATAAGCATTAAAATGTCTTACCAAATATCCTAGCATAAAAAACGCATTTTGATTTGCATTTAGATTTCACTAAAGCCACAGGGACTCAACACTAGTAGTGTATTATATCATTATTCTTTCTTTAAATCTCTATTATAAGAAGAGACAGGTACATTGAGTTATATAATCACACTCCAAATTAGATCATACCAAATAATAAGACAAATATTTCCTGATGACTCTGAAAAACAACTAATGGTAGTCAATGATTTATTACATATAAACACTTTAGAGTGATAAAGGCATTGGGAAATGTACAGTTTTATTTGCATTTAGTTTTAAGTGACTTGAATGAAGAAACTGCAGACTTTCACAAACTAGCTACATGCAAAAAAATTTCCCATAAAATTTACAAATGACTTCCTTTCTGCCATTGTTTCAGAGTAGAAGAGTGTTTTCCTTCTTCCTCAGTGCTTGTACACTATTATTTTCAGATTCCTCTTCATTAAGTCACTTAGTCAAGCTATTCTCTATTTTAAAAATCAGCCCTACTGGTGTATAATGATTACTGAGTTTCTTTTTTCTCCATATTTTTGCACAACAGGAACAAGATAATGAAAAAAATAGCATTTGCAATCGAAAAACTATCCAGATAACCATCTTAGGAGAGGATTCTTTGGTCAACTGATCCAATGACATTCACTCCATTTCATTCCCATGTTCCTTCCATTTCATACTCATTTTGTAATAGCTTCACTAGTTGGGCCTGAAATAACCTGAAGGGTGTAGTTGCTTCCCCTTGTCAACATTAAAGCAAGGGTGGCTGGGATGTTAAGGAATCAGCAAAATAGAGGAAAGGAATAAATTTTAAGGCTCTTTTTAAGAGGGTAACAATAAAGATGATTGGTTTTTGTCGCCAAAACTTACTGACATCTAATCCTTTATGAGACTTTCTTCTGTGCCGGATTCTAAGCATTTTAATATTTCATTTTTTCCTGCCCCATCACGGCCTTCTAAAGTGGGCACTATTATAATTCCCAGTTTTCAAGAAAAGCTAACCACTGGCTTCAGGTCAAATAGCTAGTGAGCTGTGCATCAGGCAGTTGAATCCATGCAGTCTTGAGCTAGATTCCAGAGTGACACCTTGGAATCCGATACTTTTAAAATTCCCTCCCCAGGTGATAATAACCTGAAGCCAGGGTTAAGAACCACTGACTGGTACAGATTAATAACTTGAAGCCAGGGTTAAGAACCACTGATTGGTACAGATTCTAGATCAAGGCGCTTCAACTCAACTGTTTTCAGGGCCAGGCATTTTAAATAAATTTTTAAAAGCAATCAGATACAGACCCCATACTCTAAAAGAATTTTGAAAAGTGTGTCCACATATTTTTACTAAAGGAGAAATCATCTGGGGACATTGTTAACACAAATGACTGAGCCTCAGCTCATCGAATCCTTATTCAATCTATATCACAATTACCTAGGTTTTACTTTTTTTTTTTTTTTTTTTTTTTTTGAGATGGAGTCTCACTCTGTCACCAGGCTGGAGTGCAGTGGCGTGATCTCGGCTCACTGCAACCTCTGCCTCCTGGGTTCAAGCGGTTTTACTTTTCAATGTAAATTTCTGCATCCCAGGTTACCACTGCTCTAAAATCACTTTAGGTGCTGATAAATTCTAGTATTTTTGCCATTACTTTAAATGGCAAAAACTGCAATTACTTTTGCACTAACCTGATATTTTTGGGAGAGAGTTCTCAAATATGAGATGATCATTTTATTCATTCTAGGAATTTTTACTGAGCATTTATTATGTGCCATGAATTTCTAGATACTTGGTGAATGGCAGTGAACAAATGAAACTCTGTGCCTCTCTAAGGAGCTCATGTTCTACTGAACAAATAAATGTATGTGAGATGCAGAAATAAATCTATGTCAGATGGATAAAAGCAGTGGAGAAAAATAAGGCAGGGGTGGGGGCATGGAGTGGGATGGGTAGGGTTATCCTTTATATAGTCAGGGGTGGCCTTTCTGGTAAGATCATGTTGGAACAGAGGATGTCAGGCAATGAACCATGAAACCTACAACTACTCAACAGTATCCAGACTAAAGTAACAACATCATGTACAAAGGACCTGTAGGTTGGAAAAATAAGACCAGTGTTTGGAAAGCAGTGAAAGGAGAAAAATGAGAATAGAAGTTATCAGAGTGGTAGTGAGGAACTGAATCTATCACATTGGGTGGTGAAGGCCATGGTAATCACATGGAAAATAGTATGTGCCTTATGTGTTAACAGATCAACCTGGGGCTGAGAATGCAATATGTGGGGAAATTGTGGAGGCAGGAAGACCAGTTGCAGGGCACTGGCTCTAGTCCAGGCATAAAAAGATGGTAGCATGACCAACATGATGGTAGAAGTGGTAATAAATAGTCAAATTCTGGATTTATTTTAAAGAGTTAGCTATGATAATTTTTATAATGGATTGGATGTGGAGCGCAAAAGAAAGAGGAATCATGGATGACTAGATGTAATGTTTGGGTATTAGAGCTTAGTAAATTTGATGTAGGTAAAATACTCTCCCAGCAAATTCCCAGTTGGGCACAGGTGTGAAGCTAATTTGACTTATGACTAAAGCAACATCTTCCATGGAGCAGTAAAGGTGAAAAACTGGAATACATGTCTTCCAAATAACTCATTAAAACCTGCATTCTTCCTGACATGAATCATTCTGTTCAAGATTTCTTTTAATTCATCACCTCCAACAAGAAAAGGAAAAGGCAAAGGCAAAAAGCCAATTTTCTCAGTGACATTTGTATCAGAAGAGATTTTTTTTTTTTTTTTTTTGAGACGAAGTCTCGCTCTGTTGCCCAGGCTGGAGTGCAGTGGCGTGATCTCGGCTCACTGCAAGCTCCGCCTCCCAGGTTCACGCCATTCTGCCTCAGCCTCCCAAGTAGCTGGGACTACAGGCGCCCACCACCACGCCCAGCTAATTTTTTTGTATTTTTAGTAGAGACGGGGTTTCACCATGTTAGCCAGGATGGTCTCGATCTCCTGACCTTGTGATCCACCCACCTTGGCCTCCCAAAGTGCTGGGATTACAGGTGTGAGCCACCATGCCCGGCTGAGAATAGATTTTTTAATACCAGAAAAATATTTGACTTTTTCTTGTAATTATTGCTTCTAATAATTTTTAAATATGCAGATATTTCAGACCCTTTACATTAATCATTAAAACAAACACATTCCTCACATAAGAGACAAAAGGTGGACAGTTAGAGGAATATTCCCCTGCTCCATTTCTTCCATCTTCAGAACTTAACTCCTACATTCTGGATCATGTTTTTGCATTTTAAAGCAACTACTATTAACTACGTAAATCATTCTGTTTAGGGTGTGTAATATAAAAACTTACCTGTACTCAATATTGAGATAAAGAAAAACTCTGTATGCCCTAAAAGCATAATTTAATAACTTTTATTTAGTAGGAGCAATGTAACCTGTTGCATTTTCATGTGTAATAATGATACGGACAGAAGACAGGAAAATACGGGGTAGAAGAGGGCAGTTCCCTGGCAAAGGCCCTACTCTCAAGCCTAGAAACCCACGGCCCTAAATGGGAACAGGCATTCCTGTTTTCATACCCAAAAAGTTGCCTTTTGGCCTGCCATGCCCTCTATCCTACACCCATATGAACCTCAGGCCCCAGACTCCAGCAGCAGATGAGGAGACGAACAGAAAAATGGCGGAAAGGCACAGTAGAGAAGGAGAGAAGGAAAGGAGTGTCTGAATGTTGAGTTCGGCTGGAGGTGATGGGAGAGATCAGCTGGTGGATGGCCAAACTCCAGGGGAAGATCATCTTTCCACTCCATCCCCCTTCCAGTTCCCCACCCATCCCATTGAGAGCCACGTCCACCATTCAGTAAAACCCCCACATTCATCATTCAAGTCCATGTGTGACCTGATTCTTCCTGGACTCCAAACAAGAGCCTGTGTGACAAGGGGGGCACTGAGAGGCTAGCACTTAAGCCATCTGCGGATGGCAGAGCTAAAAGAGCACTGTAACACTGGGGCTTCAGGAGTCGCAGGCACCCACCCCTAGATGCTGCCATGGGGCTGGAGCCCAAAAGTTCTCACCCCAGTTCCTGCACCTGCCCGTATGTGTGCTCCCTGTCCAATAAGGGTTTTGAGCTTGCAGCGGCCTGAACACAGAATCACACCCCTGTGGCATGTCCTGCGAGGGGTGTCAGGGAACACTGCTGTTTCAGTAAGTTTTGTTCCAAACCTGTAGCATTCCTTGGATTAGATTTTTTAAATTATCTTAAACTTCTCTCTTTGGCCCTTCTTGCCCTGTTTCTAAAGGTGTGTCCTGTGTCTCATGTTTGTCTTTTATTGTAAATCGCAGCAAATCCTTTTTGGATACAGACACTGTATGAGTAATAAATGAATACAGAGGTATGTAATAACTTTTACATATCATTTTGTACTTTGTATTCTTTGTCTTAATCTCCATTTAACCTTTTATTGTACAAAAATATTTAATGATTCCAAAATTTAAAGGTGTTTATTTTTTTAGAACCTTTTCTAATGAAGATTAAACATATAAGATTTCCTATACAAAACTAAAACCACAGCCATGCCTACCTGCTGCAAGCGATGTTTTCACTTGACTCCACAGGTTAATACTTTTGATTTTAAAATGACTTACCTTCCTTGTAGTGCTATGAGAGACTTGCATTAGCTATTTATGTATGTATTAACTATTATAAAAGCTTGGGACAGAATGTCACTTACGAAGTAGCTAAACTTGGCAAGAGACTTTAAATTCTAGAAAGACTGCCTTCTAATGGAGGACAGAAGTCGGCTAAGGAATAGTGTTTGTGTAACAACAAAAGGGCTTTTATCTGGGAGTTCCAATTTCAAAGAAGGGAAAAACCATTTTGAAGTTATAGGGAAAAAAAGCAAGGTTGTATATAAAAAGGTACATGTTTAGGAACTGCACCATATTTGTTTAATAGATGATAGGAAGCTTAAGGTTTTTAACACACACATGCTCCAAATCTTTAAAATACTATGAACAAACAGATGAAATAAAAGAAAGTTTCACAAAAGTTGAAAATGCTTTCTTTGGTAGTTGTGGACTAGATTTTTAGGTAAATTCCAACATAGTACCCTGCAAAGTGAACACAAAGAAAATAAAAGCACACACACACACACACACACACACTACCAATGTGACTGTGACTTTGTGGCCTAGATCTCAAGGAAAAATACCAGAAATTCATTAAGATGTTGCTAGAGTCGAAAAATAGCCGAGGAATCTCTGCACTATCCATGTTTCACCAATTGGCCATGTGAGGGAGAGCTCCCACATACACTGATACATTATCTTTGTCATTGTAATTGATGCCCAATAATTTTCAACCCATCAAATGCAGTCCTGATGGAAGGGACATTTATTTATCTCCATGTAAGATGATCATCACTTAGAATCCCTAGCTGATCTCAAATTTCCTAACAGCTTAAATCACAATAGTGAAAAAACAAAACAAAAACAAAAACATAGCACTACTAATTTCCCGACTGCCAAAAGAAGATAGGATCTCACATACCTGAGAGCACCTATGAGTGCCTGCTTAGTGAGTTTAGATACCCATTCCAAGTACCAGAGAGAAGACAGGTCATCATGCCCAGATTTTACTAGCTGACTAGGTCCCTTTTTCCTGGAATGGGTAGGGTTGACACTATCCAGAGATTCCGAGGGGCCAAGAAAGGAAGAGATATTTATATTTCCCCTAAAATAATGTTCTAGAACTTTAGTGTGACTTATCATAGCCTTCACAGAGTCTGCATTTCCTAATGAAAAGCATTACAGAAGGTGTTCTTTTTTCTTACATTAACATTCGTTTCACAATAAATTCTTCAAAGCATGAAATAATAATTTAAAGCAACTATGTCATGGCTGAGTCCTAATCCTGTATTGGAAGTCTGTATAGGTCTCCAAAACTCTTATCACCTAAAAACCTCCAGAGGACATAGTGAAACTAGGTTTCTGGGCTTCCAGATGCATTTAAAGGGGAAATAACACCAGACAAAATACAGACTAAAATAATAAGTAAAACACATTATCATGAATAACTATGTGGTAACAAAGCAGATAACAAGAATACATTTTTGTAAACATATAAAATCCCAAACTGGCACAATAAAAAATAGAATACTTACACAAAAAACCACAACAGAAATAGTAAAATTATCAGAGAATTACACATTGAAAGTTACTTATGCTGAGTAATTATAAGCAATGAGTTTCTCCCTGTATGTATCAACATGAAAAAATACAGTTGTCTATATAAAGTGACAAAAGTTGCACAACTATTTAACATGATGCTAAAATATATATGTGTGTGTATATACATACACACATATGCATGCTCACATGTTCTTAGAAAGAACAATCTGAAAAATTATACACTGTATTGTTAAAAGTGGTTTCTTCCTGGGTACTAATTGGAGCAGGAATCAGTTCAAGTTTATAGACCCTATATTTGTTTCAAATTCTTACTTCTATTAAAAAAAGTCTAGATAAAAACAAAACTTGATGAAATATACGGTCAAATTTAAAACAACATTGAAAATAATCAAAAGAGTTTTTAGCCTTTCCAGATCCCAAGAAAAGCTTCTAGAAAGTATAGAAGAAAATTGTCTGGATTCAGAGTCACACGTAGTGACAAATTCATGCTTTGATATCTAAAACAGGACTGCATAGTCAGCTGGGAAGTAGGCAGGAAAAAGATTTTGGTCCTTTTCTGTTACCTCCAAGTAGCTAAGGCACAGGATCTACACCAATTTGAAATCTGGGCAGCCAGTACCCAAATGGGTGAAGAGACTTTTTTAGGTAGACAGAGGTATAGTCAGCTTCTTCTAGACCATCAACATCAGTCTTTCTATAATTATTTAGAAACAATTTCCAACTTAAAGCATGAGCAGGGGTAAAAAGAAATGAGGAATGATACATTGTATCTTGGCATGTATAGTTCCCTCAAATACAGCAGTATAATTGAAGGTGGCCACAGAAAAAGCCTGTAAGTAGTGTGTTTCTCATTGCTACATCCAGATAAAGAATAATGGACTGTCTCAGATTTTTCTAAGACATACATTCTAAGAACAATACAGGGACAGCATGAGTCAATCCAGTAGTGTCTTAAAAAATGGAAGCTGCAGAAAGTGGAAACTGAGGGTGAGTCTGTACACAAACTTCTTTCTTAAATTTGTGTAATTTAAAATCTGACAGGAAGATTCTATCAGTGTTTACAGAAAGGGGCAGGGATCAAATTGGGGCACAATGAACTACCATTTAGTTGTTGCTCCAGAAATAAAATTCTCCTCTCTGGGTTCCTGATTAGCATAAAGTGCATACATCATCTCTAGAGAAACACTAGATGTTGATGGAATAATTCTTGCTAAAAACTGAAAATTTTTTTAAAAAGACAAGGACAAAACCCCACAATAAACCAAAAGAAATCATGATAAGGTGGATGTTTATTTAAAACAAAAATAAGAAGAGACATGGCCTATCATCATGAAGATTCATAGGAAGAGTTTTCCTTTGTTAACGTGGAGATCTTGCAGGCTCACAGTGTGAACATATGGCACCTTTGGACCTCTACTCTTCTAGATTGAGGGCTTCCTGAAGGCAGAAAAAATGTTTATTTCACCTTTGTATCCTGAGCACATCATCAACACGGAAACACACCTGTTCAACTGTAGGGTTTTAAAATATTTTTCCTGAAAATGTTTTGAACCAAGAGTCTATATTCTTGAAAATAAAATCAGTCTTTCTCATTGTCTCAAACAAGCTGATAAGTCGATGATGGGGGACATTGGTAGTTAGGTAAAGAAGATGTGTTAATGTACTCAGGAACTAGAATTTAGAGTTATTATGAGCAAAGAAAGTCAGTTATCCAATCTTTTTGACAATAAGATGTTAAAAGTATTTTGAAACTATAGAAAAACACACTGACTCCTCTTATAATCTATTTCCAATGTTATTTCAGATGTTTAAGTCAAAGACTCGTTGCAGAAAACTGTTAGCTTCTGTTCCAGAATCCTTGAGTGGTTAACAGTACAGGCTCTGAATAGAGATTATGTGAATTAAGGCACAGACTCTAGCTTTTACAAACTGTGTGAACTTAGTCAAGTCAGCTTATCAATCAAGCCTCAGATTTCTTATCGGAAAAATAGGTTGCTGTGAGGATCAAATACATGTTTAGTGCTTAGCACAGTACCTGGGATGTAGACAGCCCTAAACATCTGCTGCATTGCCACACCTATTTCGATTCTTTGCCTCATATCATTTTTCAGCTCAACTTAGGGCAAATAAATGAAACAGTTGAAATGTGTGCACTTATTTATTCTTCACTAATATTAAACCAGGTAATTTATATCTGTCTTTGGCAAATAACATACACAAATCTATATATATATATATAAATGTTTGTATAAAATTGAATATTCATGATTTTAAATTTGACAAACACTGTCAGGTAAAAATCAAACTATTTTACTAAGTTAACATCTCATTCAATTAGTTGTAAGTTGTAATAGCGGCATATTTTACATGAGACTATTAGAAAAGGATAATATTAAGTCATTAACATTATAAATCTGACCACTTTTATTAGGTTGAGGTGAAATAGAGAAATCTCTACTATCCTGGAGAGAAACAAGCAATAAAACCATGTATTACAAGTTTAAAGAAATGAATTTATCCTAAAATCATCAGTATCAGCACCCCAACAAAGCAACTTTGCCATTTCTACTTAAAGTACACTGTAGCTTGATCAGACACTTATCTCAGCAGTACTTGTTTAAGCAGGTCTCTTTGTACAAAAGCAAAACAGAAAGCAAAACAAAATCCATAGCCATTATTTACCTTGCACCCAGTAAAAGCCAAGAGATTTAAGGTAAGGACATTTTCTAATCCCATACCCATGCTAACATCATCAACATTGCTGATACAAAACTCAGGTCAGGAAAAGAAGCTCAAACAGGGAAGGTGAGTGGCAACATTTTATGTATGCTAAATTGGATGGCAATATTAGATTACATCTTCTGCAACTGTGGTGTCAAAAATCTGATAGCAAATTTGATTATCTGTTCCATTTGTGACATTGTATGACTTGATGAAGCATTCCAACCACGGATATGCATCTACAAAAACAAAAACAAAAAAAGCGATTTAACCATTAAAACAAAATAAATAACTCTGAAATAGGTACCTAAGCTTACCACTGAGCTAGAAAAATTAACATTTATTTTGGCTTGAAAAGTAAGTAAACGTCCCTTCCAAATTTAACATTATTCTCTCTTCAAAATACATACTAGATTCATGTTATTGTTTTGGAGCAATTGTGACTAATTTGAATTTTTTGCCACAAGCAGGTAACAGTGAGTACATCTTGGGTTTCAAAATGGTTGGTATATATTTTAAAAATCTAAAATAGTGGTTACAATGGGTCTACCAGGCCCATGCTTTTGGATATAAAGACTTACTTCTAGAAATCTATCCAAAAGAATCCAAACAGTTAACACAAATTAAAACTGACAACAAATAAAGGTATTCAAGTTAAACTTGGTTAGAGATCAACACAAATTCCTATCATTATGTAACTATTATAAGATGCAAAGATTGACCAGGGAGAGTAAAGCCTGATTAAAAATAGTATATAAAAATTAAACCAGCTGCTAAATCTGCAGCTGGTAAAATTTCCTACGATAAAAAATTGTTAGAAAAATCAAAATTGTCTTAATATGACTTAGATCTGCAAGTTTCAACATAAGTACAAATATAGTCACAGAAGGAAAATTCAGTGGCAGCAGGTATAAGCAGTACAATTTGAAATGAGGAAGATCTGGTTTATTAATCAAATGTTTATGCAGAAAACAAAGCTCACAAAAAATTGGTAAAACAAAAGCTTGTAAAATCTGAAACTAGTTAACAATAAATAAAAAAATTAATCCATGAATTAAATTGGATAATTGGAGTTTGTTACAGAAAATGTTTACTGCCAACAATTCATCACTTTTGGTCTAATTTCAACTAAAATGCTTGTAGCATGACAATGTCAAATGTGCTTGTGATCAAAACTATCTCCCTTTCCTATATTTAAAAATATTTTAAAAATCTTTTGACTGCAGGAATTATGATTCATAACTATTTTATCCCTGCCACTCTCTTCATCAAAGGTTGATCATAGAGTAATCACTCACTACTTAGTAAATCATTTGGAAGCAAAGCTTTCAGACTTCTAAAAGTCCACAGAGTACATATATGTTAGTGCTATCTCAAGTAAAAGAAGTGTGGGATTGTTAAAATATTCTTGCCTACCAATTTTTATTCCTGGAGGACAAAACATATCCATGATCATATCCACACTTTTCTGAAGGTCATCATCCATCAGAACTTCTGATGCTGGAATCTGGAAGAATTTGTCCTTAAAAATGTTTCATGAGAGAAAAAAAAAGGAAATAATATTAATCCTTTTTAATGTTATTATTAACACATATTTCAATATTGTCCAATTAAAAGATAATCTAGACAGTTTCCCTCTATCAAGATTGTAGAATTCATAAACTAGAATGCTGGTCTCAACTCCAAAATCTTATTTACTCTTTAATCTTAAAATAGCTTTGAGATACACGTAATCAAGTAAATTGCTCTGATTTAATAATGATGATGGTAATAATGATTTAAAAACAATGAGGCTGACTATTCTCTTTGTGCATAGAAAAAAAAATCTTGTGCTAAGCTTAAATGAATATAACATACAGTATATGTATTATATAGTTATTTAATTTTTCTCTTCCCTACTATGTTATAAGTTTCAAGAAGGAAGGAATTTTGTTTACTTTGTTCACCGCTGTGTCTCCATCACATAGGATAGTACCTAGTACATAGCAGGTGCTCATTAAATATTTAATGAAAGGTTAAATGAATTGTGTAGGTGGGAGAAAAATTCTCCTCTCAACTATAACTCAGATCTTTTCCAATCCATGTAGTAAACATTTTAACTTTACCCTAAGAGAGGTCTGGGCTTTGACCTTAGCTTGTGGAACGTAATCTCTAAGCCCTTTCTATGTCACACTTGATAGAAGTATTTTTGCCTGGAAGCCCTGGGTCACTATGAATAGTTTAACAATATGATGTAGGGTGGAAAGTTTGGAGCATGTGGTATCAGCTTGATCTCAAGAGGGGCTGAAGACTATGATCAGCCATATGGGCAGTCAACCATACCTACGTGATAGAGTCCCACTAAAATCTTTTAGCAGAGCTTCCCTATCTGGCAATATATTATGTATACTGCTACACACTGTTGCAGGGAAAGTAACAGTCCACAACTCTATGGGGAGAGGACAACTATAAGTTCCATGTCTGGAACTTTCCTGGACTCTGTCCTATACATCTCTTTCATTATCTGATTTTAATGTACATCCTTTAGCTGTAATAATCTGTAACTGTCAGTATAACAGTTTTCAGTGAGTTCTAGGAGTCTTGTGAATTATCAAATCTAAGAGTGGCCTTGAGGACTTCCAATTGCAATTAGTGTCAGAAATGAGGAAGGTTTTGTAGACTGCCTCAAAACTTTATACAATAATATCTATCTTCCCTGTTAAAGTAACTTCATTCCTCTAATATGAAATGTGGAGGTTTAAAAAGTATGATCAAGGCTGGGCACGGTGGCTCACGCCTGTAATCTCAGCACTTTGGGAGGCCAAGGGTGGGTGGATCATGAGGTCAGGAGTTCAAGACCAGCCTGGCCAAGATGGTGAAACCCTGTCTCTACAAAAATACAAAAATTAGCTGGGCGTGGTGGTGCATACCTGCAATCCCAGCTACTTGGGAGGCTGAGGCAGAGAACTGCTTGAACCCGGGAGGCGGAGGTTGCAGTGAGCTGAGATCGTGCCACTGCACTCCAGCCTGGGCAACAGAGCAAGACTCCATCTCAAAAAACAAACAAACAAACAAACAAACAAACAAAAGTACGATAAAATGTTGACTACAAATAATGCTTCCATAGTGTGGCCGTATCTCTGCATTTTGGCCATGGTATAGGGAATGACTCTTTAAATCCCTGTTCCTTAATTTTTCACTATTCAAATGTTAAGATTTAGTGTCAAATAAAAAAAGAGATACATACACAGATGATTCAAGATTTATGTGCTCATATTTTACTTATATTTTTAAGGTGCCTTAAGTCCTTTTAGGAACAAAGCAGGTATGAATAAATGTATTCAATTTTTTAAATATTATTTTTTAATTAAAAATATCTTTATTACCTCTGATACTTACAGAATCCATGAGATAGGCTTCTAGTACTCCTGTTCCATCATCAAGTGTAAAGGTCATAACAAACACATATTGGAGGGGTACAATACCCAGTGCTAGTGAAGGAAAAAAAGATCAAACCATATGAGTCTGCTATTCCTTATTATCAAGGTAAAGTTAAAATTGTTTTATGATAGTATAGACCTGTAAATTTTATTTACTAAAATAACTCAAGATACAAAGAAAAACTTGGCATTATCTCCAGGTAGATAGTGTCAGAATTGAACTGGAGGACACCCAGCTGGCGTCTGCTGAGGGATTGCCTGCTTGGTGTGTGGGTGAAAACCCCTATGCATTTGGTCACATAAGTCTTCTGCGCTGATTGCTGTGGTGGCAGAGCAGAGGACAGTTTGTGTTTTTAACTCCACAGATACTCAACCTATAATTAAGCTCATTTAGCAGATTCATTTTGGAATATTTCACTATACCTACATAGGGAGAATATCTTATGATAAGCAATTTAATCTTTTTGATTAAATATTAACGTATTTAAAATAAGTTGACACCCTCACACCTGTATTCTCAGCACTTTGGGAGGCTGAGGTGGGCAGATCACCTGGGCGGATCTTGAGGAGTTCAAGACCAGCCTGGCCAACATGATGAAACCCTGTCTCTACTAAAAATACCAAAAAAAATAGCTAGGCTTGGTAACATACACCTGTAATTCCAGCTCCTCTGGAGGCTGAGGCATGAGAATTGCTTGAACCTGGGAGGCAGAGGTTGCAGTGAGTCGAGATTGCACCACTGCACTCCAGCCTGGGCGACAGAGTAAGGCTCTGTCTCAAAATAAATAAAAATAAATAAATAAAAAAAACAGTTGATAGCCTCCATAGAAACCACAAAAAGTGATTCATGAAATGTAACTCATTGCATGTTAGTTTTATGAAAGATAAAATTAAAATACAGAATATTCTAAAAAATAGCATGCAGTTAAATACCGTTTTAGCATGCCTCTCTCCTTTCTATTATAAGCTAGGGGAATAATTTATAACTTTAAAAAAGAAAAAAGGGATATCATCTGGTTGAATGGACAAGAATGTCAGAATCTGAGATTTAATAATTTGGTAAGATAAGGAAGAAATAAGAAATTAGACATACTGGGTAAAATGAAAATTCACAGGTTAAGATAAATATCTTCTTGTTTGGAAATGGAAGATACTCAATTTATAGAATGTTTTATTAGCTTTTATCTGTGGAACCCATATTTAAACAGTATAACTAATTAACAGGGAAAGTAAGAATAAATTAGGACATACAGACATGAACTAGGGCATACAACAGACATTAATACAGGGGAACTGAATTTTAGGCTTCAAAAGGTCTCAATAGGTTAAAACTGTGAACTAAAACTAAGAAAGATGAACTTAGCACCTACTCCCAGGAACCATAAAAACAAAGATATTACATTAAGAATAGAACGAAGAGACCAAGTTCAAGAAGTTCATGTGACAGAAAAAAAAATTACATTAAGAATAGAATGAGAAGACCAAGTTCAAGAAGTTCATGTGACAGGACCCTAGGATTTCACTGGACCACAAATAAAACATGAGATGGCTGTATCAAAAAGGAAAGAAAACAAAACCAAGTGTACAAATAAATAGCTATACAATGACATTTCAGGCTAGTAGAAGCTGAGTGTCCAGTTTCAGGTAAATAATAATTTCACTCTATTCTGAATTGGCCAAACAACATCTGCAGCACAATGTCCAGCTCTGAATGCCAAATTCTGAGAAAAGCACTGGTAAAGTGGAATGCTTACTGAGGAGGAAAAACAAAATAGTAAGGCATAGGGGAAAGTATGTGACGGTGCCTGCTTGAAGAAATACAGACTAAAGGAAGGCTTGGCAGATATCTTTAAATTTACAAAGTCTGTTTATCTTACAGAGGAAGGAATAAGTATACAAAGAAGGAACAGGTATACTTTCAGGTATACTGAAATATAAGTAGGTGAAATAACCTTGTAAACAAACAGTTAAAATTGCAGGGCATGGAAATTTAGCTAACCTTCTGCCACAGAAGAAGGAATCCACGATGTTTTATCAACCAGGGAATTTAGATTTTGTATGGATCTCAAACTAGAACACTGTTTACATCTGAAATTTATAAAAGAAAGAACCATAAATATTTAAAAATAATTTAGCTTGTTTGTTATAACTTTTTACTGCTCAAACATGTGTAGTTTTAAAATATAAATTATTAAACAGAAGAATACTGCATCCCCTATATTGTAATGTGCTTGTTTGTTTCACAAGAGAATTATGAAAGAGTAAGCTTATTACATAAGGGCAATAAAAAAGACAGTATAAGATTCAGAATAAACAACTCTAAATTGAGAACAGGGTGCTCGGTTCCAGGTCCAAATCATTAATTAATTTTGCTCTCAATTTCCTTATTTGTTAAAATGAAAAGTTGAAGAAAATGATCATCTCTAAGAATTCTCTGATTCTATGATCTATATCTATATCTATATCTATATCTATATATATATATTTTTTAAGACAAGGTCTCACTCTGTCACCCAGGCACTGTCACCTCTGCCTCCTGGGCTCAAGTGAGCCTCCCACCTCAGCCTTCCAAGTAGCTAGAACCACAGTTGCACACCACCATGCCTGGGTGATTTTTGTAATTTTATAGAGACAGGGTCTTGCCACAATGCCCAGGCTGGTCTCAACTCCTGAGCTCAAGCCATCTGCCTGCCTTGGCCTCCCAAAGTACTGGGATTACAGGTGTGAGCCACCATACCTGGCCTCTGTAAGTAATATCTTAATAAATTCAAAGTGTTAATAAATATGGCCAATAGAGAAAAATTACTAAACAGTCACAACATGCAAGATTCTAGATAATTAATATTTTTAGTAAGCACATATCCAGAGGTTTGTAGTTTATGATGCCTAATTCCATAGTTAACTTTTGAAATGTATATAAATCTAAGACTACACAATACACTAAAGTTGTGCATTGTGTAGTACAGTTATTTTGCTTTACTTGAATACCAACATATTTTAACTATGAGTAATTTATTTTTTATTATGCATCATCATAATGTTTATGAGATGTTGATAAGAAAATATACTTGAAAAGATATACTTGAATAAAAATAAAAGTTCGAAAGGTCCATGCAATTTGTTTTCATTTGCACTTTGAGGAAAACAAGAGGGTAACCACATTACATCTTATACCCTTCTATTTATTAAATATATAGGTGTTTCTTTTCTAATAAAAGATGTCAATTTAACAAAAGAATATTATTGCCTAAGAAAAAGACTACGATATTGATTAGCATTAGACATTATTAAAGTTAGTATAAAAATTAAAAATTAAGGATATTAAGTCAAAATTAAATACAGAACTACTTACTTCCAAAGCAGTGAAAGGGGAAACAGAAAAAATTAGAAACATAAACTAAATATATCAATAACTTAAGAACATATTTAAACTCCACTATTAAAACTAAAATTTAGCCATAAGCTTTTATTTATGAGTGACATACAAATTAGAATGCCAGAAACTTGAAAGCAAAGGGATGAGAGTAACCTATAAAGCAATTACCAAACAAAAATTTTAAAAAAACCTATAAAACACAAGAAACCATAAAGTTAAAAAGGCATGGAATACACTAGAAGTATGGATGAAACTGACAAAGATTAGTATCTCTAACACGGAAAGAAACCTTACAATCAATTACATGTATGTGCGCTCACACATGAACCAACAAAGAAATCAGTAACCACATAGAAAAACAGGCAAAAGATGTGAACATGGAATTCATAGAGTAGGAAACCTATGTAGCTGATAAACACGGGGGCTGCTTAAACACACTAGACATCTAGGAAATACAAATAAAAACATTATGGATACCATCTGATGCTCGCTGGCCTGACAAAATTACAAAATTAATGCCAAGTATCAGACAGAAATAGACTAATACCAAGTGTTGGAGTGAACTTGGTAGAAACTAAAATTTTATACATTACTGATGGGACCATATATTGTTAAAACCATGGGAAGAACAATTTGGTATTTCTTCCCATAAAGCAAAACTTATATACACCTTATAATCCAGTAATTCTAATTTCAGGTAAACACCTTAGGAGTAACTTTCAAACATTTTTGTTAAGGACTCACAGTAAGAAATTCATTTAATATCATATCTTAGTAATACATACATACACATACAATTGAAATGAAAGTTTAGGAAACAACACTGACCCTTACTGTGTAAAATGTTCTCTATTATCCATTCCCTCTCATTCCATTTTTTACTACAACCACATCATATAATTTAAAAAAAAACTGTTTATGACCCACTGAACTCATTTTATGACAAGGGAAATAGACAAGAAAACATATAACGTGACTTCATTATGGTCTGTAAATGAAACAAAAAATAACACATATCCATTAATAGGAAAATAGGCTAATAAATTCTGATATTTCATAACATACTCCAAAGATGTTAAATAATCTAAATCTACATGCGTCAATAGTGGTAAATCTTGAAAATTTTAATGAATCAAAAAAAGCAAGCTGCAAAAGGCTTGGCATAGTACGAAACAGTTTATATAAATTTAAAAAATGAAAAATATGCCATACTGCTTAAGAGTTCACACATATAATGAAGGCATAAAAACATTGATGAGAAGGATTTAATCCAAGTTTGGAAAAGTAGCTACCTCTGAGAAAAAAGAGTTAGAGAAGGGATTGATATGGCATTATACTACTTCTCTGTAACATTTAATTTCTTAAAAATAAAAAAAAAAAAAAAAAAAAAAAGTTTGGAGGCCAAGGTAGGCAGATTGCTTGAACTCCAGAGTTCAAGAACAGCCTGGGCAACATGGCAAAACCCCATCCCTACAAAAATTAGCCAGGTGTGGTGGTGTGCACCTGTAGTCCCAGCTAGTTGGGAGGCTGAGATAGTAGGATTGCTTGAGCCCAGGATGTCAAGGCTACAATGAGCTGAAATCATGCCACTTCAGCCTGGGTATCAGAATGACACTGTCTCCAAAAAAAAAAAAAAAAAAAAAAGTCTGAAATAATGTCAAAACGTTACGATTTGTTAAATCTAAATGGTGGATACGTAATTGTTGTGATGTTACTTTTTTAATTTTTCTATAAGTTAAAATTATTTCATAACCCAAAAATAAAAAGAAGAATCAATTAAAAGATATACTGGCTTTTGATGATGAAACTCAAGTAATAAAAAATGTAAAAATGTCTTAAAATCTGGAGTGTGAACAGCATTTGCCTTAGTTTTGAAGCAACCAGTAAAAAGTCAACAGCCTTGGTTGGGCACAGTGGCTCACACCTGTAATCCCAGCACTTTGGGAGGCCGAGGTGGGCAGATCACCTAAGGTCAGGAGGTCAAAACCAGCCTGGCCAACATGGTGAAACCTCGTTTCTAATAACAATACGAAACAATCAGCCGGGTGTTAGTGGTGCATGCCTGTAGTCCCAGCTACTCGGCGGGGGGGTTGAGACAGGAGAATCGCTTGAACCGGGGAGGCAGAGGTTGCAGTGAGCTGAGATCATGCCACTGCACTCCTATCTGGGCAATAGAGCAAGACTTCATCTCAAAAAAAAAAAAAAAAATGGGGTCCTTAAGGTAATTTTTTTGAGACTTCTAGTAAAAGAAGTAGTAGTATTTCAGAGTTTAAAATGAATATGAATATTTCCTTTCCTGGTTTAGACGCGTCACGGTGCCCAGTACTGGCAAGGCAAAATAGAGAGAAAGGGGAAAGAACAAAAGCAAGTGAGCGAGGATGAGCATGCAAAAAGAGAAAGCTCAGTGACTTATTATACAAGAAAAACTGAATTTTATGAGTTTTAATTTTTTAATTAATTGGCTTAATTAAAAATCATTTTATTTTCAAAAAAGATGGACTCTCAGATCATGAGTCTAATGAGAGGGAGAATTAGACACTGAGTATATCAGTAAAAACAGCTATAACACAGAGATTTAAGTCAGTGGCATACACTTTCGCTTTATGGCTAAAATTTTATGATATGTTGGAAGGACAGAGGGCAATGCCTAACAGTGACTTTACCACACAATTAGGGAGGTATCATGCTTACCGTATAATATTTTTCAACCAGTATATAATTTTTCAATCAGGATTTACACATTATGACAATGACTACTAATTGCTACAAATGTAGAAGTCGGAAAGAAAGAGGAATAGGATGATAAAACATATGTTATAATCCAAGGTTTCTCAAATCAGAATGTGTCCAGGGTGATTGTTTCATCAAGCAGTAGAGGAGATTTTATCCCTACCCCCTCCTTCTAAATGTAGAAATCTGTTTATAGCTCCTAATGAATTCTTTTATATTCCAATTTTCAGTGGCAGCAAATTTGTAATTTAGTGGCTCAGAAATTCTGAAATTGAATCACTTAATTTTTACTAGGTTTGCAGCTCTGAATTTTTCTCTGTAACTGGAATCTAAATCCTCACTGTTAAAGAAAACAAGTGAGTACCAGCCTCTGGCTGAGGAATCAAAAGACAGCAGCCTTATGCCTCACACATTGCGTGTACTCTCACTATATATGCTTATCAAAAGAACAGATATATGCCAGAAAAACCTAGTACATATAAGTTGATACACTGTAAGTTCATGCTGAACATATAGTAACCAATGAAATAAACTAATAAAAATTACTCTTCAACAGTTTTTAATTCCAAAAGTTTTCTCAGTTGAAAACACCACCACACATCTGCAACCATCTGATCTTTGACAAACCTGACAAAAACAAGCAATGGGGAAAGGATTCCCTATTTAATAAATGTTGGGAAAACTGGCTAGCCATATGCAGAAAACTGAAACTGGATCCCCTTACACCTTATACAAAAATCAACTCAAGATGGATTAAAGACTTAAATGTAAGACCTAAAACCATAAAAATCCTAGAAGGAAACCTGGGCAATACCATTCAGGACATAGGCATGGGCAAAGACTTCATGTCTAAAACACCAAAAGCAAAGGCAATAAAAGCCAAAATTGACAAATGGGACCTAATTAAACTAAAGAGCTTCTGCACGGCAAAAGAAACTATCATCAGAGTAAACAGGCAACCTACAGAATGGGAGGAAATTTTTGCAATCCATCTGACAAAGGGCTAATATCTAGACTCTACAAAGAACTTAAATTTAAAAGAAAAAAACAACCCCATCAAAAAGTGGGTGAAGGATATGAACAGACAGTTCTTAAAAGGAGACATTTACACAGCCAACAAACATATGAAAGAAAGCTCAATGTCACTGATCATTAGAGAAATGCAAATCAAAACCACAATGAGATACCATCTCACGCCACTTAGAATGGCGATCATTAAAAAGTCAGGAAACAACAGATGCTTGAGACAATGTGGAGAAACAGGAATGCTTTTACACTGTTGGTGGGAGTGTAAATTAGTTCAATCTTTGTGGAACACGGTATGGCAACTCCTCAAGGATCTAGAACTAGAAATACCATTTGATCCAGCAATCCCATTACTGGGTATATACCCAAAGGATTATAAATCATTCTGCTATAAAGACACATGCACATGTACGTTTATTGCAGCACTATTCACAATAGCAAAGACCTGGAACTATACCAAATGTCCATCAGTGATAGACTGGATTAAGAAAATGTGGCACATACGCACCATGGAATACTATGCAGCCAAAAAAAGGATGAGTTCATGTCCTTGCCAGGCATATGGATAAAGCCGGAAACCATCATTCTCAGCAAACTAACACCAGAACAGAAAACCAAACACTGCATGTTCTCACTCATAAGTGGGAGTTGAACAATGAGAACACATGGAGACAGGGAGGGGAACATCACACACCAGGGCCTGTCAGGGGGTGGGAGGCTAGGGGAAGGACAGCATTAGGAGAAATGCCTAATGCAGGTGACGGGTTGATGGGTGCAGCAAACCACAATAGCACGTGTATACCTACGTAACAAACCTCCATGTTCAGCACATGACCCCAGAACTTAAAAGTATAATAAACAAAACAAAACAAAACAAAACAAAACAAAATACCCATAGTGATGTATTGTTCCTTGTATAAGAAATGGTGCTGAAAGGTCCAAAAGTTCCAGGTCTTCGTGGCCAGATCTCACAGGAATTACACTATTAAACTTGTTCGAGAGTTTGCAAATTTCACTGAGTGTACCTCCTGTTAAGAGAATAAATAAATCCTTCAAGTAGTGCAAATAAAATGTAGACAAGTACAGTCCTATTAAATAACGTGTGAGGTATAATAAAAGACTAAAGGAATTGACAGAAAAAGACAATGAATGTATGTAAAAAATATTAATTTGTAAATGTACAATCCTATACATTGATTAAAAAAATCAATGCACAAAAATGCTGAGACTTTGGTAAAATATAAAGCTTGTGAAATTTTAACCAACTTCTTAAATTTAAACAAATTGCTCTTTATTTCAGGAACACTTTGGTTCAAATAACCAAAAGAGGGAATATAAATTAAAAGCTAAGTTATGATCAGATTCTCACTAATTTGCTATATACTAATTAATATCTGGGCAAATTTAGAGTTTAAATCTCAATTTTCAGGTCAATATTTCATTTAAATATAGATATGAGTAGTTCATGTAATATGAATTCACATATAAAATTTGTTCATTTTTCCTGGGAAAATTATCACAGTTAATTCTATGACAGAGTAAGCATTCAAATGACCAGGCTGGCTGAGAAGTATTGTCCAATGGCATCCATTATTAGAAGGCAGTGTCCTTTTTACTTAGCTAATAATGCTTCCTCTCTCCAGGCAAAATGAAAAGGATTTAAAAAATACCTCTGTGTATTTCCTAAAATTTGGGTAGAATTTGTAATGTCAACATTCAATTATAAAGGAGAAGCACTTCTGGTATAGCAGAGTGAGGACATCCAAAGACACACTTGACTATAACAGCAGTAAGAATATTGGCAAAAACTGTAAAACCTTTTTTAGAATTCTGGAAATTACCAGAGGCCTTCAACAATCCAAGGAGTGTTTGCTCCAGAAAAAGGGCTGAATTTTGGCAAGAACGGTGAGCTCTGTGGCATTTTAACTTGCCCTGTTCCCATCCTCCTTCCCCCAAGCTCTTTGTTACTGGAAGCCAGAGTTCTGCTATATCATATTGCAGCTAGATAGAAACTCTCATTATGCATGCTTAAAAACTCAAAACAATATTCCCTAAGCATGCTACTTAAAAGTTTCACAGCCCAAAAGTTAGTCTATCTTTTGGAGACTGATACCTAGCCCTGCTGAAGAGACTCCTGCCTACTGTTCAAAACTGCAATAGGTGACCATTCACTAACTCTTTTCTCTATGAGTTCCTCCCCAAAAACACTATTTCAAAGAATCTGGTGAGAGCTCATCTAGTCATTCACACTGGCCAGTCACACGAGTTTGGCTCTGGCACATAAGCTGGACAACCTTGGTCAAGTTACTTAAACTCTGGTATAACAGTTTCCCCATTTGCAAAACTGAGAATAATGTTACTCTGTAAGATCATTATAAAGATTAAATGAGTTAATATTTGTAAAGCACTTAGAGCCATGAGTGACTATTACTATCAATATTTTAGTGATTTCCTCTTAATGTAAAGTCCATGAAAGGAAGAACTTTGTTGTGTTTGCTACATTGCCACTAATGCCTAAATCAGTGTCTGGCACATAGTAGGCATTCAATAAACATGTGCTAAACAAATGAATAAGAACAAAGAAAGACATTTACATGTATATATGTGCATACTACATTTCTCAAGGTTTGTATCTGGAGACATCCTAACTGAGAGCAATTTATTTGCAATCAGTAGAAATATTTAACATGGACTATGGAGACAGAAAGGCCTAAGTTTGAATTTTTTTCTGACATTTATTAAGTCTTTAACCTTGAGTACTTCACCATTTTCTCTTGGTCTCAGTTTCCTCTTCTGTTTACAAAGGGGATATATCCAGCTTACAGAAGAACTGTTATGAGAGTTAAAGATAAAATACTAAACTAGTACAGTGCCTGACACATAGTCTATTCAGTAAATTATAGGTATTAATAATAAATATTATGATAAAATGATTCAGTGACATTAGAGTTCCATACAAATTGGATTCAATTCAATTGGAAACAATACAAAATGTTTCAGAGGAAGTTAAATGTTATGCAGTTTAAAATATAGTGTTAATAATAAATAAATATTATAAACAATTCGAACCCACAAGTTTGACACCTTAGATAAAATGGTTCCATTTCTTGAAAGGCATAATCTATCAAAACTCACACAAGGAGAAACAGATAATCTGAATAGGTCTATGTCTATAGAGAAATTAAATCAATAATAATAATCTTGAAAAAAGTCACCAGGCTCAGATTGTTTCAATAGCTAAGTCTACCCAAACACTGAAATGACACTAATTCTCTACTATGTATTCCAGAAAATGGAAGTAGAGGGAATGTTTCCTAACTCTTATGAGGCCAGCAATATTCTAATACATAACCAAATACATTACAAGAATGAAGACCTATTGATCAACTTCTCTTAAGAAAACACATAAAAAAATACTCAGAAAGTATTTAAAAATTGAATCAAAAAAGAAAATAATTATTCACCATGACCAAATGAGATTTATTTTAGGTAGGCAAGGCTGGTTAAACACCTCAAAATCAATTAATGTAATTTATCACATTAATAGGCTAAAGAAGAAAAATTGTATGATCATATTAATAGATGCAATAGAAAAAGCATTTGATAAAATCCAACATCATTAATAATAAAAATTCTCAGCAAACTAGGAATATTGGGGAACTTCTTCAACTTGATAAAGAACATCGATAAAATAGCCACAGCTAAAATTACATTTAATGGTGACACTTTCCACCTAAGACTGGGATAAAAGCAAGAACATTCCCTCTCATTGCTCCTATTCAATATTGTACTGGAAGCCCTATCTAATGCAGTAAGAAAAGGAAACAAAAGGTATACATATTAGGAAGGAAGAAATAAGCTGTCTTTGTTTACAGGAAATCACAACAAAAAAATTCCTGAAATAACAAGCAATTATAGCAACGGTAGAGGATACAAGGTTAATTAAAAAAAAAATCAATTGCTTCCCTATACATAAGCAATAAATAATCAAAGTTTGAATTTAACATTAAATAATTAGCACCAAAAAAGAAAATACTTAGATATAAAGCTAACAAAATGTGATCTATATTTTGTTGGATTTATAAGGTTTATCTGAGTAAAACTATAAAACCCTAGTTAAAGGGATCTAAGAAGATCTACATAGAAAGATAGTCCATGTTCATCGTCAATAACATCAAGTTGTTAGTTCTCTGTCTCCACCGTGACTTATAGATTATGGCAATCTTTTTTTTTTTTGAGATGAAGTTTCGCTCTTGTTACCCAGGCTGGAGTGCAATGGCGCGATCTCGGCTCACCGCAACCTCCGCCTCCCGGGTTCAAGCCATTCTACTGCCTCAGCCTCCCGAGTAGTTGGGATTACAGGTATGCACCATGATGCCTGGCTAATTTTGTATTTTTAGTAGAGACAGGGTTTCTTCATGTTGGTCAGGCTGGTCTCGAACTCCCGACCTCAGGTGATCTGCCTGCCTCGGCCTCCCAAAGTGCTAAGATTACCAGAGTGAGCCACTGCGCCCAGCTGGCAATCTTAATAAAAATCCCAGCAAGTTATTTTTGGATATTGACAAACTGATTATAAAGTTTACATGGAAATGCAAAAGATTTACAATAGCCAACACAATACTCAAGAAAAAGAAGAAAGTTGCAGGACAAACACTACACAATTTCAAGAATTACTATATAGCTTTAGAAATAAGGATGGTGTGATATTAGGAAAATAACAGACAGATTAAAACAGAATAGAGAACACAGAAGCAAATTCACACAAACTGGTTTGACAAAGAAGCAAAGGCAATTCAATGGAGAAGGAACAGTCTTTTTAAGAAATGGTACTGGAAAACTGGACATCTGCATGCAAAAAAAAATCTGGACACAGATCTTAGAGCTTTTACAGAAATTAAGTGATACTGTTTTATATGAGACTCTAATGGTGGGTACATGGTATTCTGCATTTGTCAAAACATAAAGAACTGTAAAGCAGAATGAGTGAACCCTAATGTAAACTATGGTCACAATAAAATAGTGTCAACTGCATTAACTTGGCATGAATATCAGTGAATACTGCTGCAGGTCCTTAAAGTCTAAGAATGACTTTGTATTTATATCGTTTTCTTTGGTTCATCTCTAAGTCCAGGTCAGTTTTTGATTTTGTTACTTCCTAACCAGAGCAGTGCCATACTGCAGTAAGATCCTAGCCCTTGGTCCAGGTTATAATACTTAGAAACATAAAATAAAAATAGCTCACATTTCTTATATTCCTTTTACATTTCAAAGTGCTTTTACATACATTCTCATTATTTTTTTAAATAAGCCTTTTTTAAAAAGCAGTTTTAGGTTCACTGCAAAATTAAGCAAAAGGTACAAAGTTTCCCTATGTCCCCTAGCCTCTTCCCCATTATCAACATCTTGCACCAGAGTGGTAAATTTAGTCAATCAAGAAACCTATTTTAAAAAACCATTATCACTCAAAGTCCACAGTTTACATTAGTAACAAACCATTATCACTCAAAGTCCACACTTTACATTACTAACAAACCATTATCACTCAAAGTCCAGTCTATATTAGGGTTTACTCTCAGTGTTGTACATTCTATGTTTTCTTTTTAAGACTTCATTTTTTTTTTTTTTAAGGAGCAGTTTTAGGTTCACAGCAAAATTAAGAGGAAGGTACAGAGATTTTCCGTATCCCCTTCTACCATACATGCTAGCCTCCTCCAGTATCAACATCCTCTACCAGCGTGGTACATTTGTTAAAAATGAACCTATACTGACACATAATCACCCAAAGTCTATAATTTACATAGAATTCCCTCATTTATTAAAAATAAAGTTAAATATTACTCTAAGGCAAATTAAAGAAGGTATTTTTCTTCTATTACAAAAGGTTTCAAGGGAAGAAAAGCCTTCAGAAAAACAATGAAAAGGTTTCAAGGGAAGGAAAGCCTTAAGAAAAACAATGAAAAGGTTTCAAGGGAAGGAAAGCCTTAAGAAAAACAATGAAAAGGTTACAAGGGAAGAGAAGCCTTAAGAAAAACTCTAAATTTGCCATGAAAAAAAATTCACAGTACATATTTTAGATAAATGAGATAAAAATTAGATGAAAATGAAAAGAAAATGAAAAACCAAACATGATAAATTTCATTTAAAACTTGTCAAGTTATCTTTACTTGTTTCAATGGTCTCTTCTTTGATTTTGATACAATAGATGACTTTCACCCTATTTCTATGAAACAACAGTGACATCCAGAGGCCAAGAAAACAGCAATGGTACATAAGCAATCAGCCTCTTTTATTATTACTTAACTAGACAATCAGCTTAGCATTGACAAAATAAAATGCAATCCAACAATATAGTTAAATGTTAACACTTGAGTCTGAAGTACAATTTCAAATGTAATTAAGATAAATTTATGAACGTGTGCTTATATATATTTGAACCTAGTTAACATATATATTCAATTTTGTTAAATTTAAATACTATTTTTACTTTATATGTACTAGGTTGTCTGTAAAATGTATTAAACAATAATTAATTAGGAAAAATATGCAAAAGGAGTATTCTAACAAAACAGTGACTTAAATATCTTACCTTCTATCAAAAGTAGACATTCATTTGAAAGCGGGAGAATACCATTATTTTTCACAAAATGAACTGCTACTTTTCGTCCTTTTTGATTTTTAGTGGTCCAGATTTTTGAATCATATAATGATGTATTTTGTAGCTTGACATCTGGGGTTTTAGTTGCACCATCCTGAAAAATTATATCCAAATCGCCCTCATGTGGAACTTCTTGCCTAAAATTATTGGCAATGAAATGATAGAAATCGATTTTGGTGTAAGCGTGAAGATTTCCATTTAACAAGTTATCAAATTAAAAAGTATCATTCTTACATGTAGATGAGTCAGTTACTTTTTCTTAAATTATGTAAATTATGGAGATAATTCACTTTGCAGAACAAATAACTTTTTTTCAATAGATAATTATTTGATATTTTGTGGGTAAGTATATCCAAATCATATTTACATTAACTACCAGTGATTTCTATGCCTGGTTTTGTGATACAAAGTTACTCATAATTATTTCTAGCATCAATTTTTTTCTCCTCTGTAAAGAATGCTAAATTTCCCAGTAGGAGAAAAAAATGCAGTGGCCCCGTCTTCACTCCAGTTAAATATCCACTTACCACACTTAGGGAGAAGGGCACTTCTAAACTAATAATATTTCCAATTCTGTTTAATAATTAATAATTTTAAGAAGTCATATGGTTAGGTACCATGTAGCAGAAATGGCATCATTTGGAATCAAAAGGTGTATGGCTTTCTTCTGGTTCTGTTGCCAGTTAACTGTGTAACTTTAGACAGTTTCCGTTAATTTCTGAGATAATATCCTTATTTGTTTAAAAAATGATCGCGGAGAGTGGTTTTATTTTACAAAGCTGTATGATTTTACAAAATTCAATAAACCAAAGTTTGATAATATTTGAAGAATTATCTAAAATCCTTATATATACATTTTAATCCCAACCACCATTTCAAGCTCAAATGGGTAAAAACAGTTCCCTCACATTTTATTTAAAGAGATTTTAAAATAAAAAATTTCTTCAAACAAACCCAAATTTTGGATTGGAAAATATATGTATATTAATGAACACAGATACTCACAATTTATAAGCACACAAATACATGGCGATGTACATAGATATTTACACATTGTAGCACATTTTAGTGAAGACTCAATTTAGGGCATCCAAATGCATATAACCATCAATTATCTACATTTTCCAAAACATCATTTTAGATATTCAGAGGAAAAGTAGGCAAATTGCAAAAAGATGAGGAGCTTTTAAAAATGATTTTCAGAATATGTCTTGAGCCGATTATGTAGTAAAAGGATTACAAAACAGTTATATACATTTATTACATATTTATATAATCACTGATGTTCAGAGTAAAGGCACTGAGAAATTCTCAATTACTAAAGAAAATTTAAATTATATTTATTATATTCTAGTTATTAAGCAGGACAGAAGTTTACCAACAAGGCTCTCTTTATCACTTAATTAGATATTTCAAGTAATTACAACTCCTTTCAAAAATTTCAGTTAATAAAGGTTTATATTTCAGAAGATACTTCTGTGACAAATGAGTCTGCCCAAATATATTCATCATTTATTATTTCTCATTTGCCTTTATCAGAGTGACTAAGCTGAATTTTAGATCTGAAAATAGCACCCACTTTTATTACTATCAGAATAATTTATTCTCTAAGAATTTAGCACTTTACCTAAAAAATTTACCATTCTTGCAAAATATAATATATATATTAACAATTTACTTATTCCTAAGACACAAAATTATACATATGTGTACATATACACACAAATAATATGAAAACGTTTGTTTTATTATGGAAAATACTCACAGCAAATGACATTTAGGGCAATGAAGTTTAACAGACTGAAATAGTCTTCTGGGCTTATATGACCTCAATTTTGCTCGGATGCGGTATTGTTGAGGAGCTTTTTGTTTCAAAATGGCACATAGTGGTGTCCTCTCCAAATACTGATGATCTGTAAGTACTGTAAAGAATTTTTATATTCAATCAGAATAACAAGAATCATATTTATGACATGCATCCTCCTGAACCAAATATATACTATAAAATCTAATTAATTTAAGCTCTATTAAGTGTCACTCCATGAAAGGAAGGGTTATGTCTTTATTCCCTGATGTATACCCAAGGCCCACTAGCATAGTGCCAGGCACAGTAGGTACTCAACAAATGTGTACTAAATAAACGCTGGATAATTTGGGGGAAGAAATAAGTAACTTAACTGCCTAGTAAGCATTCAAAAAAGCAAGGTTTATTTAGCTAAGAAAATATTACGCTAGGCAACCGTTTAAGTTCTAACTGGTGTCTGCCACAAAAGAATGTAACAAAACACACTTGTAAAATATTATTTGCAAATATTATTTGCAGGCTCTTGGATGTTTCAAATCAGTTACTTTTTACAGAACCATCATTATAAAATCAGATTAAGAATAGGAAGGGACATTAAGGGTGATCTAACTGTCACAGGAGTGGTGTAGTAGTGGAGAAGAGGAAGTTTGGGGAGTTGGAAGGAGGGAGTGGAGGAGGAGGGAGAGGAAAAATAAGAGGAAGTTGAGTCAAACTGGAAAAAAAACTCAGACAAAAGCATTAGGAGCAATTGCCTGGGAAATAGGTACAATAGGTCTCCTCAGCTACTTGTGGAAAGATGGCCTGGGATTGTAGTGATCAGTTTTTACTGGGAAAAAGTATAAAATTGCTGGTGACCCTTAGCTTAAGGCAACAGCTTGCTATACATTCTAGCTTAACACTTTCATGTGTTTTAGAAAAGGGAAATGATGTACAAATCTTATTAACCTCAATGGCGAAGACAATTCCTTTCAGTACTGAGCTTTAATCCAATGAAATTCTTGTTGAATTAGTTTTCCTTCAAGGAGCAAATGGCCAAGAAGGACAGAAGTTTACCAACAAGGCTCTCTGTATCACTTAATTAGATATTTCAAGTAATTACACCTCTTTTCAAATATTTCAGTTAATAAAGTTTATATTTAAGATACTTCTGTGACAAATGAGTCTGCCCAAATATATTCATCATTTATTATTTCTCACTTGCCTTTATCAGAGTGGAACATTTATTACATCAGAGTGGAACATTTATTACAGTGGAACATTTTGTTGTGGTGGCGATTGTGGTTTTTTTTTTTTTTTTTCGGAGACGGAGTTTCCCTCTTGTTGCCCAGGCTGGAGTGCAATGGTGCGATCTCTGCTCACCACAACCTCTACCTCCCAGGTTCAAGCGATTCTCCTGCCTCAGCCTCCTAAGTAGCTGGGATTACAGGCATGCACCACCACGCCCAGCTAATTTTTGTACTTCTAGTAGAAACGGGGTTTCTCCATGTTGGTCAGGCTGGCTTCGAACTCCCGTCCTCAGGTGATCTGCCCGCCTCGGCCTCCCAAAGTGCTGGGATTACGGGCGTGAGCCACTGCACCCAGCTGGTGATGCTTTTAAAAAGGCCATTGGCACCGGGCGCGGTGGCTCACGCCTGTAATCCCAGCACTTTGGGAGGCCGAGGCGGGTAGATCACGAGGTCAAGAGAGCGAGACCATCCTGGCTAACACGGTGAAACCCCGTCTCTACTAAAAATACAAAAAATTAGCCGGTGTGGTGGCGGGCACCTGTAGTCCCAGCTACTCGGGAGGCTGAGGCAGGAGAATGGCGTGAACCCGGAAGGCAGAGCTTGCAGTGAGCCAAGATAGTGCCACTGCACTCCAGCCTGGGCGACAGCGAGACTCCGCCTCAAAAAAAAAAAAAAAAAAAAAAAGGCCATTGGCAGACCTGATCAATTTAGTGTACATTGCTACACAGTGATAAGAGCAATTGCTTCAAACTCATATTTTAACCTAAAGTTTTTAACTTTTCATTTTAAAATGCTTTCAAACTTAAGGAAAATTGCAAAAACAATACAAAGACCTTCTGTATAATATTCACCAAGATTCACCAATTGTTAACATTTTTGCACATTTATCATTGTCACTGTGCCTGTCTTTATCTGTCTCTCACCACATAAATATTATTGAATCATTTGAGAATAACTACCAGACATTATGCCTCCTTTCCTCTAAATCCTCCAGTATGTATTTCAAAAGAAGACATTTTATTGACATAATTACAGGCAATTTTCAACATTAGAACATTTAACTGATTTATTACTATAATCGAATTAATTAACAAACATTACTCAAATTTCTACAATTGTCCTCAAAATGTTCTTCTTAGCATTCATTTTATTTTCAAGTCTAAGATCCAATTCTGGACCATGTATCACATTTAATTCTCATGTCTCTTTAGACTTCTTTAATGTAAAATAAGTCCTCGGCTTTTCTTTATCTTTCACAACACTGATATATTTGAAGAGTACAGCCATTTATTCTGTAGAATAAACACCAATTTGGGTGTTGTCTGGTTATTCCTCAGGCTCAGATTTAGCTTATGCATTTTTGGCAGGAATAATGCGTAAGTGATACTGTATGCTTCTCAGTGCATCACATCAAGGGGCATACAAAGTGAGTGTTTCTATTACTGTAGACCTAAACTTTATTCAGCTGGTAAAGGTAGTGTCCAATCACTTCTCTACTAAAAACTTACTGTTTCCCCCTTGTATTTAACAAGAATATACTAGAGAAAATGTAAATATCTTATTTTTCATCAAATATCCTGATAGTTTAGAATCCACAGATTCACAACTAACTCAACAATGACTATCATGGTTACAAAATGGTAGCTTTTTTTTTTCTAATTTCATTATCCCTTTTATATTTGTTATTTTACTTTAAGAAAGATATTTCCACTTAACCCCATATATTTTATTTTTCCTTTATCATCATCAACATGGGCTCATGCATTCCTGCTTTACTCAATTAGTATTATTTGTTTTGATGCTCAAATGTTCCTAGACATGTTCTATCCTAAGCCATTTGACGAGTTTCATCATTAACTGAGAACCCCCTTACTTTCTAGTACAAGGTTACTCCATACTAATCTTGTAATTCCCTTGTTCTAGTTCAGAAATCTGCTGTTTCACCAAGGAGCTCTGATTCCTTTAGAGAGAAATATTATTTATAAACCAAGATCTGAGCACCAGGTGTGCTTATGGCAACTGGAGTGCTGCTGCCTCTATGCTTTTTCATGGAGAGAGAGATAGGGTACATATGAACACACATTCATACTGACACACACACACACACACACACCCCTATAATATAAACAAATGTGTACACGTGTGAATATATGCGTATCATACATACACACAGCTACATCGACTTCTGTATTTACCTAGAAAACATGAGTACATAATGGTACCTCCAATTACAACACAACATTAAAAGATTTCATCAATCCTTCTTCCATTCACATTTGTTATCTTCCTTCTCCAATTTGAGAAATTAAAATTTTTACAATAGCACATTTAATAAATTTGTGGTTAAAAATATTTTTCTGAAAATTTTTTTTTAATCTTAGCTGATGTAGCAGAAGGAGGGTACTTGATAGACACACTATCATTACTAACATTAAATTAAAATTTTGAGGCATATTGCAAGGAGCTCCTTTATGGTACACTGTTAAATGCATCATGTGACAGGATAACTCTTCATGTAATAGTTTAAAGATATGTGTCTTTACATTGCACATTTTAAGTCATGTAACTCTAACAGAGATACATGACTTCAAATACATCATGTATTTAATGTTTAAAACATATCTGTTTTAAACATTAAGTCTGTTAGAGATAGATGACTTAAAATATGCAATGTAAAGACACGTTATCTTTATGGGTTCCATTTTATGCCAACAAGACACGGTAGAAGAAGAAAGTTAAATATGGACATATTTTAGCTTTAAAGGATATGTGTTCTACTATTAGAAAGAAATGGATTAGCTGGTAAGTGTAGAGGCAGACTTTATTATGCTCATTACTGTGCCCATCTCAAAAATGATACATAGTCTTACTTGTAGCAGATAGCTGTTGACATCTTTCTACCTCGTATAATGATACTGATCCAGAGCCTATAAAAAGGAAAAGGCAAAAAAATTAAGTCCATTACAACTTCATTGTAGAACTGAAAACAATGGAGCGTTGCTGAGAGAAACTGAAGAAAATATAAATAAATGGTGAGATATGCCACATTCATGATTTAGAAGGCTCAATATTGTTAAGATATCAATTCTCTCCAAATTAATCTGTAAATTCAGCATAATCCTTCGAAAATAGCAGAGGCTGGGGTGGGCACAGTGGCTCACGCCTATAATCCCAACACTTCGGAGGACTGAGGTGGGCAGATCACTTGAGATCAGGAGTTAGAGACCAGCCTGGCCAAAATGGTGAAACCCCATCTCTACTACAAATACAAAAATTAGCCAAGTGTGGTGCAGATGCCTGTAATCCCAGCTACTCAGCAGGCTGAGGCATGAGAATCACTTGAACCCAGGAGGTGGAGGCTGCAGTGAGCTGAGATTGTGCCATTGCACTCCAGCCTGGGCAACAGAATGAGACTCTGCCTCAAAACAACAACAAACAAACAAATAGCAGAGGCTTTATTGTAGAGATTGCAAAGCAGATGCTATCACTTATGTGGAAGTGCAGAAAATCTAGAATATTAAATAACATTTTAAAAAATAACAAAGTTGGAGAACCATGTACATGACTTCAAGACTTACTATAAACTTACAGTAATTTAAGACAACACGGTACTGGCATCAGGATTGAAAAATAGATCAACTGAATTAAATTAAATAGAGAGCCTGGAAATAAACCCACATTTACATTGTATTTTGATTTTTTACTAAAGCAGCAAAGCAATGCAAGGAGAATGCAAATGGTGCTGCAATAACTGAAAATTTAGTGTGAGGAAAATGCATACTTCACACTATACTAGTAAGCATTGAATGGGAAGCCTAGACATAAGCCCACATTTATACTCGCTTGATTTTTGACAAAGACATTGAAGCCATCTAATAGGAAAAAGGAAACAAATGATGTCATAACAACTAGAAATTCCTATCTAAAGAAAAAATGTCTACCGCATATCATGTGACTAGGCATTAAAAAGGAAACAAACTAATGATATATGCAACAATGTGATTAACTCTCAAAAACATATAGTATATACAAAAAGAGTACATATGATTCAATTTTTTCAAAGTTCTAGAACAGCAAATCTAGAGGGATTTGGGTTACACGTTTATGTATTAGTCAAAACTCATGGAGTGGTTCATAAAATGGAAAGTTGTCCATTTCACTGCTAATTTTACCTCAAAAATAAAAAACTCTAAATAACTACTAAACTCTAGCTAATTATGTTCATACCACAGTGTTTAGAAAATGTACTTATGTCTGCAACTTACTTTGAAATGTATAAAAAATATAAATTAATGAATGAAGAGGCACATAGGCCAGGCACGGTGGCTTGCACCTGTAATCCCAGCACTTTAGGAGGCCGAGGCGGGCAGATTATCTAAGGTCAGGAGTTCGAGACCAGCCTGGCCAACATGGTGAAACTGTGTCTCTACTAAAAATACAAAAATTAGCTGGGCGTGGTGGTGGGCACCTGTAATCCCAGCTACTTGGGAGGCTGAGGCAGGAGAAGCTTGAACTCAGGAGGTGGAGGCTGCAATGAGCCGAGACCGTGCCACTGAACTCCAGCCTGGAGGACGAAGCGAGACTCCATCTCAAAAGAAAAAAAAAAAAAAAAAAGAGATATGTAGAAATAAATACACGTGACAGAGCACACAAAGTAAAATAGTTATTGGAGAGTCTAGCTGGTAGTTATTTGAGTATTCATTGTACAACTGTTTTAATTCTACCATGTATGAAAGTTTTTATCATGTTGAAAAAATACAGTGTAGAGGAAATAAAAGCGGAGATGGATAAAATAGTAAACTTATGAAATTTAATAGAATGACCAAATGAACATCAAAAATAGGATTTTACTCTAACAAGAAAGCAAAAGTAGTAGTCATAGCATTAAGGTTACAAAATGCTTTCTAAAAAGAAGAACTTAAGACTTTAAAAATGTGTATTTTGTAATCACTTTAGCTTACATTCTATTATACATAACAGTACATTATGTTTTTATAATTTATTTTATAAAGCATCATACACAAACATATCCTCAATATTGCTAATAAGTGGTATAAAAATCCAAGTCAAGAGGACTTGAATGGACATCTCAAGCTGGCATGGTATAATTTCAATAAATCTAATTTAGTAATTAATATTGGCCATTACAACATGAGATGGAAATAATGGCAGAAACCATAAAAGTAGTCAAATAAGAAAATGTGTAAAACATACATGGTTGCCCACAAACTGACAAAAATATAATTCAACAGAAAATCAGATAAAGAGTAAGAGCAGAAAATCTGAGGAAGAGGGAATTAAAAACGTTTGTAAATATATAGTAAGATTTTCAAGTTTCCAAGTAGCCAGGAAAATTAAGTAAGAAAACACCTTTCACCTGCTTAACTGTCAAAAATTACATATAGTGTTAACTTCCAATACTGTGAAGGTGTGAGTAAAGTATATTCTCCTACACTGCTATTTGGATATAAATTTCTATGACCTTTGGTAAATAATCTGGCAGCATCTATTAAAAAATGTGCATAACCTTAGATACATCGACCTCACTTTTAGTTTATTGTGGAGAAGTAAAAACATGGAAGTACATATATTCAAGGATGTTTATTAAAGTATTATTTGTAAGAGCAAAAAACTGGTAACGATCTCAACATCTATTAAATGAAAAATGAAAAAAGCATAACATTATTATTATGCAACTATAATGAATTTGAGTCATATGAATTAGCCCAGAAAAAAAGATCTATAATATATTGTTGAAGAAAGCAACTATTTATTATAGTGTGATTTCATTTTGGTAAAAATTTAAGAGAAAGAGAAGAGTCATATTGTTTATATATAGGTATATATGTTTGTATAAAGATGAAGTGATTGAAGGAATCACACTAAACTGTTAAATCTTACCTCAGGGAGTAGGGAATAAAGGTATAGTGAAAGCTATTCAACTGGATATTATGACACATATTACAGTGTACTTTAAAAATAATGAATCATTTTAAAAGGAAAAAGAGATTTAAAAAGTATAAAGTATAATTACAAATTATACTGTCTCCAAGTGATTTGTCATCTGAACTAAATTGGTTTCCTAATAGTAGTTCAAGTAATCATACACCAGGCCAAAACGTTATCACGAAGTTGTTAGCATTTTAAAATAAGGAGAGTTTTAAAACAGAGAGAATGAAGAAAATAAATGTAAAGTATGTACAAAAACTCAAAAAGCCTGCACTTGAATCTGTCTTGCTTTGTCATCAGTTAACAGCTAAGTAACTATGGACAAATTATATGATATCCATCCATCAAAGCCTCAGTTTCCCATTGTTTAAAGGAGACAGAATAATTCATCTCACAGGAGTGTTGTTAGAATTAAATAATAATGCGGACGGGCGCAATGGCCTGTGCCTGTAATCCCAGCACTTTGGGAGCCCGAGGCGGGCGGATCATGAGGTCAGGAGATCGAGACCATACTGGCTAACACAGTGAAACCCCGTCTCTACTAAAAATATATATAAAAAAATTAGCCGGGTGTGGTGGCGGGTGCCTGTAGTCCCAGCTATTGGGAGGCTGAGGCAGGAGAATGCCCTGAACCCGGGAGGCGGAGCTTGCAGTGAGCAGAGATCGCGCTAGCCACACTCCAGCCTGGGAGACAGAGCAAGACTCTGTCTCAAAAAAAAACAAAACAAACAAACAAACAAACAAAAGAATTAAATAATAATGCCTGCAGGCACTTACATGCCTACCAAGAAATGTGTGTTAATTTTCATGCTTATTATTGAGATGGAAAGAGAATACATCTCATAAAATGATTCTTTGGATCATAGCAGGGTAGGAGTTAGGTAGAAAAAAAAAAAAACAACAACAACAGAGAAACATGACCTAGATTCTAGGTCCCAAAATGCAGAAGTAGAAATTAAGACAGGCCAGGTGTGGTGGCTCAAGCCTGTAATCCCAGAATTTTGGGAGGCTAAGGCAGGAGGATTGCTTGAGACCGGGAGACCAGGAGGTCGAGACCAGTCTGGGCAACATATAGTGAGATCCTGTTTCTACCAAAAAATAAAAAATTAAAAAATTAAGAGTAAAAAAAGCCAGGCATGTTGGCATGTGCAGGACTACAAGTCCTTGCTACTCAGGAGGCTGAGGAGGGAGGATATCACTTGAGCCCAGGAGTTTGAAGCCGCAGTGAGCTATGGTCCTATCACTGCATTCCAGCCTGGTCGCCAGAGCAAGACACTGTCTCTTAAACAAACAAAAACCCAGAAATTAAGACAAAGTGGTAAAGGAAAAAACAATGCACACTGAAAGCTTTCAAGTTCAGATTTGACTAGTCACTTATTCAAGCAGACAATATTAGAAGGACATATCCCTCTGTTTGTTAATATTTTGTATTTAGATACCTGATTAATTCAATAAAGACTAGTAACTATGTATACATCTAACATAACTATGAGCAAAAAGTATTTGGGTTATGCGAAATAAGTGGCAAAAACAATCTTTGTTCCCTTTAAAAACTGACAAGCAAAATAGTCTATGAAATCAATACAGATTTTCTTGTGAATACACACATATGATATGTATATATCATAATCAAGTAATCACTACCACCCAATTTGAAAACGTAATTATATAATTTAGGAAGAAACCATGTTTACTTTTTGGCATAGGCCACAGATAAAGATTTTAGTATGTTCCTCTACTACATGAAATTATTAATAAGAGAGACAAAGAGAAGACATTACAAAGAATTATGTTGATAAAACTATTTTATTTAGCAAGAACTAAACTGTCAATGTTAAAGATTATCCTTACTTGGAAAGCTGTCGTCAGGTTCTGATTGACAGATAACATCTGAATGCTGATTGGCTGTCAAATTTGCAGATTCTAAATCCCTATAATTGAAAGAATACAATTTCAAATTGCATAAAACAAAGTCAATATAGTAAATTTAGCTCTACCCACAAAATCCAGAAATTCATTGAAATTGTATATAAAATTTTGTATGTATATGCATTCTTCAGTAAAGGATCTATTGCTTTCATCAGATTTTCCGGGGGTTCAAATTAAAAATCTGAGTTTAGAAAGATACAAGTGAAACAGCAGAATGATGAAATAATACAAACAAAAATAAACTGGGAATTTAATGGATAGCATTCTGAGTCAGAACAATCTAACTCTAGATTCAAGAAGCTAAATATGATATTAAAAATCAGTGAAATTGATATAAAAGTAATAAAACAGAAGCTAATTTAATGTCACACTAATTCCAATGAATTAAAATGTAGACAAAAGTTATTTAAATTTAATGAACAGTATGTTTTCTCTTTGAAGATATGAAGATTTTTTAAATTTCTAGAATATTGACCAAAATGCTTCTGCACACAATACTCACTAGGAATACCTTGGGAAAAGCAGATCTAAATATATAGCAGGTCTAAGATACTATTTACTTTCTGGCACATGTAAAAATTTTAAAAAGTTTAAAAGAGAGTGATACACCAAAACATGTGTTATCTATTTAATCAGTGGCACTTCAGAAATACATTTTTTTCATGAGAGAATTAAATATTTTTGGAATCTTAGATATGTATCAAATTTTCCAAACTTTAGCTAAGGTCTAGTTTCCCCTGTTTGTTGCTGTACTTGGAGAGTGTGGTAAATGATAGAAGAGAAGCATGAGTGTAAAAGCCAGATTCAAACTGTTGGAAAACTTCAACTATAACCCTGGCTCTGCTACTACTTAGCTCTATGAGCCTATAATCATTTGATTTGTTTCATTTGGCTCATCTATTTAAAAACATGGCAAATGGCACAAAAGGCTAGGGAACTATCAGAAGCCCCAGGAACAATATTATCTTAGAAATCGGCTTAATCGATACCTTATTTACATTTTCTAAATACTAAAAGCTTACTTTTTCAGTTGATCCACATCAGAGTTACTTTCTGGCAAGACCCTGATTCCCCGACCGTAACTGGTACCTCCATGAAGATGAAACTCTAAACTTAACATTGTCTGATTCTCTGAATTCATTGATTGAAGTTTGGTATGAAGGCTATAGATTCTAAGAAAGCTTCCAACCTAAAAAATAGATCATTTGTTATTTAGAAAGTGGGGAAAAATTAAAATACTTCTGATATTTAAAACTTTAATAACCAATATGGGGCCAATGAGGGCACTGACCAGTCAGGAAATATACTAAAGTATCTGCAAAGTATGCTATACGAGTGTGGTTGAATATCAGCTGCATGGACACTACATCAAAACTAAATATATGGACATGTGCATGCATATGCGTGTGTGCACACACATACATATACACACACATTCAACTGTAAGAGATATTTCCATTTCAGATCTATTAAAATGTGAAAAAATATTGTGTCTTAGCATCAATAAAATATAATGGTTAAGAAACCCATTACCTAAACGGAATTCAAGCCCTCTATTTGACTAAGGTTTCTGAAAATGCCTTGCTTTAACTAGTTTAAGGATTAATTAAATATGATCCTGAAGATACTGTCATTACAAGAATGCTAAGAAGAAATTTTAAATATGGTACTACCGAAAAATAATAAACATCTTCCATCTTACAAGTTCTATGGAAAGAAAACTTCTGCATTTGTGCCTGTACCACCACAGTGTGAAACACTCCTTGAGTTCAAACGTAAGAGTTAACTAATTAGAGTTTTGAATTAAATGTTCTATAGTTAATCTCAGATGTTTTGCTAAACTTAGTCTACAAATGTCTTTAATTATAGACCACTGAGATTTTTCTTTTAATGGAGATTTCAAATGAGAGAGATGCAGAATGCTATTCAAAGATATTGACACCTACCTAAAAGAAGCTATATAACCTAAATCACATTTATATTTATGAAGAAAGATTTAGAAGCAAAAGGAGTTACAAACAAGGAAATTTAATTCATTTGTATAAATATAGCACTCCTGACTACTGGATGACTATAGGGATACCACTTTTTTTCCCCTACAAGTTCAGGATTGAATAACAGACATCTTACATAACAAAAAAACTATATAGGTTAAATATTCTTTATCTGAAATACTTGAAAACAGAAGTGTTTCAGATTTCAGATATTTACAGATTTTGGAATATCTGCATATATATAATGAGCTATCTTAGAGATGAGACCCAAGTCTAAAAACGAAATTCATTTATGTTTCACATATATGTTATACACATCACCTGAAAGTAATTTTCTATAATATTTTCAATAATTTTGTGCATGACACAAAATTTTTGTACACTGAATAATTGGAAAGCAAAGGGTTCACTCGCATACTGGCACTCAAAAAGATCTGCATTTAGGAGAATTCTGGACTTTTAGATTATGGAGGCTCAATCCTATAAAAGGAAACGTTTAAAAAAAAAAGATGAGTAGCAAATCAACTTTCCAATTCTGCTTATTGTAGCTTCTCTTAATTATATTTCCCCTCATTACTCTTTATTTCTGATGGAGGATATAAGCAAAGGAGGTAAGGAGAAAACCCACACTCCCAGGTGCTACTCCTTCATTCCCAAGGATCTTTTTTCCCAACCAATCAAGGGTTTTATAAGGAGCAGACAAAATACAAGCCTTTCCTTTGACCTCTTTCACTTACATCTATATCATAACCAGGGAGTAGTATAAAGAAAGTTAAAGAAGAAAAGAACAAAAAGAAAAAAGAAAAAAATAATTTTCCTCATAGTCTTCAAAGTGAGACATTGGAAAAAACATAAAATTTTCTAGTTTTATCTCATTCTTTTTGACTGGATTATTTTGTGATTCTTTTAAAATATGTGTGTGTATATGTATATATAAATATATTAGTATAGCACATGTATGTATGATCTACAAAAGATTTGAAAGAAGGCCTAAACACATGGAGAAAGATATTCACATACAAAAGGCTTTGATATTACAAAAATGATAATTTCCTCCAAATTAAACTTTAAATTTTATGCAATTCAATCAAAATTCCCAGAAGCTTTCATGGAATCTGAAAAGCTAATCCAAAAACTTATACGAAAGAGAACAGTCAAATCAATTTTAAAGAATATGAGAGGGGGGCTTTACCCTATCAAAAAATACATAAAGAAAAAGGATAATAAACATAGGTATACGTACAAACCTACATATGGAGACACAGAGAGGAGAGCAAAAAAAAAAAAAAAAAAAAAAAAACCAGAGCAGGCAGGAGCTCAAAGAAGGTTCGATGTGTAGAGTTTTATTTCCTAAAATTTAAAAGTGTCTGAAATAAATGTGGCAAAACATTTAAAAAATAAGGTGAACACACGGGTGTTTATTATACTATCTTGTCTACTACAGTATTTTTTAACATAACAAAATTTCGAGGCCAAGATATAAGTTATTCACATAAAGATAAGTTGTTATTATCAAAAATTCCTTATGGAGGCAGCATTGTATTTTTTCAAAAGCTTGACTAAAAATACTATGAAATGTGCCAGATGCTCTATTATAAAAAAACAAGTATTGGTTAATCTTGTCAGTATTAAGATTCCAAAAATACAAATGAAACATCAACCAAAAAATTATAAAAATACAGTTTAAAAAACAACTATAGAAGTCTATTTAAATACTAAAAAAAAACTAGAAACACTAAAAAAAAAAGCAAAGTAAATATGGCTAGTAAGAAATGACTATCCCTTTAGAAATAATCAAACGATTTGTCATAAACGGTCAAGAATTTCCCTTTAGGTTTATTATTTTTAATTCCCTGAATATGTCTCAAAATAGCCAACCAAATCACAGCTGTTGAACTATTGAAGGCCAAAACATAATTATGACCACGTATATTTTATAATTAACAATTGTGTCTGGATAAGAGTAGGGATTTAGAAAGTAAAGCTTTAGTTTCCAGACAAAAGATTTGAAATCTCAGTTTATGTGACTGGGTCTGTGTAAAATGTTTAAGGGAATGATATAACAAAAAGTGAGATTCAGAAAATAGTTAAGGGCAATTCGGGCTCTAAAATACATTGCTTGTAGATGTTGATTATATTATATTCTATAATTGCATTATACTGTCCTCTTTACTAAAATAAAAACACATTTTTTCCTGTTTCTATACAACAAAAGTCTTTCGTACTGGTTCCAGGTATTTTGACACAAAAACGTAATTTTAAACAGTTGTCTTGAAAGTACCAAGAAGAATTCATTTATATCAATGTCACGTGAGTGAAGAGTTCCTAAATTAAGAAGAAATGTTACAGAGGTTGTCAGAAAACAAATAAATGTGATGTCAATGTGTATTAAATAAAAATCTAAAGTTATATTACTTACACAGAGAAAAATCATTTTCATATTGCATTGCAGACAAATAATATAATGCTATTGATATCTTCACAGAAAACACAGTGCCATACATTTTCTTAATTATGTGTGCTCATATCACCCTCTAGTGGGCAAAATAAAGCAGAACATAAAAAAGGAGAAAAGAATCTGGAAAAAAAATCCACAGCATTCACTGATTCATTCATTCAGCAGCAGCTATTACTTACTTCATCCTCACTACAGGGAAAGCACTGCGATAGGTGCTGTTCAGGACTAAGACAAGAAAAGCAGGAAAAGCGGAAACAGAAAGACCTACATTGGAAGACCTGTTTGGAAGCAGTATAGGGAAAGAGAAGGGAATAAAATGGCGAAGGAAGGTATGCAGAGTGTGGAACTGAGGTGAATCTAAAATGTAAATTCATTTTATTTATGAAAGAACTCTATGAAAAAACCTCCAGAACTGAACTTATCATATATTTAATTTTGAAATAAACTAATCAATGTAGATAATATCTTTCAGGGAAATAATGTCAAAAATATATCTTCAACAGTCAGTGTTTTCTGATATGTCACAGATGTATGTGCATACATATATACACACAGAGGACAAAAAAGTACAGTCACTATCTTCCTGGACCCTGGATTTAATCTAATTTATTGATTTGAGTTGAGTAAACTTACTTGGTTTGTTGTTGTTTTGTTTTCTAATTACTATTTTTTCTGTAACCCAGAACAGTATTGATGGTGAACTTATTTGTGATACAATGTAGAATGGATATATTTGCTACTCCATGGCCACTGATTTATAAAGGGAAATTGGGCATTGAAATTCAGATCTTCACTCTTACTGTTTTCTTTTAATTTCCTATAAGTAGGCTAGAAGATATTTGTGATGGAGATCACTTCCATTTAATGCTTTAAAAGATTAGCTCTGCAAAGAGACATTGTGGATTCAAACACTGGCTTCATCCAGATAGGGACAGGAGGCAGGGAAATTCTACGCAGAAGAGGGCAGGTCCCCAGCAAGGACCCTGCTCTCAAGCTGAAAAGCCTGATACCACGGCCCAAAGTGAGAACTTACATCCCTGTTTTCCTGCTCAAATGTTGCCTTTTCTAAAACCATCCATGGCCCACCCCACCTGACATCCTGTGCCCATAAAAACCCCAGGCTCAGCCGGCAGAGGGAAGAGAGGCAGCTGGCCATCAGACACTATGGCTGGATGTCAGAGAGAAGCAGCTTGACTTCAGAGGGACAGCTTGATGGTGTAACCTGGGAGAAGAATCTGGCCAGAGAGGGCCAGACTTCAAGGTAAGACTACCTTCCTGCTCCATCCTCTTTTCACTTCCCCTTCCCACTGAGCCACTTTCATCAGTAATGAAATCCCCTGAATTTACCATCTTCATTTTATTCTTGAGACCTCATTCCTCCTGGATGCTACACAAGAGCTCGGGTGCCACAAGTGTGGTGTGAGTCAGTCACAGCTACCCTGCACTAAGCTGTTAACACTTAAGCTGTCCATGGATGACAGAGCTAAAACAGTACTGTAACACTTCCTCTGGGGCTTCAGGGGTCACCAGCACCCTCTCAGATGCTGCTGTGGGGCCAGTACAGAGTTTGCTTCTGCCCGTGCCCAAAAGCCTTTGCCCTGGCTCCTGCACCTGCTCACCTGCATGCTCCCACTCCTGTGGTCTGAGTGAGTGGAGCTCTCCCCTGCCAGCACTGAAGCGGCTGCCTAGTTCCAGCACCTGTGCACTCCAGTTCCTGCCCGTGAAGGGGTCAGGGAAATACCCTGCTTCAATCCAACTAGCTGTGGAATCTTGAACCACTGATTTAACCTGAGTGCCTCATTTCACATTTGTAGAACGAGATGACTACCATCACCTGTCTTATAGGAGAGTACCAAATGCATATAAAGTGCCTAGCAAAAGTTACTCTTATTATTTACTGCATTATTATTTATCATACCATTCTTTACTACAAAAAGTACTTTCAAATAAAAGATATAATAGAGAAAAGAAATTCCCTACAATTTTTGTTAATAGTTAAGTACTGCCATATCTAAACTGTGCACCTTAATGTATTTCAGAAGACAGTATGCAAATTCTATAAATTACACAGTATACACACACCCAATTTATAATATTATAAACTTATAATATAAACTTGTAATATAAATATTACAATTATAACAAATTGTAATTTAACAATTTGTTAAACTAATGAACAAAAAGTTATCAGCTACATTCTATCAAACCAGTTTACCAAGCTTAGCATTTAAGTTAGCAATATTTTATATAGCCTTTTTCATTCTAAAGCAGTATTATCTCACACAACAAAATTTTTCTATACTATTTTCACAGTAAAATTATGTATACCTTTAAGACATTTAAGAAAGATTATTTTAAAAATTGCTCTAACCCATTAAGTTTATCTTTTAATAATTTATTGTAACATACATTTTACAACTTAAAAATCAAAGAAATAAATATAATTTCTAGACTGTATCACCTATACATGTAACCATATATAAAAAATTTACATGAGCAAAAATCACTATAATTTATAAAAACATAAAATAACATTTTTTCCTACTATACATCACCTTCAGAGATCTTGCCACATGAACATGGTTATCGTAGACTAAAATGTCTATTGTCAGATTTTGTAGCCGATGGATGTGACTTAAATCACCTTCAAGAACAAGGTCTTGTATTAAGACTCTCCAAGATGGAAATGGTGTCCTGGTGCCATCCCATACCTGCCATAAGAGAGTAGAGTAGTTTTATGATCCTTTTGAAAAAATGCTTGTGCTAAAAAGTTTTTTCCTGGAAACAGTATTTAAAAGTAATTAAACTTATGCCTCTGAATATTGGCACTATTTTAAATATGACATTATTTTCTGATTGTTAAAGAACTACATATGAAATATGGGTAATGTGGAAAATGTAGAAGAATGTAAAGGAGAAAAAGAGTCACACTGCCATAAGCTCAGACTAAATATTCCTGAGTCAAGTGCTTTATACAATAAAAACAAACCAAAATGATCTTGAAAAACACTCATATGTATTAAAATATTTTTGCACATAAATACAACTAGTAAAATTATGAATGCTCTAAAAATTATAATAGTAATACATTTGACATTAATCAAATTATTTTTATGAGATTCAGTCTCATTCTTAAATTAGTTGTAAAGCATTATTCTGATGTTTCCATACAAAGAAGTAAATGTTGTAAATTTGAATAATTTCCTTTATATGATGATTTTCTGGTTCACATTATGCTTTTTCTTCTCCAAACCGTATTACAGGTGAGACATACAAATTACCCACCAGCTCTGGCTATAAATGACGCCTGGTTATTTATATAAAAAAAAAAAACCATAAAACAAAACACACAAAAGATAAGGCCGCACCAATACTGTAGATATTAAAACAAATAGAATATATACATTTAGAGAAAACTCAATTTGAGAGTATTGCTCAGAAAAAAAAAACATATAATATTAACAGAATAGAGAAAAATATGGAATGATGTCAGATCAACAAATTTATTAAATTATATTTAATGCAAACGATTGGTATACCACGGCTACTGAAAAATTAAAATAAATGCACTGTGGTTAGTAAAAAAGGTACCAATATTAATATTGTGCCCAGGTTGAGATGGAAAATGATTATACTATTTTGTATGTAACCAGACATTATATCGAGTAATGTCTAGCTCCTCTGTTATTAAAAAATATAATTTAAAAATTATTTCTGATACATAAGAAAATCACTGTCCGGAAAAAAAAAATCACTCATATTTCCCAGAGTTGAAAACAGTAAAATGTTGCTTTATAGGCCTCCCAATATATTTTTGCTATGTACATATACATTTTTAGTGTGTAAATGAAACTACAGTAATCACTAAATAGACCATCATGAAATTCTATCTCAACAAGTGTATGTCTATAATGTCATTTTATGGTTACAAAGTATTTTATGGTGACATTTACAATGTTATTTTATGGTCATCCTACATAAATAGTGTACACAATTCTCTATTGTTAGTATTTGTTTTTTTCTAATTTTTCTACTGTATTCTCATTTTTTATACTGTAAGAAAGATAAATATATTCTTTTAAATGCACCTTTGTAAATATTTTAAATTATTTCCTTAAGATAATGAAAATAAAATTGCTGAGTTGAAGGGTACAAAAAGACTTTTGAGGCTTATTCTTAAATTGTTGTAAGAAAGGCTTTTACTAATTCTTTTCTTTAAATTTTGCTTGAAGTTTTGGGATACATGTGCAGAATGTGCAGGTTTGTTACATAGGTATACACGTGCCATAGTGGTTTGCTGTACCCATCAACCCGTCATCTACGTTAGGTATTTCTCCTAACGCTATCTCTCCCCCAGCCCCCTACCCCACAACAGGCCCCATTGTGTGATGTTCCCCTCCCTGTCTCCATGTGTTCTCATTGTTCAACTCCCACTTATGAGTGAGAACATGCGGTGTTTGGTTTTCCGTTCTTGTGTTAGTTGGCTGAGAATGATGGTTTCTAGCTTCGTCCATGTCCTTGCAAAGGATATGAACTTATCCTTTCTTTGGCTGCATAGTATTCCAGGGTGTATATGTGCCACATTTTCTTAATCCAGTCTACCATTCGTGGGCATTTGGGTTGGTTCCCAGTCTTTGCTAATGTGAATAGTGCCACAATAAACATACGTGTGCATGTGTCTTTATAGGAGAATGATTTATAATCCTTTGGGTATATACCCAGTAATGGGATTGCAGTGTTAAACAGTATTTCTGGTTTTAGATCCTTCAGGAATCGCCACACTGTCTTCCACAATGGCTGAACTAATTTACACTCCCACCAACAGTGTAAAAGCGCTCCTTTTTCTCCACATCCTCTCCAGCATGTTGTTTCCTGACTTTTTAACGATTGCCATTCTAACTGGCGTGAGATGGTATCTCATTGTGGTTTTGATTTACATTTCTGTAATGACCAGTGATTATGAACTTCTTTTCATATGTCTGTTAGCCACATAAATGTCTTCTTTTGAGAAGTGTCTGTTCATATCCTTTGCCCACATTTTAATGGGGTTGTTTTTTCTTGTAAATTAGTTTAAGTTTCTTGTAGATTCTGGATATTAGCCCTTTGTCAGATGGACAGATTGCAAAAATTTTCTCCCATTCTGTAGGTTGGCCTGTTCACTCTGATGATAGTTTCTCTTGCTGTGCAGAAGCTCTTTAACTTTGTCAATTTTGGCTTTTGTCAATTTTGGCTTTTGTTGCCATTGCTTTTATTGTTTTAGTCATAAAGTCTTTGCCCATGCCTATGTCCTGAATGGTATTGCCTAGGTTTTCTTCTAGGGTTTTTATGGTTTTAGGGCTTATGTTTAAGTCTTTAATCTATCTTGAATTAATTTTTGTATAAGGTGTAAGGAAGGGGTCTACTTTCAGTTTACTGCATATGGCTAGCCAGTCTTCCCAACACCACTTATTAAATAGGGAATCCTTTCCCCATTGCTTGTTTTTGTCAGGTTTGTCAAAGATCAGATGATTGTAGATGTGTGGCGTTATTTCTGAGGCCTCTGTTCCGTTCCACTGGTCCATATATCTGCTTTGGTAGCAGTACAATGCTTTTTTGGTTACTGTAGCCTTGTAGTACAGGTTGAAGTCAGGTAGCATGATGCCTCTAGCTTTGTTCTTTTTGCTTAGGATTGTCTTGGCTATATGGGCTCTTTTTTGACTTTTCAATATTGTATTTTAAACTAACAGTTACGTGACAGTGGTTTTCACTTGTCCAAAAAAGTTATCTGTTACAATGGGATGCAGGTATGTGCTGTGTTTCTGCAGAGAGAAAATGTAGACTCAACTATTTCAGCTAAAAGTTGGCACATTTTATCTTAGAATTTAAGAATTTTCTAAAAACACAGTCAAAAGATAGAATATGCCTCAGTGCATAGTAGTAGAGTCCTTGTCATAGGAAGTGTTCAGTTGTTAGCAAATGCTCATTTGTTAAGAATGTCACTTTTGCCAGAGTATGACTGGTTGACCTAGATTCGCTCTAAGTTTGTTTGATTTTATATTGCTTTAGCTTCAGCTTTATCATATTTGACTTATTTAACTTTCTGCAGGGCATGTATTTACGACTTTCTCATAATATTCCATGTGTATATGAGTGTGCTATTTTCAACTGCTAGAACTTTGTATTTTATTCAATGATTTCTAACTTCTCTGTTTTTTAATATGGGCAAGGTGTAAATCATAATAATGCTAAACTCCATGACTTGTCCAAGTGCCACTGCATTCCATTTCTTGCCCTATTATTCCAAAGATAGTATAGAGAGAAATAACCATAGGAGCAGGCCTGAAGAGGCATTTGTTCAAATGTATCCTCCATAGGATGTCCAGGCAAGAAAAACATCAAACATCCAGCTTCTCCAGAAGTTACTCTCTAAACTGGGATAGGTATATACAGAGATTTGATGGGTCTTAAGTTATTTTTTTATCTTGCTGATTTAAAAGCAAAACACAGTAATGCAAAATGCTTCAAAACTGTCCATGGTATGACTATGAAGTAGGCAGTGAAAGACATAAGAAGAGAACCCAACATCAACGGGACAAAAAAGTAAATAAATGAGAGGGAAGGTGACCTTGACAGGGAAACAGAAATATTCATGTATAGGACTACAAACTATGAAATAATAGAAAACAAGTCTACATCTTATTACTACTAAAATTTTAAAAATGCATCAGTCATACTATATTTAACATGTAGATCTAATAACACTATATTTCTCTGGAAGGAAAGTGTAAAATTTTAGAGAGGTACAAGAGTAGAGCTGCATGAATATTGAGGCTCGTCAAAAATAGTTAAAATTTAAGTTCCTAGTATAATACACAGCATGCTTTATCTCATCAGAATGCTGAAACATAAGCTCTTTACAGACATGTAAGTGGTGCTAACTTATAATTCCCAGTATTAAAAAATATGTACCTTTAGAAGAAATGATGCTCCGTCCACTTCTGCTTTGCCCAAGAGCTGACAAGTCAGGTCAAAATACTGCATTGGCTGAACATCACACAATTTTAGTAATGTCCAAGACGGTGACATATGAGTAGATGCCCAAACACGTAAGGCTTCTACCATTTTGTGGTCCTCAGTAGTGAAGTTAAAATACTTGCTTGAAGTGCGAGGTATGATAGGGGCTCCCAAAGTTCCCTCAAACGTCAAAGATGCAAAGCCAGAGCTGGTGATACCCTGAGTCTCCTTTTTATATACTTGAATCTAAGAAAGTAGGGCAAAGTAGAAAACAGATACAAATAAAATAGCTTACTGATGCACAACCTACGAACCAAAGAAACTGGAAAGATTATCAATTTTGCCAGCATAATTAAGAGAGGGCATTTTTTAAAAACTATTTTTCATTTAATTAGCATGTAAATTCTACACTCAAGTGCTGGTGCTACACCAAGATACAGAAGTATCATGGAAACTGTGAACCTCCATGCAAAATTCACTTACATTTTTTAAAGAGCTAGGTGGTAGTCTCCCTAATCCTATCAAGCTTGCAGTTTTACATTTATTAGTTTTTTTATTAAGGTGTAATTTATACAAGGAAAAAGGACCATAAATGACAGTGACTTATGAATATTATAGAAAAGACCAGAACACTTGAAATATGAGAATATAAAGTGAACAAAATGAAGCTCAGGCTAGAGTTTAATCAGAGTGACTGAGAGCACTGAGATATGCCATAAGCTCTTTTGCTTTCTGAATTTGGGGGCTGTTATCAGAGGCACATACATTTATATTGTTACATCTTCATGAAGTGACCCCTTTGTCCTTATGAAATGCTCCTTCCAAAACTCTCTCGTAGTAATATCGTTACTTCATTTCCCTTATGTTTACTTTGCACATTTTTTTTCCTACAGTTTTAGTTCTAACTTGTTTAGGTCTTCATATTTAAAGTGCATTTCTCATAGGTAGCATATATTTGGTTCCTGATTATTTTTGTTCAGTCAATCTTTTCCTTGCAATTGGAAATTAGTCCATTCACAGAAATGCAGTTATTAACATGGCCATATTTGAGTCTACTATCTTATTTGTTTTCCTTTTTTTCATACTTCTTGCTTTTTTGCTTCTTTGCTTTTTTAAAACCATTTTTTTTCCTATTGTTCCTTTCTTGTTTTCTTTTTGGAATTCTTACTAGTGCTCCATTTCGTTCTTCTTAGCTATGAATAAATCTTTAACTTCTTAATGTCCACTTGGAATCAATATTGTTCCACTATGTACTTTCTACTTTCCATTTCATACTTGCCACTTCCTATTTTACGCGTTCTACTTCACAAATATCTTTTCAATGGTAGAATTCCATTTACTTATCCCATCCATCCTTTGTGTTACTGTTGTAGTATTTTTTCTACATATTTTATAATCTCCACCATGTAATATTATTGGTTTTGCTTTAAATAGACATTTCTCTTTTAATTAAATTACGGAAAGAAAAACATTGTGTTTACGTATTTGCTATTTTTTTCCATCATTTCTTGTATTTTTGTCACTTCTTAACTATCCAGCTTCTAGTTGCTAGCATTCCTCTTTGGCCTGAATATCATTCTTTAGCATTAATGCTATGCAGATATGCTGCCATGGACTATCTCATTTTTCCTTTATATAAAATGTTTTTATTTTACTCTCATTCCTGAAGAATGTATTTGCTGGATATAAAATTCTGTGTGAATAAATTTTTTTCTATCACCATATAAAACTTACTTCTTTGTTCTCTGGGTGTCACTGTCTCTGGTAAGAAGTGAAAGATGACTGGTATCATTGTTCTCCAACAATGCATCATTTTTTTCTCCAGTTGATTTCAAGATTTTTCTCTTTCTCAATGGTTTCACATTGAGAAAGTTTTGTCTGGATGTGCGTTTCTTTGCACATACCCTGCATAAAGTACATTTAAGTCTTTGTTTTTCATCAAATTTGGGGAAATTCTGGTCCTTATTTCTATAAATATTTTATTTCCCTTCACCCTCTCTCCTCTTGCATCCTAAATTACATGTAACCCTTGATATTGTTCCATAGGTCCTTAGGGTCTATTAATTTGTATTTAATCCTTGTTCTTCAGATTAGGTAGCTTCTAATGATTTGTCATCAATTTAACTTATATCTGATCTATTTAGCCCATCCATTAGATTTTTCATTTGTTCTTTTCAGTTCCTGAATTTCTATTTTTTTAATAGTTTCCACTTCTCTGATGAAATTTCTTTTCATTCATTTAACATCTTCCTCTAATTCACTGAATCTATTTTCACTTAATTCCTTTTTTAAGTTATTTTATTTATTAATTATTATTATTATTATTATTTTGAGACGGATCTCGTTCTGTCACTCAGGCTGGAATGCAGTGGTGTAATAATATTTCACTGCAGCCTTGACCTCCCGGGCTCAAGGGATCTTCTCACCTCCACTTAATTCTTTGAAAGTCTATATAATCTGTGCTTTAAAGTTTTTGTTTAATAAAGACAACATTTGGGCTACCATGGAGTTGGTTTGGAATGTGTATGATTTTTTCTTTTTTCTTGACTAAGGGTAACACTTTGTTGTTTTCATGTAGAATATATCTTTTTTTCTTTACTAGACATCATAGATGCTATACTGTAAAGACTCTGAATTATGTTGGCTTCTTCTGACAAACACTGATTTTTGTTCTTGTTGGCCACTGAGTTGTTGTCTGGTCATCTTAAACTCATGAATGCTTGTTTTTATGCTTTGTTAGGGTGATACGTGGAAAGCCCATGATGTTTCCCAAAGTCTTCTACCTTGATGGGACTCACCCTGCAAACTCTCTGCGAAGTCTTCTCCGTAGAACTTGTTTCAGGCTTTGATAAAACATGTGTAGAATAGGCCTTACTATAAGATGTGGTCCTTCGTGAGGTGAGCTACTTTTGGGGGGTGAAACCTTTGTGCTGCCTCAGCTGAATGTCCAAGCTGTTAAGGAGGTATTAATAAGGTTATTTGTCCCTGACTATCTTGGACTTCCAGCACCCCATTACTAGACCTCCAGTATCCATTTCATGTTCAACCACAGTTCAACCACACAGCAGCTTTTGTAATCCTTAAGTAGTTCTACCCTGCTCTGTGCAGCCTGGCTTTCAACCAAGTATTCGAGCCCACCCCAACCCTGGTGGACTTTTAGACATCCCCTTCTGTATAACTCCTTCCTCTCTGGTTTCTTGTTGTGAAAATTCCAGCTTTCAGCTGCCTTGAACTTTGACTTTAGCTATAGCAGGACCACAGCTTGAACTTCAGCTTACTGTGCAGTGGTTGAGAAAATGTCTATAGGCAGGGATGTGGTCATCATGGGGCTCACTTTATAAGTTTCTCTTCACTCTCTGATCATAGCTACCCATTGTCCGATGCCTAAAAAACAGTTGCCTCATAACGTTTTATGGGTCTTCGTGGTAGTAGGGCTAGTCTAGTACCAGTTAATTTTTCGTAACACAGAAGTTCGCTCTGCAGATTCTAACTATACTTGCCTACAACTGATCGATTACCTAACTTTTAAATGGGTTCTACTTGATGTATATGCTGCTTCTCTTTTATACTCCAATGTCTGATTGATTCTTGGTTCTGTGGTCATCATTTTTATCACCAATTCCATGCTCACTAGTGTATACTGTTGACTAAAGCTTGCCTCTGCTGATTAACATAGTAAACCAGAACAATCTTCCAGCTTAGGTGTGTTGGTAGCTTTCACATATCATTTATGAGCAGGTCCTCTTTGCTTGAGATTCAAAATATACCTTAATTAGTCTACTTCTATTTCCACCACCACTGTAGTCTAACGCATCCTCATTTCATGTCTGTAAAACTGAAATAGCCTTCTAAAGAATATCTTTGCCTTCATGCTTGTTCTTCAACAACCCATCTGTTATCCACGTTAGTAAGAGAGATTTTTTTCAAAATTTGAACCAATAATTTCATGTTCACATTTAAAACCCTCTAATGACTTCTCATTATACCTAGAGTAAAATCTAAATAACTTACCTACCACAATTTCATCTTGCAACACCTCCCCCATGGCTGCCCATGCTGGTCTTATTTCTGTTTCTCCAATACCATGCTCATTCCTATCACAGGGCCTTGGCACCTATAGTGTCATCTGGTGGAAAACATTTTCCCTCAAATCTCAGCAGGACTTCTCATTATCATCATTTGGGTCTCAATTCTTATGTCTCCTCATTAGAAAGGCCTTTCCTGATTTTGCTTTATTATTTTTATTTATTTATTTATTTATTATTTTTTTTGGATGGAGTCGTGCTCTGTCACCCAGGCTGGAGTGCAGTGGTGCGATCTCGGCTCACTGCAACCTCTGCCTCCCGGGTTCAAGCAATTCTCCTGCTTCAGCCTCTTGAGTAAGCTGTGACTACAAGCACCCACCACCACACCTAGCTAATATTTGTATTTTTAGTAGAGACGGGGTTTCACCATACTGGCCAGGCTGGTCTTGAACTCCTGACCTTGCAATCTTCCCACCTAGCCCTCCCAAAGTGCTGGGATTATAGGCGTGAGCCACCACTTTATTTTCTTTATAGTAGCTATCACTACTTGAAATTACTTTGATTTATATGCTTACTTTCATACTGTCTGCTTCTTTGCATTAAAACAGATGCCTATACAATAAATAAATAAATAAATATTTGCTGGAAAAAGAAGAGTAGATCTTGACTCTTGTTTTAATGTATATTTTTGCTATGAACTATGATCTTCAAATTGCAATAAGAAAAACAAGAAAAAATAAATTCTGATATCTAAAACAAATGTCTGTACTTAGAATGACCTTGCTCAACCAAAGACAACAGGGCGATTCAAAGCTAGTGGAACTGTCAACATAAAGAGTGTAAGGAAGCACTACTAGCCGTAAATATGAACATTTCATGAAAATAGAGAAACAACTTTATAGAAAAATATAGTAATGCTAAATCTATACAGGAGCCTCACAATATATAAAACATAAAATTAAATAAGAAGGCTTAAACCCCATTAACATTGCCTTAAATTATTAAGCAAAATCGATAGAGCTAAAGGAAACAGGCAAATCCTCTATCATAGTAGCCTTTAAAACAGTTTTCAATAGCTGATAAAATAGATAAGAAATAAAAAATTATATTGACCATATGTTAGAATATAAAGTAAGCATCCACAGATTTCAAAATACTAAACATTTCAGAGTATGTTTTCTGACCACCACAATAAACAATAGTAAAAAAAGGTAACTATTAAATGATTTAAATAAATATAAAAAAGTAATAATCCTAAGGAATTGGATTGAATATAATTCAATATATATATTATTTGGATTATTTGAATATAATTCAAATATAATTCAATATATAAATATATGTTCAATATAATTCAATATATTATATTCAATAATAATTCAATATATATTCAATGATAATTCAATTTTTTTGAATTTTCATATTGATTTCCTCTCTGACTTATGGATTATTTAAGAATTATTTATAAACTTACAGATCAGAGATGAAATCTATGATCAATGTAAAAATTCAATTATATATTGAACTGAATGGTAATGAAGTTATGACAAATTAAAAACTGCTGGATACAACTAGGGCAGTACTTAAAAAATTTATAGTCATAAATGAATATATTACAAAAGAAGTGGCTGAATTATTATAGTAGTACAGTTAATTTTATACAGTGATAATACCGCATCTTTACATTCATTCACATTTCTCTAGACTGTGAATGGAGCCATGCATGGTCTGTTAGTGTTTGTGTATACAAATTGTTGAAAATCTCCAAAAAATTTTCCAAAATACTTATTGAAAAAAGTCTGCATATAAGTGTACCCATGTAGTTCAAACCTGTGTTGTTGAAGGGGTAACTATATGCTGTTAGAGGTCATGAGACTCTTTACTCCTGTAGCAGGAGACACAATAATGACCTTACTGGAGGGGGTTATGAAGGAAGTTTCCAGAGTGTTAGCTATGTGAGTATGGTTATATTGTGAATGATGAGATGTTTATCTATTTGCTATTAAATAGTAACTTCCATAAACAATAACAACAACTAAATATGTTTATGAAGAGTGTATTGTTTGAATACAGTATACAGGAAACAATACTGTGAAAAGTAAGCAATTTTTTGACGTTTAAATAAGTATGTATTACATTTCTATGATGATAATATTTCTTTTTATTTATTTATTTATTTTTGAGTCAGAGTTTTCTCTTGTTGCCCAGACTGGAGTGCAGTAGCACAATCTTGGCTCACCACAACCTCCGCCCTCCGGGTTCAAGCGATTCTCCTGCCTCAGCCTCCTGAATAGCTGGGATTACAAGCATTACCACCACGCCCGGCTGATTTTGTATTTTTAGTAGAGACAGGGTTTCTCCATGTTGGTCAGGCTGGTCTTGAACTCCTGACCTCAGGTGATCCGCCAGCATCAACCTCCCAAAGTGCTGGGATTACAGGTGTGAGCTACCATGCCTGGCTATGATAATATTTCTATTTCTTTTTATCTTTACACAAACATTCTCTATTATCCTCTTATTCTCAAGGAAACAGCATTAATAGGTCATAAAAAGTGCCTAAGAGTAGAACACAGCTGAACACTGTCCTCGTTTATGAGCAGCAGACTGACCATGAAGGACAGAATTAAACTCAAGCATTAGAAGAAAAAGACAACCAAGATGATGAAGAGGTTACATGGAAACCCATGTAACAGAGGAAAAGATGAAGAAACAGAAATATTTAAAATCTAAGGGACTGAATATATACAAAATATTTAAAAGCTGTCCAAAGCATCATGTAGTAATTTCCAAAGAAAAATTCCAGAAGTGCATTGAACAAAAAAGCTCAATTAAATAAATATTATAGCAATAAAGATAATAATTTTGAGAAAATAATAATCCTTTGTATTTGTAAGTTCTAAAATTTTTTTAATTGTGCTATTTAATAACTCTACCCTATATTAAAGGCTTTCTTACATTTAGTTATTTAACTACAGGCATAATTTTTAAAGTTCCTGTTCATATCTTATTTCTTATAAATGAAAACCAACTTAATTTGATTTTATACTTAGTATCTCAATGTTTTCATTGAACTTGAATTAACACAAGAAATGGGAAAGAATAATATAATCTCCTAATCTTTGTATACATTTTTTCTTGTTGACCTAAAGCTCTTTTTTAAAACATTAAAAAATAAATGTTCTTTATCAAAATCTACAGATAAAACTTCTATAGCATTAGTCTGTATTTAGAAACAGAAGACAGAATGGAACCAGTTTTAATCATGGCATGTAATACATTTCTGGGGAATGAAAGCAGTGGTTTGTTCAAATGAAGATGTTTCTTACTGTAAATTATTTGAAGTCTGATAATATTTACATTACTTCTTATCTCCTGAAAAGCTTGCTGTCATGTTCTAACAAAGCAACTATATAATTAGTGCTAACTAGTTTCAGTGAACAATACAGAGTTCTCTTCAAATAAATATAAGTTCTAGACAATATGAATTATACCTTCAGCCTGTGAAAGCGAACAATATCTCCATTTTTATAAATTATTGGAAGGGCTTCATAGTTTCCACTAAAGAGCAGGCAAGTTAGTTTTACATTTGTCTGGTCCACAATAGTTACAACTGAGCAATAATCTGGAAAACACAAAAATATTTTACCTGACTTTCAATATTTTAAAGCATTTGATAAAATAAGAATATGCTTACTTCAAAACACCAAACCTTATTCTTCCTTTTAATTAAGTCTTCTAAGAGGATTAAAACAGAGACATTTTCTTGGCTTTCAATACACACTGCAAAATTATTTTGCAGAAGTGTTCTATAAATACTAATTTTAGAAAGTTTAGTAAAACAAAAATAAAAATCTCATTCAGTGTAAATTGTCTGGAGAGAAAATAACCTTTTCTATTGCTTCAAGGTTTACAAATCATGAAACATAAATGTAGTCAAATAAGAAAAATGCAATTTATAAAATAAACATAACTAAATTTAGAATGAAAACAAAGGCTAAGATATTTACAGCAGATATGAAGAGTTGCATCCATACTGCATAAAGAATTTATGAAAACTGTCATAAAAATCAGGATGATACAGTAAATATGTCGTACAAATGAATAAACAATACATAGAAAACTATGTCATAACAAAAACTCAAAAGAGAAAATGGTAATTCTTGCTAGTCACCTATAAAAAATTATACATTATAACAAAAGAGAGGTATTTTTAAAATTTAAACTGGTAGAAAAATTTAATATTTGGGTTGCTATAAAACGATAACTTCAAACACTGGTGGTAGTAAAAACTGTAATAGATCCTGCCTTAAAATTTTTTTTTTTTTTTTGTAATTAACATATAAAAGATTGTATGTATTTATGGTGTGCTATACATGGTTCTGAAGTACACATACATTGTGAAATCATCAAATCTAGCTAATGAAAATACACACATTACCTCACAGTTATTTTTGCAGCGAGAACACTTAACATCCATTTTCTTAGCATTTTTCAAGAATGCAACATATTTTTCACTATAGTCACTATGTTATACAATAGAACCCCTGAACTTATTCTTCCTAACTGAAATATTGTATCAGTTGACCAACATCTCCCCAAAACCTTCCCATAACCACACAGACCCCTGGCAACAACCATTCTACTCTCTACTTCTATAAGATCAATTTTTTAAGATTCTGTGCCTGGCTTATTTTACTTAAGAATGTCCTCCAGGTTCATCCATGTTGTTGTAAATGACAGAATTTCCTTTGTATGTCTAAATAGTATTCCACTGTGTATACAGACCACATTTTCTTTATTCATCCATTAATGGATGCTTAGGTTTATTCTATGCCTATTGTGAATAAGCCTGCAATGAACATGGGAGTGCAGATATCTCTTCAACATACTGATTATTTACTTTTGATATACATAGTAGTACTCCCTATCTGAAGTGTCACTTTCCACAGTTTCAGTTTCCTGCAGTCAACTGTGATCTATAAATATTTAATGGAAAATTACAGAAATAAACAATGTGAATCATCTCTTCATGCAGGGTATCCACACTGTCCACGCTCCCTGCCTGTTTGTCACTTAGTAGCTGTTTCAGCTATCATATCAACTGTCGAGGTATCGCAGTGCTTGTGATCATGTGACCCTTATTTTACTTAATAATTGCCCCAAAGTGCTAAGGCAAAGTGATAAGTGCTTAAACTTTATCACAGATACGTATATTTAGGAGAAAACAGTATATACAGGGTTCAGTACCATCCACGGTTTTGGGCAGCTGCTGGGGGTCTTGGAGCATATCCCCTTTGGACAAAGGAAAAGTACTGTACCCAGTAGTGAGATTATGGGATCATATGGTAGTTCTAATTTTTGGAAGAACATTTATATGTTTTCCACAATACCTGTGCCACGTACAACGTGCAAATGTTATCTTTTCTTCACACCCTCTCGATACTAGTCTTCTTTTTGATAACAGCTATCCTAATAGGTGTGAAGTGATATCTTGTTGTGGTTTTAATGATTAGTGATGTTGAACATCTTTTCGCATACCTGTCTGCCATTTGTATGTCATTTTTAAAGAAATGTCTATTCAGGTCCTTTGCCCATGTTTAAATTGGGTTGTTTTCTAACCATCTAGTTGAGTTCCTCATATACTTTAGATATTAACCCATTATCAGATACAGTTTGCAAATATTTTCTCTCATTCTTTACTCTGTTAATGTTGGCTGTGCAGAAGGTTTTTAAGTTTGATACAATCCCATTTGTCTATTCTTGCTTTCACTGCCTGAGCTTTTGAGGTCCTTTCCAAAGAATCTTTGGTGAGATCAATGTCATGGAGCTCTTCCCCTATGTTTTCTTCTAGTAGGTTCATAGTACTACATTGAATAGAGTGGGCATCTGTCTTGATACAGATCTTAGAGAAAAAGCTTTCAACTTTTTCTGCATTTATTAAAATGATCATATAATTTTTGTGCTCCATTCTGCTAACAAACATTTTGATTTGCATATGTGGAACCACCCTTGAATACCTGGAATAAATCCTACTTGATCATGGTGAATAGTCTCTTTAATGTGCTGTTGAATTTGGTTTGCTAGTATTCTGTTGAGGATTTTTGCATCTGTATTGGCCTGTAGTTTTTTTGCTTGTTCAGTTTTTATTGTGTCTTTGTCTGTCTTCAGTATCAGAGTGATGCTGGCCTCGTGAAATGAGTTTGGAAACATTCCCTTCTCTTCCATTTTTGGAAGAGGCTGAGAAGAATTGGTGTTAGTTCTCCATTGAATGTTTGATACAATTTGATGCTGCCTATATACATGATTCAGAAAATGCATTGACTTTCTGTCCTTCCTAGTCCCCTAGTAATGAAGGTATAGAGATTGAAAGGAACAAACCCCAAAACAGTGAAGGAAAGGAGAGTGGAAGAAAATATCAACATATTTCAGGAAAATGGAAGGTAAGTGGTTAAGGGATAAAATAAACAGAGGAGGCCAAAATCCAGAAGATACTACAAGGTGGCTACAGTGAAGATGGGAGCCACTGGGATTAAGGGTGAGAGTAAAAAGTAGGGCTGAAATCAGGGGATCAATTAGAAGTTTACACACAGAACAAGTGTTTCAATGACTACCCATCCTTATTCTCCGCTTCCCTGAAAATGACTTCAGGCAGCATCTTTGTATTTAACAACCTTTCCATTTTGCAAAATTCTAGGAACAAAGGCTCTTTTCCAAGGGGGCTGCACTCATTAACTGGGAAGTGGTAAGACTTCTCATGTTGGTGTTAACAACTAGAATAATTTCCTCCTCACCATCACATTAGGGAACCTACAGCCTAGTTGGAAGTTCTCATCCCACCCACCCTAGGCTGAAAATTTCAATCAATATGCCCTAACAAGTACTATTAGTCACTATCAAGTTTCCCACTCAAGGGGAGGGCGTATTAGAGAAACAAACTACTTACATACAAAGCAAAGGAGAAAGGTATATAAAACCTAAAATAAACTATACCTACATTTTTAAATATAAAAAGACAGCAGAAAATTACCAGACATTAGAATAAAAATGGAAGACACTGTAATCCTAGCACTTTGGGAGGCCGAGTGGGTGGATCATTTGAGGTCCGCAGTTAAAGACCAGCCTGGCCAACGTGGTGAAACCCCACCTCTACTAAAAATGACAAAAATTAGCTGGGTGGTAGTGGTGCTCTCCTGTAATCCCAGCTACTTGGGAGGCTGAGGCAGGAGAATCGCTTGAGCCTGGGAAGTGGAGGTTGCAGTGAGCCGAGATCATGCCACTGCACTCCAGTCTGGATGATAGCGTGAGATCTGCCTCAAAAAAAAAAAAAGGAAGACAGAAAGAAAATGAGGTTAGGAAGACAAAGGAGAGAAGGGAATGAGGGGGAGGAAAAAAGGAGAGAGAGAGTAAAGGGGAGAAAGAAGGGAGGAAAGGGAGAGAGGAATGGGAAGGGAAAGGGAGACAAGAAAGAAAGGAGGGTAGAAAAAGAGAAATCTGAATTTGTGAGAAGGGTGAAATAACTTGGAACCAAAAAAAAACCCTAAAAATGAAAAACCTTTAATAAGCACTTTCAGAAAGAGTAAAAATATATTATATTCTCATCCCTTGAGGACCCATTGGCTCCAGTTTTAGGTTTTAAGTTTCCTTTGTCAATATTTCTTACTATTAGTAAGGACTGATACTTCATGACATTTTTTCTTTGCTAGTGGTCTTCCAAAGACCAAAGATAAATTTTATTTATTTTCCAAAATAGAGAACACATTCTTACTTGCAATTACCATATGGCTCTATTGTACCCTTTTATATATCTGACATACATTATGGGATCTTTTTTCCTATATCTTGAAATATAGATATTCATTATCTGAGTAATTATTTCATCACTATGCATTAATTATTTCTGTGTACACTTAAAAAGACTAATTTTTAAAATGTGAAATGAGGCAATTGTCTAAAGGATGATACAAGAATGAAATAAATAATCACTATTATATCATTCTTCAGTTTTTGTACTGCAAGACATAAAAGAAGTCTGGAGACACCATCTTTTGAGTTTCTTCTTTAGCTTTATTTAAACATGGTTAAAAATTCAGAATTTTAAAATTTGTGCCCATGGTCAGTGAGAACACTGATGGAGGAAGTCATTTAACCATTATTAGATGAATCAGAAGCTAAATGCAAAACAGCAGCACTTTAGCTAATGATGATAAAATTGATCACATAAGTGAAATCTCAGGCTATTTATCTCCAGATGATATCCTATATAAAGTTTCTCAAGCTCAAAAATTGATGCATGAAAATATGTTTCTAAAAATAGGGAGAAAATACAAAATATTTCTGAAAACAGAGAGGAAATATGGTATTCTTATCCAGTAAGTCATTCAACAAAAATGATTTCACCATACGTTATTCTGGGACATGACTGAGGACCATTCCATTTTGCTAAAATGACTTGTGATGGCATTCTTTCATCTTACATGATATTTACATACCAAAATTTACATAAAATGGCATGGAAGTGGATATGCAGTAGGCAAATGTATAAATAAAGGTAGTGGAAAGAATAGGTGATATCAAAATGAAAGATCAATCTTTAATCATTTGAATTGATGTTCAGAAATCTAAAATAGAAACTGCTTTGTAATTATGGAGCAAAAACAGCTGCTCTCTCCAAAAAAATTTTTGAGTCGACAAAGTTTTCAAAAGTATTTTGATGATGCAAGTGCAAGAAGAAAAACCAAAAGCAGTAATAAGCTAGAACCATTTGTTTGTATATCTTTAAAACTAGGAAAATATGGGATTATGAAATAAAAATGACTTTGCTATGTTTATATCCTTTTTATAATCTTTAATGACTTTATTACCTCTTTATTCGCACTGCTGTATAATATTTGAAAAATGACTTAAACATTCAAAAACTTTAAAAGGTCTGGACTCATATAGTAAAAGATAATGATTGTTTTTCCTATTATGCTTAGGTGTCAAAAAACTGATATCTCCTAGAACTTAAAGCAAAAGGAAAAAGAATGACAAAAGGACAGAAAATAGAAGGAAAAAAATGAATGAGACAGCAAACTCAAAGAATTGGGCCTTCTGAACTCTGCCTTCTGAGAAAGAGATCCTCTTTATGGATATCTGGATATGGTGCACCTGCTTCCCCACAATGAGGTTATATCCTCACTTACGCAATTTGGTTCAAAACTCAGGGGCACTGAACATATGTACCATTACTGAAGTATACAGACTGTTTCTGTAAATTTTTCTGGAACATACATATTAAAGGAAATTCATGTGGCAAGAATGGGCCCTTGTTCTCAACTGCAGCACTTGTGCACTTTTGTGGACATTCCACAGCAAATACATACTCTGTAAAAAATACAGGAGCAAAAGAAAAGCCATACAAAAATATTCTACTGACTGTTCTACTCTACATAGACTTTGTTTCTGTTAAATTCTGTACCCCAGGCAAAAAAGTCAGAACCAAAGAACAGCTAACAATCTTATTCCATAAAATCAACCTTAGTACAATATCTGACCAAGAGAAGCCCCAAAAGTAAATTGTTCAAGAATAGAGGAAGAACATTTACTAGAAATGAAGATGCAGTCTTCCAATTAAAAGGGCCCATTGAAGGCAAACAGGATAAATGATCACACCAAGTCACATAATTGTGAAATTAGGGAACACCAAATATTTTTTAAAATTCTGAAAACTTCTGTAGAGAATAAAACAAGTTACCAATGCAAGACTGTGAAGCAGATTAACATCAGACTTTTCTATCAACATGACTGGGGTTACTAAAAAGACAACAAATCAATGGCTTCAAAAGTCTAAGGAATAATTTCGATACTTCAACTTTATAAAACCTGACAAAACTATCAATCAAGCATAAAGACAGATGAAGAACATTTCCAGATTTTGGCCAATCAGATATTTTACCTCCACAGTATCTTTCTTAGGTAATTCTCCAGCAATACAATGGGAAAAACCATAAAACAGAAAAAAGCAGAGTACGGACAATAGTAATGGATCTCCCAGATAGATAGATAGAGAGCAGGCCTAGCAAACAACTACTCTAGATTGGAGCAGAAGAAAGGGAGCTGATAAGAAAGGAGAGGTCCATTAAAAAAAAGAGTAATCAACCGGTCGTGGGGGCTCACACCTGTAATCCCACCGCTTAGGTCGAGGTGGGCAGATCATGAGGTCAGGAGATCGAGACCATCCTGGCTAACACAGTGAAACCCCATCTCTACTAAAAAATACAAAAATTTAGCCAGGCATGGTGGCGGGCGCCTGTAGTCCCAACTACTCGTGAGGCTGAGGCAGGAGAGTGGCGTGAACCCGGGAGGCAGAGCTTGCAGTGAGCTGAGATGGTGCCACTGTATTCCAGCACTCCAGCCTGGGCGACAGAGAGAGATTCTGTCTCAAAAAAAAAAAAAAAAAAAAAAAAAAAAAGAGTGATCACTTAGCATAATGTTCTCCAGATTCCTTCATGTTGTTTCAAGTGACGGAGCTTCCTTCTTTTTTCCACATAATTTCATTTATACATGGAATCTAAAAAAGTCAAACTTACAGAAGTAGAAAGTGATTATCAATGCCTAGCGGGTGGCAGTGGTGAGAAATGGGGAGATGCTGGCCAGGCACAGTGGCTCATGCCTGTAATCCCAGCATTTTAGGAGGCCAAGGTGGGTGGATCACTAGTGGCCAGGAGTTTGAGACTAGCCTGGCCAACATGGCGAAATCTCATCTCTACTAAAAATATAAAAAATTAACCAGGTGTGGTGGTGCGTGCCTGTAATCCCAGCTATTCAGGAGGCTGAGGCACAAGAATCACTTGAACCCAGGAGGCAGAGGTTGTAGTAAGCTGAGATCATGCCACTGCACTCTAGCCTGGGTGACAGAGCAACTCTGTCTCAAAAAAAGCAGGGGGTGGGGGGAAGAAGCTCACCAAAGGATATACAAACTTTCAGTTCAACAGGAGGAATAAATTTTCAAGATTTGCACAGTGTGGTGACCATACTTAATAATGATGTATTGCATATTTCAAAATTGCAAATAGATTTTAAATGTTCTCACTATAAAAAATAAGTATGTGATGTAATGGATATGTTAATTAGCTTTATATAATCATTCCACAATGTATACACGTATCTAAACATCACATTGTCCCCCACAATATGTATTTGTTTGCCAATTTAAAATAAAAATTTAAATTAAAACAATAAATAATCCCATACACAACTACATATTTATATAAACTTAAGGGCATAGTGAAGGCGCAGTTTTATTATTAATAATGATAGCAACAAAAAAGAAAAGGCATTAAAAATCCCACAAAATATAAAAGGCTATACAGGAATATCTGATCCAAATATGAAGAAAACTAAAATGTAGCATAGAGATAGCCAAAGAATGGAAGAAATATGTATGGTTACAGAAGAGAATATAAATGCTCATAATTATGACAAAAGATAAGTAAAGGTATACCTGACAGAAGACTAGAGAAGAAAGTAAACAACAACACTGAATAAAGTTGACGAATAAGAAATGAAAGACAAATATATTATTTAAAGTTAAAGAGAATCAATAAGAAAAAAAGATTAAAAATTTAAAAGGAATTATATTTTCCATAGTATAAAACATTTATATAATCTAAACTCTTCCTCTGAAAATACTAATTGTTTGATAAATTACAACCACATGGTAACACTTCTAAAAAATCATTTCTCCAATCATAAGTTAATCCCAGGATAAAAACAAATAATCCAGGAGGTGAACAAAGATGGGAGGCAAATTCAAAAGCTAAAACACATCTGAAAGGGCTCTCACTAGAAATCTAGAGTTTTGGAAATTATATACCAAGTCTGAGAAAAGAAACTACATCTTGGTCTATTGCAAGGTAGAAGCTGAAAGTGAGCTATCAGCAGAAATCAGTGACCTTAAAAAACGGTAGCTAGGGAAAAAAATCCACCTGCTAGCATAGGGAATCATGAAGAAAATCTGCCTGTCTGTGCCACGGTTTGGAAATGAGGGAAAAATAATAATAGGCCAGTTTGTGGAGTAACTGGCATTAATACATTCAATGAAATTTCTGTAGATATCCTCTTAGTTTGGTTTTCTTTAGTTTTTGTTTTGTTTTGGTTTTCGTTAATGGCAAACGACATGCTGACTCTAAAGTTAAAATGGAAGAGCAGGGGGCTACCGTTATTTAAGACATACTTGGAAAAGAAGAATGCAATAGGATATTTTTCTGTTGAATAGCAAGATTAAAAAGTAAAGAAATTAGGATAATGTAGTGTTTTCTGAGAGGGAAAATTCATTCTTTAGCAATATAAGATTTTGGTGATAAAGAGAAAAAAATCACTATCACTTCTCTATTTGTACTTCACCTATGTAAAAGTTAATTCCTACTACATACATTAACGGTTTCATCTAAAAACAAATCCCACAATACACAATACAACAACTGTTCTTCCACACAGTACATCATTTATGTTATGTGACATCCAACTAACACCCTCTCACAGAGGATTTTTTGGTAATAGCTTATAGTGTTTCCCCAAACACTATACTGGCTATTAACTTTGCAGCTGGATTCATAAGCATATTCCCAATAGTGTCACTTGAACCTGTTTATGCTGTAAGTAGAACTGTGAATAATGCCTGTATAGTTTTGATGCCCCTTTTCCCCACAAATGTGACATAATTAAGCAATTTCACAGTGAAACAAATGATTGGTTTGCCAATAAAAAAAAACACACAATGTACTTTGCATAAAACACAACTATTTTGAAGGTTTGAAGTTTCTTAAAATTTCGTGATAAACACAAGGGCAAAGAGTTCACTAGTCTGACAAAATCCAATTCAGATTTTAAGCTGCAGTAATTCTGTATTACGTCTCTCACTTTAAATGCTCCAAATTGATCTACTTTCGTAAACTGTGAATATAAGACCAATACAGGAAAAAAACTGTGAATTTAACTAGGCATAAATAATACTAAATAGTTTAATTTAATGTTAATGTTAGTTTAACTTAATGTTTAAATAGTTTAATGTTAGCCAAGATGAACTGACAAAGCTCAGTCCCTGTAGCACTTACATAATATTGAAGAATGTAATGACTACAGAAAACTATTGAGATTTTTGTAAAAATTTAGATTTAATCTAAATTTTAAAATACTGAAAATTGTTTCACATTTTGATTTTTCTATGAAGATGTCAACTTTCCAAAAGATGACCTAACAGACTGCAAAAGACTCTAGGTAACACTTTGAGAAACATTATTGTAGACCCACTATCGAGATCTTTACAAGGCCACCTCTTGCTTTTGCAGAATCTTTGTGCAAGTTAGAAAAAGACTCTCCTTTCTCAAATAAAAGTACTGCAAAAACCTAAACAATTTTACAGAGGAACGTGACTGAGTCCAAGAGAGCAGCAGCCTTGGCTACATACACACACACAATTCTATTAAATCACTGAATTGTAGGCTCAGATATACTTACAGTAGCAATACTTCCAAAATATCATCTACTTGCTACAATGCAAGCTCTCTAAAATGACGTAACTACACGTTAGCATGTTCTTAGAATCTCCTAAGGTTATCTATAAAATAATGAGCAGTTTCAAAATAAAATACTCTTTCAATATACAGTCATGTACTGCTTAATGATGGGGATACGTTCTAAGAGATGTGTAGTTAGGCGATTTCATTGTTCTGCGATCACCGAGTGTACTTACACAAGCCCAGACGATGTTTATTTTTAAAGTTATATATATATTTTCATATGAAAAAACACAATGTCCCAGCATCATTACTACACATCAGTCATTTCCCCTAACTGATCTGTTATGCCAATATTAAGTGCCACGTATCAGGTTTCTACACATGCTCCATTATAATCTTACGAGACCACTGTCATACACGCAGTCCACTGTTGATCAAAATGTTATGTGGCACATGACTGTACTTTATTTTTAATTTAAATAAGTACATATTTATTAAAAGAAACAAAATTCAGGTTAAGAGAACAAGTGGCATTTAAAAAATCTATTCAATAATCTATCAAGAACAATAAGAAAAAAATAGCAAGCTAAAAGAAATGTTAAACACCTTTCAGGTTCCCTCAATTAGCATTAGATTCATGGCATGAAGGGAACCACACTACTTGTTTTAACAAATAGTAACAATGCAAACTGCTAAAATATGTCTTATTTAACTGCTCCAAGGAAGTGAAGTGTTTTACCAAATACACACGCAAAAATATCCTTCAGTAATGACTTCACAAATAAAAATATTTTCCCCATGCCTTATTTTTTGCTCTTTCCCAAACGAAGGTACAAAGCTAAAGGTAATTTAGAAGTCTATCTTCTTGTTAGCTAACATTAACAGGGAAAGTGGAAAGAGTAGAAAATCCTTTAATAAATCAGCATTCGTACTTTAAATAAATAGTACACAGTACTTATAATGTATATCTTTAAACCATTGATAAAGTGTTGTCTTTAATGCTTTAGTAATACTTCATATTTAAACTGCTGACAAAGTACTTAACTAGTTTAACACTTTGGTAATAATTCACATAGCTTGATATAAATCTGGAAAAGATAACAAATGATAAATTAAGTTTTCTATTTTGCAATCTTGAGCAATTCAACGAATTGACTCAGTATGATTAAGTGTAAATTGCCTTGGAGTTTTATTATAAGGGAGAGCTGGTAGTTCATCTTAGCAAGGTTTTTAATCAAAGAAGCATGCATGCATAAATTACACAATCCAGAAAAAGTTCTTCCATGAAAGTTGCTTCATCTCCTTTTTATCTACTAAAACACTGCTGTTTTTAAACCAATCAGTATTTGAGCAACACTATTCCATTGGTAGAAAAGTATATCATTAAAACATTCAAGTAATACCTATGAAGGCAAATCACTGAATCAAGCTACATTATGTGCTGTCATCTTACTTCTTTTACAAGGAAACTTACTGTACAATACAAAAATAAGAGCACTCTTTATTTTTCTGGTGTGAGCTTACATAATTTCCACTTGTGCTTTCATTCTATTGCAAGAGCATGACAGCATGGAAGATGAAAGAAGAAAGAATATATGTTATGATATAATAAATATTATGATATATACAGTGACACAGATTAGATAGATGTTAGACATTGCATGAGTTCATAAACGTTATTCTGGTGGAGTTTTACTTCCATGTTTTACACTATACATAAGACTAGAGAAAAAGTCTTTTAACTGAATGAGTAAAAGACTGTACCACAAGTTTTAAGAATTAAAAAAACAGTACTAAATTTTATGATTCATTAAAACAATTCAAACTCTAAACTAATGAAGACAGGGATAATTCTCTAAATTAGTATGCTAATAATTTGGGAAAAAGTCATGAAAGACAAGCTAGTGCTCGTCTCATAGAAGTCAGATGGAAGCCTGAAGTCTCATCAAAAAAGTCATTCCTGAAAATGAGAAATAGCAAAAAATAAATACAAAGTGAAGTGATAGGGAGAGGAAAGTGTCTTTTCTCCATCTCCATTCTTTAGATGAAAATTGATAGAATAGCTGGAAAACAGTATAAGTAAGCTGAAGAGGGGAGGCTTGTCTCAACTACCCAAATCTTTAAAGAGGTAAGTGATAACCTGCCATGACCTGAATGAGTCCATTTCTGAAAGGCAGTTAAGCATCTGGGAAGAGTCTCCCCTCACTCACCTAGACATATTTATTTTTTGACTCCTGAGAAATGGAAAACTCAGTGTCTGTCTGATCCACCAACTCCATTCATTGTAACAGGTAACTCATCATTCAATTTGAAAATATATATTCAAAAAGCATGGTATCTTTCACAAATGAAGGTTCTATCTTACATAGCCAAAAAACAGAAAAGTAGAGTTTTACCAATTGGGGAAAGACTAAAAAAAAGTTTATGTAACTAATAGTTATAGTAATTGTATTGTAATTATTCATTAATTTATCTGTCTTCACAAAATTTAATCCCTTGTCAGAAACAATGACATATATAACTTTGAATTTCCCATGTCATATTATCTGGCATATAGAAAATAAATAAGCAGTTTGCTGAACAAACAAATGAGTGAACCGAAATACAAAACTATATATTTATTTATTTTATGCGCCATACATTAAACAAAGAGGACAACCTTACGGTTCTAATATTATCTAAATATTCAGGTAAGTGAATATGAACATATCACAGGTCATGAGTTAACAACATGGAGTTCAAAGTGGGAGAAGCATGAACCATAGATATATGCATAAGTCTGTATACGTGTATGTGTTGTATATTTTTCTAGGATAGGTTCTATAACTTGTCATCACATGTGTATGACTGCAAAAGGCTTTTTTGTTTTAAAATGCCAAAGGTGCATTTTCAATTAAAAAAAATTGAAAAATAGATTAAATAATTATTACATATAATTTTACATCATACTAGATTCTTTCATCTCTCTGATAAATCAGAAGGCTCCTAGGTCTTATGAAGTAACAATGAGTGATTAATTACTCAGTAATTAATACATTAATATCAATATGTGTATCAATAATACATAGTTGACATTTTCAACTATGTCAATTCCGGATATGTGGAAGTACATTGTTATACTTTTAAAAATTAAAACGCAAAATATATATTCATTTAATGTGCAACCAGTATTGCTAACACAAAACCAAAATATTAAAACAATTATGCTACATGACACTACATGTACATGACATGTCCTTCTCAGATGTGAAAATAATCAATATTACATAACAAAAAACAGCATTCTAGAGTTAGCTGGGATGTTTTTATAGAACAGGAAAAGAAAAAAATGTTAGGGCCCCATATCCTAGCATCCTATCCCAAAATCTAAAAGCAAACAAAACTGACAGAGGCTCTCAGAATCCAGTGTTTTGGATGCTACTCTGAGAAATTTGATTATACTGCTCAGTAAGTAGCTAAAACAGAAGGTGTCCTTGTAAGACAGTGAACAGGAAGAGAGAAAGATCTGCTTCTAGAAACACTGTAACATCCAAGACTGCTAAACAAACTACTTTTCTAAAATGAGTTTTAATGGGAGGTAGGGTAAGAGAAACAAGTAATTTTGGAACAGACCATACCTGAGGTAAGGTAGTGAGCCCACAGGTGATGTACCACATTATGTGGCACAAAAAGGATGAGAGATCTCTAGCAAATAAAAGAAAGAAGGACTCAAAATTTGAGGAAAGAACAAAAAGAAGGAGAGGCAAACAATGAATATTTTGCCTCTCCCTTCCTCTAAATTCAAATATTAGGAGATTAAGCACAAACAAGGTTCCCTCTATTTTTCCTATTTGCTCACGTTGTGAGTAGGAATTATGATATTGATCAAGCAAGGATGAGCCATACACTATTAACAAGTCTGGAAATGTTTTATGGTCTGAATACATTTGTTTTATTTTGTAAGAGCAGATAATAAAAACAGAGTAAATGTGTCTCAAGTTTAAAAAATAGCTATTTCTAAAAAACTGAAACACAGCTAAAATTAAATTCCCTTATATGTGTTATCTAGGAAAATATGATGAATGGTATGTGTCCACGGCAAAAACTGCATACCTAATACTATCTAGCCAGCTCCCAAAGCAAAAGTATAGGTAAGGTTTTCAGAGAAAATTATTGCTATAAAATCTCTAGTCTTAAAGAAGGCAATGACTTTGTTTTCCTATATGAAAGAAGCACAGTACGTATCATTGATGAGTCATTATCAAAACCAATTTTGGGCTTGGTATGGTGGTTCACACCGGTAATCCCAGCACTTTGGGAGGCTGAGGCAGAAGGACTGCTTGAGACCAGGAGTTTTAGGCCAGCCTGGGCAACAATGCAAGACCTCCATCTCTCCAAAAAAAAAAAAAAAAAAAAAGTTTTTTGATTAGTTGGACATGGTGGCACATGCTGCTAGTTCCAGCTACTAGGGAGGCTGAGGTGGGAGGATTGCTTGAGCCCAGCAGTCGAGGCTGAGGTGAGCTATGATCTCGGCAGTGCACTGCAGCCTAGTCAACAGAGCAAGACCCTGTCTCTCTTAAAAAAATAGGCCGGGTGTGGTGGCTCAAGCCTGTAATCCCAGCACTTTGGGAGGCCAAGGCAGGTGGATCATGAGGTCAGGAGATCGAGACCATCCTGGCTAACACAGTGAAACCCTGTCTCTACTGAAAATACAAAAAATTAGCCAGGCGTGGTGGCTGGTGCCTGTAGTCCCAGCTACTCAGGAGGCTGAGGCAGGAGAATGGCGTGAACCCAGGAGGCGGAGCTTGCAGTGAGCTAAGATCATGCCACTGCACTCCAGCCTGGGTGACAGAGCAAGACTCCGTCTCAAAAATAAATAAATAAATAAAAATAAAAATAAAATCATATAAAATAAATTTTGATGATAAAAGGACATTTCAATATATGTTGCTTCTAAAATATGTGAGGAATTCTTTCTCAGTTTTCATCATTAATCTTATCAAAACTGAATAGGAATGTTAGTATCTATAGCATTATATGTTCTTTTAACTCTGATAGTTCTGATAGACTCTATGTAAAAATTAAAACTTTACTCCAAAGGTGAATATGAACTTAGGAATAGAAGCATTTCTACCAGAATAGGATTTCTACCAGAAATAAGATAGCATGCTACAGGTCATATGTAATCTTTATTCAGGATAAGAGCAAAGAAAAATTTCTGTCAAGGAGTAAAGATGCCAAATTGCTAATTGCTTCTATCACACTGAATTGAACATTTATAAGATGAATTTTCACGAAAAATTCTAGCTAATGATATGTAACAGAATACACTTTTTCCATCTACCTAAATGTGAACTGCATAAAGGTAATTTTCCACCACATAACTAGCTATATACATCTGGATGTTATTTAGATTGTAGCCCTGTATTTGTGAAAAAGTACTGCTTTAGGTAATATTTTAAAAGGCACAGCTGTGGACTGTTCCTGTACATCTATTCTTGTACTTCTCTGTGGTAATACTAATGAAGGTTATCTTTTCCTGAACACAAATATCAGTGCTATTTCTCTAATATAACTGTAACTGAAGTTACTAGAGAGAGTTTTAAAACTTTATTGTCTGGCTAGTAGTCAAGACATCTTGCTATGTCTTAAGATTTATTTAAAAGCTTCAACGACCAGGTTCAGATAAAATTGATGACATTCATTTTAATTTAGTATCTTAGAAGAAACAAACATATTATCTTGGTAATAAAAGATGGCTCATTACTAGCCATGAATTTTTTACTACGGGACTGCAGTGATTGAAGTAAACATATCTGATAGAGATATAAGACACATATGAAAATATAATACATATTCTTGTTCCCCATGGCTTTCATTTTATATGCAAGATTTAATAACATTATCATGAGAAAACATGATTTTTCTAATAACAACTGAAAATTAATGTTGTCATCAATGTTTTAACAGAGCTATCATTTTAGTCTATATTATCATATTTTAAGTTTTTTTTAAAATGATGTATTTGCAGATCAACTTGTTAAAAAAACTTTTTAAATTATATCTTCTATAGATACATTATTAGCAACAATGTAGCTTATTCCTAAGTTTGGTGGGCCAATTAAATTCAACCAGGTAAAACTTCAAATTCGAAGAGGATCATAGTGATTACATCTTTATGGCTAACTCCCAGAAGGGGCAGCACACGTAACATTTGAAGAAAATTGATGGGGAGAGGAAACTACTAAGGGAAAAGTATGTGAGTTTATGTTGAACAGTATGATGGGGTGGGGAAATGAAGACTCTGGGAATAAGCTGAAATGAGAATATTTGAAAAATAGGTCTTCAAGCACAAATTTCTCTACTTCAACTTTAATGTTCCCCTTTCCTCTACAACAACAGATATTAAAAGGATTTTCCACAAAACATTCTTTGCAGTCTTCAGGCTTAGTATGAGGTTTATTTAAAACTTATCTCCGTATTTAATAGTCTTCGCAATGTTCATTTACACACAGACTAGTTTTTTTTACATTATACGTTAATAAAATATGCTGACCACAAGAAAAAGATTTTCCCACATCCACCTGACCAAAGAGTAGATTCCTAGTTCATTCCTCAACAATAAAATTTGTATATCTTTATTTTAAAAATGGTTTTGTAATATGAAGTCAATGAGAACATCTTTGTGTTTGCAACATGATCACAACTCCTGGCATGCAGGAGATAAAGTCTACATTTCATCAACAACATCCATGTTTCACTATTTAACATCTCTGAAATACGGCTCTATCTTAAAATTGACAGTTAAGCATAGTTTAATTAGCATTTTTCCCTTCTGAATGATACATAAAATGATAAAGCCTTTTACAGATAATGGTGTTTTAGAATAGATGAAATACAATAAACAATGTTAAATTTAGTAAAATTAAATTAAACACAGGTGAAGTGTGTGTTTCTGTTCACTTTATTACCTCACAATAAACTGAAATTCATGGCTTTTGATGTTTTCGTTTACATGTTTGTTAAAACCTTACATTATCATATAGCAATTAATAGGTTATACATTTTTACTTTACTTTTAAAACTATCCAAATATATATACACCTCTGTATCAGTTCATATATATGTATATATGTATATAAAATCATGGCCAGGGCCAGTGCCAGGAAACCTTTCCCCTGTTTTATTCCAGAACATTCAGTTTCAGGTCATACTCTTAAGTCTTTAATCCACATTGAATTGATTTTTTTGTGTAGGATCTAAGGATCCAATTTCTTTGCATGTGGATATACAGTTTTCCCAGCCCCATTTGGTGAAGAGACTATACTTTCCCCATTATATATTCTTGCACCCTTGTCGAAAATCAGTTGACCATAATAAACGTGTGGGCTTATTTCTAGGCGCTCTATTCAATTCCATTAATCAGTATGTCTGGCTTCATGGCAGTACCATACTGTCGCAATACTGTTACTTTTTAACGTATTTTGAAATTAGAAAGAGAGAAGCCTCCAGGTTTGATCTTTCTCAGGATTCTTTTGGCTATTCAGGGTCCTTTGTGTTTCCATATGAATTTGAAGATTGATTTTTATTTTTCTATAGAAAATGCTACTTGGATTTTGATAGGGAATACATTGAATCTGAGATGACTGAGTAGTATGACCATGTTAATAAAGGCATAACTCATGTAATTGTACTTTACTTTGTTGTACTTTGTAATACTGCAATTTTATAAATTAAAGGTTGTGGCAACTCTGCATTGAGCAAGTCTACTGTCACCATTTTTGCAACAGTATGTGCGTCTATGTTACATTTTGGTAATCCTCACAATACTTCAGACTTTCCCATTTTCACTGTATCTGTTATGGTGATCTGTGATCAGTGATCTTTGGCATTACTATTATAATTGTTTTGGGGTAGCACAAATCACACCCATATAAGACAGTGTACTTAACCAATAAATATGTGTATTCTAACTCCCCCATCAACCTGTCATTCCCCTCTCCCTCTCCTGAGGCTCCTTATTCTCTGAAACACAACAATATTGAAATTAGATGACTTGATAACCCTATAATGGCCTATAAGTGTTCAAGTGAGAGAGTCACATGTCTCTCACTTTAAATCAAAAGTTACAAATGATGAAGCTTAGGAAGGCATATATCCAAAGCTGAGATACACTGAAAACTAGGACTCTTGTGCCCAGTTAGCCAAGTTGTGAATACAAAGAAAAAGCTCCTGAAGGAAATTAAAGGTGCTACTTTAGTGAACACATGAATGAGAAGAAAGTCAAAGAGCCTTATGGCTGATACACAGAAAATTTTAGTCGTCTGCATAGATGATCAAACCAGTACAACATTCCCTTAAGCCAAAGCCTAAAGTAGAATGAGGCACTAACTCTCTTCAATTCTTTAAAGGCCAAGAGAGGTGGGAAGGCTAGAGAAGACAAATCTGAAGCTATCACATTGGTTCATGGCATTTCAGAAAAGAAGCCATCTTCATAAGATAAAGTACAAGGTGAAACAGCAAGTAGCAAGTGCTGATGAAGAAGATGGAGCAAGTTATCCAGAAGACCTAAGATCATCAACGAAGGTGGCTACACAAACCAACACATTTTCAATGTAAACCAAACAGTCTTCTCTTGGAACAAGGTGCCATCTAGGACCTTCACAACTATGGAGAAGTCAATGCCTGCCTTCAAAGCTTCAAAAAACAGGTTCACTCTCTTGTGAGAGTCTAATGCAGTTGATGACTTTCAGTTGAAGCCAATACTCACTTAGTCTCAAAATCCTAGGGCCTTTCAAAATTAGCAAAACCAACTCTGCCTGTGCTCTTTAATGAAACAACAAAGCCTGGATGACATTGCTCACAGCATGGCTTTCTGAATACTTTAAGCCCAACGTTGAGACGTACTGCTCAGCAAAAAAGATTCTTTTCAAAATATTACTGCTCATTGACAGTGCACCTAGTCACACAAGAGCTCTGATGGAGATGTTCAAGATCAATGTTATTTTCATGCCTGCTAATACAATATCCATTCTGCAGCCCACAAATCAAGTAATAATTTTTACTTTTAAGTGTCATTATTTAAAAAAAATACCTTTTATAAGGCTATACCCACCATAGATAGCAATCCTTCTGATGGACTGCGGCAAAGTAAATTAAAAACCTAGAAAGTATTTATTCTAGATGACATCAAGAACATGCATGATTCATGTGAGGTCAAAATCCAACATCAACAGGGGTTTGGAAAAAGTTAATTCCAACCCTCACAGATGACTTTGAGGGGTTCAAGACTTTGGTGGAATTAAGTCACTGCAGATGTGGTGGAAACAGTAAGAAAACTAGAATTATAAATGGAGCCTGAAATTGTGACTGAATTGGTGCAATCTCATAATAAAACTTCAACAGATGAAGAGTTGCTTCTTATGGATGAGGAAAGATAGTTTCTTAAGAAGTAATCTACTCCTGGTAAAGGTGTTATGAATATTTTTGATATGACAACAAAAGACTTAGAATATTCCATAAACTTAGTTGATAATGCAGCAGCAGGGTTGACAAGGACTAAAATTTTGAAATAAGTTCTACTGTGAATAAAATACTATCAAACAGCATCTCATGTTACAAAGAAATCTTTTGTAAAAGGAAGAGTCAATTGATATGAGAAACTTCAGTATTGTCTTATTTTAATAAACTGTCACAGCTACACCAGTCTTCAGAAAACTCCATCCTGACCAATCAACCTATCATCTCCACCAGCAAAACGATGATAACTCGCTGAAGGCTCAACTTATCCTTAGCATTTTTTAGCAATACTGTATTTATCATCAAGGTGCATACATTTTTTAATGTAAACTAGTACAAACACTATAAAAAACAGCATGGAGTTTCCTTAATTGCTCAAGAGTGTATTGTTTAATATCCACACATCTAAATTTTATAATTTTCCTCCTGCTATTGATTTCTAGTTTGATTTTATTGAAGTCAGAAAAGATCTTGCTATTTTAAATTTATTCACTTGTTTTGTGACCTAACGAGTTATGTATACTGGAGAATGTTCCATGTGCACTTAAGAAAAATGTATACTCTGTTGTAGCTGGGTAGAATATTCTGCATATGTCTGATACGTCTGTTAGGTCCATTTGGTCTACAGTGTTGTTCAAGTTTTCTGTTTCCTTATTGATCTCTGTCTGGATGGTCTCCCCCATTATTGGAAGTGGTGAAATGAAACCTCCTACTATAATTGTGTTGCTGTCTATTTCTCCCTTCACTTCTGAAATGTCTGCTTCATGGATTAAGCGCTCTGATGTTAGCAGCATACATAATTGTTATATTTTCTTGGTGAATTAACCCTTTTATCATTATGTGATATCCAAAAACTGCCTGTTGTGACAGTTTTTGACTTAAAGTCTCTTTTGTCTGATGTAAGTATGGCCACTTCTCCTCTTTTGGTTACCATTGGCAAGAAGTATCTTTCTCCATTCCTTCACTTTCATTTAGCCTATGTGTGTCCTTAAATCTAAGGTGAGTTTTTGTAGACAGCATATAGTTGTATCTCGTTTTTTTTAATGCACTCAGCTACTCTATGATTTTTTATTAGGTAATTTAATTCATTTATAATAATAGTAGTTATTCATTAGGAAGGTCTTACGATTGCCATTTAATTCACTGTTTTCTATCTGTCTTGTGACACTCAATTCCCTATTTTCTTCTCTTGCTATCTTCCTTTGTGTTTCATTATTTTGTAATGACATGCTTTGATTCCCTTCTCATTTTCTTTTGTGTATCTTTTATAGGTATTTTCTTTGTGGTTACCATGGGGTTTACATAAAGTACCTTATATTTATAGCAATCTACTTTAACCTGACAATTTAACTTTAATTGCATACAAAAACTCTACACTTTTACTTCTACCCCCCACCACACTTCATGTTACTGACGTCATAATTTGCATCTTTTTATACTATGTATCCATTAACATATTTCTATAGTTATAGCTTTTATATATTTGCCTTTCAACTTCTATAACAGAATTAAACGTGATTTATGCATCAATGTTACAGAATTGCAGTATTCTGCATTTGTTTATATATTTACCTTTTCCAGTGAATTTTATATTTTCATATGGTTTCACGTTGCTGTTTGGCATCCTTTGCTTCATTCTTTGTCCTTACTGTCTTTAACTAGACTCTAGAATCTAAAGATCACGTTTATTTTACAAATTAAACTAGCCAAAGAATATGCATCAGTGTTGTTTGGCAATTATAGGTCAGAACTGAGCTTCTATTCTAGGACTTAGGGTACAGATGGAACCGTGTTCCTAAATCAATAATGCATTTCCACTCCAAAAAACTCCACCAGTTTTAATACCTACCAGTTCCTTTGCTTAGATATGGGGGCTTAAAGAACTTCACAACACCATAGACATTGACAATTGTACCACCCTTAAGTTGATTCAGGGGTGTATATATATAATTTGTTGCTGGAACCTAAAGAAAGAGAAGACAGTGAATACATTTATACAAAGTATTTACATTGTAGAATCATGTTATAATCATATTAGCAGCAAATCCATGTAACTATTTTATCCTTTTAAGTGTCTAAAAGAAGTTATAACCTGAAATAAGGCAATGCACACAGCTTAGCTTATCCAACTAGTTTTCCTTAGAACTTTGTTTATAAATGGTACAATTTGCACACTAGCTCATAAAGGCATAACCTATAATCTAATTAAAACATTATACTTCTTCAATAAAAACATAGCAAACAGCATATACATATAGTCCCTGACTTATGATGGTTCAACTTACAATCTTCTGACTTTAGAATGGGTCTATTAGGCAATTTAATGCATTTTGTATTTATAAAATTTTTGACTTATGATGGGTACACTGGATGTAACTTCATTGTAAATCAAGGAGCATCTGTAGTGAAAAACAGCAATACATGTCAAAACTGAAGCAATAACACAAAACAAGAAAATACTTTTTTTTAAATATGTACATCTTCAATGTAAAAGGTCTAAGAAAAGAGAGTTTTATTAAAGGTAAATGACTAGGCATAAAGAGATATTTTTAGAAGCCCTGAAAATGCAACTAGAACACTAGTCTTAACAATACAAGTTACATCTCTTGTAAGTTTAGAAAACTTTTTTTTTAAGGACACTCTCAAGGAATCTTTTAGTAATTAAATCATCCTAGCTATCTTTAAGTTAGTATATCCCTAGCTTATTTGGTCAAGAAACTGTAGCTGGGGGACAATAAATCAAACTGTTAACAGAGAGCAAATTCTAAAAAATGCAATTTAAGAGATTTTGGTTCTATTTTTTAACTAATATCTCTTTGAAACTTGTGGTACAATTTCTCTCTTCCCCTTACCCCCATGCTATTATAGAGATTTTCCATAGGCCTAAATTTTGACTCATAACTCAAGCCAGGTTTTGAGTCATAAATGGTATAAAAAGATTTAAAATGCTAATAATGAAACCCTACCCCAAAGAATTAAAACTAACAATTCCTAAATTCTTGGGCTTACAGTATAGTAGATAAGAAATGAAAACTTATTGAGAAGTTGAAATCAGCAACTAACACAAATTCTTGAGCTTGCAGAATATCAGATAAGAAAAGAAACAACTTGCTGAGATACTACTGAAACTCCTACTGATTTTGAGAGCAGGAAAAAACTATCTGAAATCAGTTGAAACCAAGATGGCTGACTGGAATTTGAGAACGAGTCTGCTGATATCACAGTATGAATTTCCATCACATTCATCATACTAACTCCACCTGAATTTGCACATGCAACCCATGCATTAATGTGAAGAAATAACTATGCTTGCCCAAGGACTTTCCAAACTTCCCCTTTCATCCAACTAATGACTTACTAATCCCAGTATCTACTCTTTAAAACTTTTCTAATAAAATTACTGCCTTAAAGACAGCGCAGGGAGACATATTTGAGCTCAGCTCGTGTCTCCTTAGGTGTTGACTTTCAGCTTTTCTTTTCTCAAAAATTTGATTTCACAGTATTGGCTTATAACACATCAGGTAGCGAGCTCCTTTTGTTCTATAATAATAAGAGAACCAAAAGATAATTTTTTGAAATAACTGTGAATAAGTTGGGAAAGAAAAGGGAAAGTGGTTTACAAGGACATGTTTGCATATTAACAGTGATACTAAATAAAGCCTTAAAGGGCTTTGTATAAGTGATCCCAACATCAAATGGAAATAAGGATACCTATCACTCTGAGAGTTAAAATTTTAAAACTCAAATTAAAAAATTAGTTTTTCCAAGGAGGCTTCTCAGTTTAAACAAGAGTAGAATTTGCTAATCTAATCAAACTTCAATATAAAGAAAGCTAGCTCATCAATGATTAAAAAAAGAATGATGGAATAATGGAATGGAAAGAGAAATAATGGAAGAGAAGCATACTGAACAGTAGGGAGAAAACATGTGCTTAGCTTACACTCAATATTCTATCTTAACATCTCATGGAGAGATGAATGGGAAAGGCCAGCAAAACTCAATGACACTAACCATTATAATCAACCAAGTAACCGCCATTTGTTAATTCATTACCAATAAACAACTTCTTGTTTGGCTTTCCATGCAAATCAGCAAGTATTTATGTGTACAACAGCTAAGATATAAACCTCATTATAAATTCATAAATTGATATTTTTTGCTTCTTAATCATTCTCTAATGAGTTGGGTTAATATTCTTACAAGTTTGGTTAATGTACCATTGAGTAAGCTCACACTTCAACAAGGTAATTAAATTTACATGATTCCCAATAAGCCCTATCTTAGTAGCCAATTTGCCTCCCTTGCTGACACAATAAAGTATTGTATTCCATAAAAAAGGACTGTAGAGGGACATCCAAATCAGTGTGAACAAATGTGTTAGCGGGAGAAATAGTGTAGTTAGTAGGAGAATGGTAAGCAAAGGCTTTCTGAAGGTGGCAACAAAATCTAAATTTTGAAGGACAAGTAACAAGGAGAAATGATAGCATATACTAGCATTATGTAATCAGGGATCTGAAAATAGTTTCACACTGCTGGTGCAAAAGGCACATGGCTAATATCTAAAGCAACAGGCATATAATATTTATGACATCCTAACAACTCCTAGGTTAATAAAACTAGCACTTACAAAAATACTTGTTGAGGGTTTTTATTGCTCACTAAATAATCTAGAACAGTACTATCCAAGATAATCTTCTATGATAATGAAAATATTCTATATCAATATTGTGGCTACTCAGGAATTTAAATATGACTAGTGCAAATCATGAACTGAATTTTTAAAAGCCACACACAGCTAGTTGCTCATTATCGCACAGCACAGGCATATGTCCATGAGAAAACCATCGGCTCATGATATACTAAAGATAACTTGATAGCATTATCATTAAGTACATCACTTGATCCACATTTCACACAGACATGAACAATTTTTTTTTTTGACTGCTTAAGGGGCAGCCCATTATGGAATCAATCAGTCAGGAAAATGTGAGCCCTGGTTAAATGAGATGCAATTTACAGCATATGCAGAAAGTTAACTAGCGGACAAAAATCAAGCACAGCAGACAATAAAAGCCTGAAGAGAGAAAGACACCTAGCAGCATAATTCGATTCATTCATTCCTTTATTTATTTCTGTCCTTCCTTCATTCATTCATTGATGGGCTATGTACTATACGGGGCACTAAAAATAAGTGTGAACAAAACACAAATAGACCCTGCACCAATGGAAGAACAAACCATAAAAGCGGAGAGATGTCTTAGAATTGTCTTAGAAGGTCTATTTGAAAAGATATTTAAAGAAAGAACTAATTAAATGAAGTACAGAAGTTGGGAATGAGATAAGCAACAGTGTTCCAAGCAGAGAAAACACATTCAGTATATTTGAAAATCCAGGAGGTTTGGATGGCTGGAGTGTACTGGTCAAAGGTAATGACAAGATTAGGTTGAATAAAAATATAGGGGATAGTTTATATTGGGCCTTCAGATCACATAAGTGGGCTAGTAAAGCTTTTAAATCCTGAAGACAATACAAGATCAAATGATTACCCTGAGTCACTTGAAAAGCAAACTTTCTACCACTGAAAAACAAATACTCTATTTTCTAAATTCTAAAAACACCCTGGTCCTCATAGACTACACTTTTAATACTATATTCTCAAAAAAATACACTTTTTCAGGAAAACAAGAAACTCAAAAACAGTAACTCCGTTTTCTTGATATCAACTGCAAGATCCATGCTCAGTTTAAAAATGTAGAAATGTAAAAACAAGCATCTTTTGATGAGTCAGGAAAATAAAGTCAAATAGATCTATGCTTGATTTAACTTACAATACCTAGGCTTTGTGAAAAAATATTTTTGCAAAGTTCAGAGGCTTTTTCATTTATTCCCGCCTTATTTACAGGTTCGCAGATATATCAAATATTTTAAATTAAACAATTTATAACAATTTTGGGAAATACTAATACCAGAGCTAACTCACATTTTTCAAAAAGTACATCAGTTCTTTTATTGGTAACAGTTCCCCCAAAAATATTAATTATACTAATACTCAGAATTTAGTAACTGTGTCCTACAGTCATTGTCAACCAGAAACAGTTCCTGAATTCTGTCCATTTGAAACTAAAGGTTCAAAAACATAAGTAGAACATAAACATCATATTAAACTATACCAATAAATTATTAACACCTTCTTTCCAGTTTCACTCGGCTACAAGTAGACTATCTGTAAAAATGGGAATGGGCATCTTCCTATTGCTATAAGGAAGCTATAGCTATATCTATGCTATAAAATAGTGGGGAAAATGGTTAAAAAGAAATGTATCATAAGTATAAGAAAACTACTTAAAATTATATAATTTGTTCAATTATATAATTCAGCACATAATTGTCTGGTTAAATACAAGCTAATGTAAAAAGAAATGAATTTGCCTATGGTTTATAACAAAAATTTAAGGATCTTCATACAGTAAAAACTTATTTTATTTTTCTTGTGTATGTATAGCTTACACAAAATATCAGCAGATATTCCAGACAACAGAATATTCAGATATTGATTACTAGGTAAAATATATAACTCTAATATAACATTATCAGCTATAAAAAAGTAAAGATTATGTTTTTCCAGTGTATTGATAATATATCAATATCAGACTACAAAGTGGACTGAATATACATACACATGTATCTATGTGTGTGGCATATACAGGTATAGGTGTAATACTCTAAATTAAACTGAATATCATCTTACCAAAGACATTGATTCTGTAGAAAAATCTCTTAAAGATTTGACATAAACCTGAAGGAAAAAAAGAAAGAACTTATTTGTATACAGATAACCTCCAATGTGATTACATGCTTTTAGTTGTAGTAAAAGTACACACTTACTTGTAAAATATTCAAATTCACTAGGATGACATAAAGTTATGGCTTACAAATTAAAAGTGAAATGTGCAAAGTTGTCTAAGCTACAGAAACTTAAAAAAAAAAGGCAAAGATATAAGGTCAAATGAAAATGTACTTTATTAAAATATTAGTGTTCTTACAGATTAAATCTGAAGCACAGCAATATTCAGTTCTCAGGACAGTTCTCAGGATAGAATGTAAAAGAATGCCAACTCCTATCAGTCCAATAGAAGTGGAAAATCAGAGCTGATATTCAAAATTTTTCCTGCATAGAACCTTAGATGTTTTCAGAAAGAAAAAAATCAATAAGGAAGTGCTTCAGTGATCACTCTAACTGCAAATTTTACCCATCTCCAGCCTAATTCATTAATTTTAATATCAAGCAGAGCCACCACCAGTGCTTATAGTACCTTTGTGCATACTAGAAAAAAAAAGGCAGATGTTGGCCTGCAGGCTTTTGGCTTAGCCCAATTCTACCTAATAGCCTTGACTAAAAAGGCAGTTTTCAAGTGTGTGTGTGGAAGGTAGGGTGTTAAAAGAGGAAAGGAGAGGAAGGCCATCTTCACAACGAATAAAGTAGGAGAAGGAAAAAATCCGTTTTACCTAAAGAGGGGTAGTTGATTAATTTAAAGTGAAATCAAGTAGAACAAAGTGCCTGATGGCATAATCACAAAGAATATCCAGTCTAGAATGTCTGTGCGGTTTTGTAAGTTTCATTAATAAGTATTTATTAAATATAAAGGAATTCCCTATTCTATCTTGTCATTCGAAAAATAAAACCAAGAAAAAAAAACTTCTATTTTTTAAACTTAAAATATTCAATTAAAATAATTTAGTCAGACCAAGTAGTTTATCTGCAGATTTACAGAAATACTTTCAATCCCATCACTTTAGCTCATTAAATCTGCAATGTAATTAGAGAATAAAAGCTGCATACTTACATAAACAGTTGATTTGAGGTCTTCAAATGCTTTCAAAAATATGCAAGGTTTACCATCTCTGCTTGTAGATGAAGAAGCTAAAAAAACAATAAATCTAGCCACTGCAATGGTGTCCTACATAGAAAAAAAAAAGTTTTTGAATCAATCACCAAAATACGTATAATTTGGAATGTCATATAAATCCTTATTTATATTATTATGTTTAGAATAAAAATTACCTCTATAAAGTAGAAAACTGGTTAACCTAAACTTGTTTAACACTTGCTGAATACATTATTTAGACTACCACTTCCTCTAAAACATCTTCAACATCTACAGCTACAATATAGCCACAGATGACAATAACGTCCCACTTCATGGACCAGGAAAATGCTAAATCACTAAGAAAGTTTTATGTAGTGAAACTCAGATGTTCCAATAGTAATAAGGATGGAATTTAAATGAAACTAAATCTCAAAGTTGAGAAACTACATTGAGAAAGGCATGACAGTGCAAAAACTCCACATATTACAAAACTAATATATGTGCATACAAATACAGGGCATGGACATAATAAGAAATTTCCATTTATATACTAATAAGAACAAAGATATTTTCTTTCTACTTAGGTTTGTAACAGTAGTAAGAAGCCATTCTCCATTTATCCCTTCCTCTCTCATTCTTTAAATTTCCTTTTCTTATTTTCCAAATACTAAAACAGAAATACTAAAAGAGTTTTGCATTGCTGCATATATATTTTTCATTGTCTTACTCCCTTAATTTTAACAACGAAACCTTAAGATACACCAAAATGTCTGGGCTTTTGGTCATCTTCCTTCAATAATTTAAAACTCTATCAAGTGGAAGTCTTCTGCATTACCACAGTGTGCTCTGCACATACAAGGGCCTGGTGTCAATTCTCACAATCCTCTATTCAGATTTAATAATTGGACTGAGAGCATACTGAAGATAGTGGTCATTTCTAATTCTGCTCTGTATTTACAGGACTTGGCACAAAGCAGGCCCTCCCAAAACAAACTGTCTATGAATCAAACGAAAGACCTTATTTTGCCTTTTCTAAAAATCTCTTGCCCTAACCAGGTATTGTAGCTCTGCAATTCCTGCGTTTTTTTCTTCACATGAGATTGCAAACATAACTGAGTGTATGCTGATAATGCCAAATTACCACAACTCTTCATAGTTCAATGGGAGAAAATTTTTCTTCTTACTGAAGATTTTATATTTCTCCGAAACCTTTTATGCAGTTTAAAAAAATAAAATGAACATGTTTCTGGAATAAAAATAACAACTGAGTTACCTTTTTTCAGTTTTACAAACTGAAGTATACACTCTGTTTTCAAGTGACCTCAAACCAATACATTCTGATTAAATGAAAACTTGAGATTTTAGTCAAAGATTTAAAGTTGTTTATCAAACTAACACCGGAAGATAAACAGAAGTAGGGAAGCCAACAGTTTATCAGTTCTAAATTATCCAAGTAGAAAAAAAAACCTACCTCTTGTTATCCTCTGTTCCACTTAAAAATGTTTTCAAAAGTAAATATTATACACCAAATGCAAATGTTAGAGTACAGATGACCATTTTTTTTCTATTTTCCTGTAGATTCTAAACTTTTTTAAAAGACTGAGTATGTATGCATTTCTTTTATCATGAAGAAAAATTTTGAAAAGAATAAATGACTAAAAGCTGGACATCAGCATTCATAAGAAAAATTTTTCTGAATTTAACAGTAGCTACACACAATTCAGTAAAAAGTTACAACCCTTCCTCTGGCATATATTCAACAGCATGGAAATAACAATCACAGTTTTTTTTAATTGAAATGCATTTATTATATTCATAAACATGGATTTATATTTGAATATACATATAAAAACTGCATTGAAGGCCCTTCAGTGATCTCATCCCAAGCAACTCTGCCTGTTTTATTTCCACATACTTCCCATTCAATATTAGACAAATTGGATCCTCTCATAAGTATAGTGCTTTTCCACATATATTCTTTATTTATTTTGAGCCACTGCTACAAATAAATAACATGTTTCCCATCTGTACATATCTGACCTAATCTATATTTCAAAGTCTAGCCTTCTTCTTCCTGGTAGAATCTATCACAGATTCTCTCTCAGAAACAAGTAATTCTACCTTCCTCTAAACTCTCCTATACAGCGTTTTAGCATTTTTCACTTTGTATGTTATTTACAAACTTTTCTTAATGCCTTTAAAGCCCTTAAAGTCCTGTAAGTTCCTTGGACTGAAAGTAATGGAGATCATTCCAAGATGGCCGAATAGGAACAGCTCCACTCTACAGCTCCCAGTGTGAGCCACGCAGAAGACGGGTGATTTCTGCATTTCCAACTGAGGTACTGGGGTCATCTCATTAGGACTTGTTGGACAGTGGGTGCAGCCCATGGAGTGTGAGCTGAAGCAGGGCAGGGCATCGCCTCACTGGGGAAGTGCAAGGGGTCGGGGAATTCCCTTTCCTAGCCAAGGGAAGCCATGACGGTCAGTACCTGGAACATCGGGACACTCCTGCCATAATACTGTGCTTTTCCAACGGTCTTAGCAAACTGCACACCAGGAGATTATATCCCATGCCTGGCTCATCAGGTCCCATGCCCACAGAGTTTTGCTCATTGCTGGCACAGCAGTCCCAGATTGAACTGTGAGGCTGCAGCGAGTCTGGGGGAGGGGCTTCCACCATTGCTGAGGCTTGACTAGGTAAACAAAGCGGCTGGGAAGCTTGAACTGGGTGGAGCCCACTGCAGCTCAAGGAGGCCTGCCTGCCTCTGTAGATTCCACCTCTGGGGGCAGGGCATAGCTGAAGAAGAGGCAGCAGAAACTTCTGCAGACTTAAACGTCCCCATCTGACAGCTTTGAAGAGAGCAGTGGTTCTCCCAGCATGGAGTATGAGATCTGAAAATGGACAGATTGCCTCCTCAAGTGGGTCCCTGACCCCTGAGTAGACTAACTGGGAGACACCTTCCAGTAGGGGCCAACTGACACCTCACACAGCTGGGTGCCCCTCTGAGACGAAGGTTCCAGAGGAAGGATCAGGCAGCAACATTTGCTGTTCTGCAATATTTGCTGTTCTGCAGCCTCTGCTGGTGATACCCAGGCAAACAGGGTCTGGAGTTGACCTGCAGCAAATTCCAACAGACCTGCAGCCGAGGGTCCTGACTGTAAGAAGGAAAACTAACAAACAGAAAGGAATAGCATCAACATCAACAAAAAGGACATCCACACCAAAAACCCATCTGTAGGTCACCATCATCAAAGACCAAAGGTAGATAAAACCACAAAGGTCAGGAGAAACCAGAGCAGAAAAGCTGAAAATTCTAAAAATCAGAGCACCTCTTCTCCTCCAAAGGATCACAGCTCCTCGCCAGCAATGGAACAAAGCTGGACAGAGAATAACTTTGATGAGTTGGCAGAAGTAGGCTTCAGAAGATCAGTAATAATAAACTTTTCCAAGTTAAAGGAGGATGTTTGAACCCATCGCACATAAGCTAAAAACCTTGAAAACAGATTAGACGAATGGCTAACTAGAATAAATAGAGAAGACCTTAAATGACCTGATGAAGTGGAAAACCATGGCACAAGAACTACATGATGCATGCACAAGCTTCAGTAGTTGATTGGATCAAGTGGAAGAAAGGGTATCAGTGACTGAAGATCAAATGAATGAAATAAACTGAGAAGAGAAGTTTACAGAAAAAAGAGTAAAAAGAAATGAACAAAGCCTCCAAGAAATATGGGACTATAAGAAAAGACCAAATCTACATTTGATTGGTGTACCTAAAAGTGATGGGGAGAATAGATCCAAATTGGAAAACACTCTCCAGGATATTATCCAGGAGAACTTCTCCAATCCAGCAAGGCAGGCCAACATTCAAATTCAGGAAATACAGAGAACGCCACAAAGATGCTCCTCGAGAAGAGCAACCTCAAGACACATAACTGTCAGATTCACCAAGGCTGAAATGAAGGAAAAAATGTTAAGAGCAGCCAGAGAAAAAGGTCAGGTTACCCACAAAGGGAAGCCCATCAGACTAATAGTGGATCTCTCAGGAGAAACTCTACAAGCCAGAAGAGAGTTGGGGCCAATATTCAACATTCTTAAAAAAAGAATTTTCAACCCAGAATTTCATATCCAGCCAAACTAAGCTTCTTAAGTGAAGGAGAAATAAAATCCTTTACAGACAAGCAAATGCTGAAAGATTTTGTCACCACCAGACCTGCCTTACAAGAGCTCCCGAAGGAAGCACTAAACATGGAAAGGAACAATTGGTACCAGCCAATGCAAAAACATGCCAAATTGTAAAGACCATTGAGGCTAGGAAGAAACTGCATCAACTAATGAGCAAAATAACCAGCTAACATCATAATGGCAGGATCAAATTCACATATAACAATATTAACCTTAAATGTAAATGGGCTAAATGCTCCAATTAAAAGACACAGAATGGCAAATTGGATAAATCGTCAAGACCCCTCAGTGTGTTGTGTTCAGGAGACCCATCTCACATGCAGAGACAAACATAGGCTCAAATTAAAGGGATGGAGGAAGATCTACCAAGCAAATGGAAACAAAAAAAAGCAGGAGTTGCAATCCTAGTCTCTGATAAAACAGACTTTAAACCAACAAAGATCAGAAGAGACACAGAAGGCCATTAAGTAATGGTAAAGGGATCAAGTCCACAAGAAAAGCTAACTATCCTAAATATATATGCACCCAATACAGGAACGCCGAGATTCATAAAGCAAGTCCTTAGAGACCTACAAAGAGACTTAGACTCCCACACAATAATAATGGGAGACTTTAACACCCCACTGTCAACATTAGACAGATCAAAGAGATAGAAAGTTAACAAGGATATCCAGGACTTGAACTCGGCTCTGCACCAAGCGGACCTAATAGACATCTACAGAACTCTCCACTCCAAATCAACAGAATATACATTCTTCTCAGCACCACATCGCACTTACTCCAAAACTGACCATAGTTGGAAGTAAAGCACTCCTCAGCAAATATAAAAGAACAGAAATTATAACAAACTGTCTTTCAGACCACAGTGTAATCAAATTAGAACTCAGGATTAAGAAACTTGCTCAAAACTGCACAACTACATGGAAACTGAACAACCTGCTCCTGAATGGACTACTGGGTACATAACAAAATGAAGGCAGAAATAAAGATGTTCTTTGAAACCAATGAGAACAAAGACACAACATACCAGCATCTCTGGGACACATTTAAAGCAGTGTGTAGAGGGAAATTTATAGCACTAAATACCCACAAGAGAAAGCAAGAAAGATCTAAAATGGACACCCTAACATCACAATTAAAAGAACTGGAGAAGCAAGAGCAAACAAATTCAAAAGCTAGCAGAAGGCAAGAAAAAACTAAGATCAGAGCAGAACTGAAGGAGATAGAGACACAAAAAACCCTTCAAAAAATCAATGAATCCAGGAGCTAGTTTTTTGAAAAGATCAACAAAATTGATAGACTGCTAGCAAGACTAATAAAGAAGAAAAGAATCAAACAAATGCAATAAAAAATGATAAAGGGGATATCACCACTGATTCCACAGAAATACAAACTGCCATCAGAGAATACTATGAACACTTCTACGCAAATAAACTAGAAACTCTAGAAGAAATGGATAAATTACTAGACACACACCCTCCCAAGACTAAACCAGGAAGAAGTTGAATCCCTGAATAGACCAATAACAGGTACTGAAATTAAGGCAATAATTAATAGCCTAACAACCAAAAAAAGTCCAGGACCAGACAGATCCACAGCTGAATTCTACCAGAGGTACAAAGAGGAGCTGGTACCATTCCTTCTGAAACTATTCCAATCAACAGAAACAGAGGGAATCCTCCCTAACTTATTTTATGAGGTCAGCATTATCCTTGTAACAAAGCCTGGCAGAGACATAACAAAAAAAGAGAATTTTAGACCAATATCCCTGATGAACATCAGTGTGAAAATCCTCAATAAAATACTGGCAAACCAAATCCAGCAGCAGAATCAAGTTGGCTTCATCCCTGGGATCCAAGGCTGGTTCAACATACACAAATCAATAAACGTAATCCATCATATAAACAGAAACAAAGACAAAAACCACATGATTATCTCAATAGACGCAGAAAAGGCCTTCAACAAAATTCGACAGCCCTTCATGCTAAAAACTCTCAATAAACTAGGTATTGATGGGATGTATCTCAAAATAATAAGAGCTATTTATGACAAACCCACAGCCAATATCATACTGAATGGGCAAAAACTGGAAGCATTCCCTTTGAAAACTGGCACAAGACAGGGATGCCCTCTCTCACCACTCCCAGTCAACATAGTGTTGGAAGTTCTGGCCAGGGCAATCAGGCAGGAGAAAGAAATAAAGGGTATTCAAGTAGAAAAACAGGAAGTCAAATTGTCCCTGTTTGCAGATGACATGATTATATGTTTAGAAAACCCCATCGGTCTCAGCTCAAAATCTCCTTAAGCTAATAAGCAACTTCAGCAAAGTCTCCGGATACAAAATCAATGTGCAAAAATCACAAGCATTCCTATATACCAATAACAGACAAACAGCCAAATCATGAGTGAACTCCCATTCACAATTGCTTCAAAGAGAATAAAATACTTAGGAATCCAACTTACAAGGGATGTGAAGGACCTCTTCAAGGAGAACTACAAATCACTGCTCAATGAAATAAAAGAGGACACAAACAAATAGAAGAACATTCCACGCTCATGGATAGAAAAGAATCAGTATCATGAAAATGGCCATACTGCCCAAGGTAATTTATAGATTCAATGCCATCCCCATCAAGCTACCAATGACTTTCTTCACAGAATTGGAAGTTCATATGGAACCAAAAAAGAGCCCTCATTCCCAAGACAATCTTAAGCAAAAAGAACAAAGCTGGACGCATCACACTACCTGACTCCAAACTATACTACAGGGCTACAGTAACCAAAACAGCATGGTACTGGTACCAAAACAGAGATATAGACCAATGGAACAGAACAGAGCCCTCAGAAATAATACCACACATCTACAACCATCTGATCTTTGACAAACCTGACAATAACAAGAAATGGAGAAAGGATTCCCTATTCAATAAATGGTGCTGGGAAAACTGGCTAGCCATGTGTAGAAAGCAGAAACTGGATCCCTTCCTTACACCTTATACAAAAATTAATTAAAGATGGATTAAAGACTTAAACGTTAGACCTAAAACCATAAAAAAAAAACCCTAGAAGAAAACCTAGGCAATATGATTCAGAACACAGGCATGGGCAAGAACTTCATGACTAAAACACCAAAAGCAATGGCAACAAAAGCCAAAATTGACAAACGGGATCTAATTAAACTAAAGAGCTTCTGCACAGCAAAAGAAACTACCATCAGAGTCAACAGGCCACCTACAGAATGGGAGAATATTTTTGCAATCTACTCATCTGACAAAGGGCTAATATCCAGAATCTACACGGAACTTAAACAAATTTACAAGAAAAAAATCAAACAACCCCATCAAAAAGTGGGCGAAGGATATGAACTGACATTTGTCAAAAGAAGACATTTATGCAGCCAACAGACACATGAAGAAATGCTCATTATCACTGGCCATCAGAGAAATGCAAATCAAAACCACAATGAGATACCATCTCACACCAGTTAGAATGGCAATCATTAAAAAGCCAGGAAACAACAGGTGCTGGAGAGGATGTGGAGAAATAGGAACACTTTTACACTGTTGGTGGGACTGTAAACTAGTTCAACCATTGGGGAAGACACTGTCGCGATTCCTCAAAGATCTAGAACTAGAAAACACCATTTGACCCAGCCATCCCATTACTGGGTATATAGCCAAAGGATTATAAATCATGCTACTATAAAGACACATGCACACATATGTTTAGTGCGCCACTATTCACCATAGCAAAGACTTGGAAGTAACCCAAATGTCCAACAATGATAGACTGGATTAAGAAAATGTGGCACATATACACCATGGAATACTATGCAACCGTAAAAAATGATAAGTTCATGTCCTTTCTAAGGACATGGATGAAGCTGGAAACCATCATTCTGAGGAAACTATTGCAAGGACAGAAAACCAATCACCACATGTTCTCACCCATAGGTGGGAACTGAACAATGAGAACACTTGGACACAGGGTGGGGAACATCACACACCGGGGCTTGTCGTAGGGTGGGGGGAGGGGAGAGGGATAGCATTAGGAGAAATACCTAATGTAAATGACAAGTTAATGGGTGCAGCACACCAACGTGGCACATGTATACATATGTAACAAAACTGCACGGTGTGCACATGTACCCTAGAACTTAAAAGTATAATAAAAAATAAAAAATAAAATAAAATAATGTCTTATTCATGTGTATATTTCATATAAATGGCTGCCAGAGGCTTCTGTTCATAGTGTTCAACAAATATCTGGTAAATTAATGAATTAACACTGGCAAAAACTGAAGTACAGAACTAAACAAAGAGAAAAAATAAATGGCTCTTAGGATCCAGTTTCCATGAATTTATGAATCATAATGGCTTTTAAAACATTCAAGTACACAGAGGATAAGAAAAATATATAACAGATAATAGTAGTTTGTATAAACACTCATTAGATCGAATTGAAAATGAGATTTTATATGGGGTGTTCTAAGCTTCTGAGAAGAGCATACTGAAGCCATTCAAACAAGAATTGGAATTACCTAGATCTGTGCCAAGAGTATATTCTGACATACCACAGATGTTTAACTCAATTGGGTGAAAAAAGTTAGGAGACCAGCCTGGAGAAAAAAATACTATGCTACAAAAAGTGAGAAGGCTTTATCAATGCATATACGAGTTATAAAACTAAAAACACATTTGGAATCACTGAAATCTTTAAACTAATTTAAGATACTTCAATATTAGCAAATGGGTCATTTCCCTTTTGTGTCTGTACTACCTGTCATCCCTGTCACATTGCCTTACAAAGAGTGAGCTCCCTTGTCATTAAACAATTCCCTGTTTAGTATAGCCAAATAGAATATTTACTGCAAACCAGTCTCAGAGAAGAAAAATGAAGTCAGTAAAGGTCTTCTTAACAACAAGAAGTGTTCTTCAAAAAATCAACAATTAACTTAACTGCTTCACCCCCCACAAAATTAAGGCCACATACTGTATGATTCTACCTAAAAGACTGGAGGTTGCCAGAAGTTAGGGAAAGGGAAGGATGAATAGGCAGAGCACAGACGATTTTTAGGGCAGTGGAAAATACTCTATAAGGTACTATAATGATAGATATATGTCAAAATACATTTTTCAAAACTCATAGAATGTACAACACTGAGAGTAAACCCTAATGTAAACCATGGACTCTGAGTGATAATGATGTCATTGCAGGTTCACCAACTGTAATACCACTCTGGTGAGGGAACACTGATAGCAGAAGAGGCTATGCATAACTGCAGGTAGAGAATGTGAGGGAAATCTCTCTAACTTTCTCTCAATTTTGCTGTGAACCTAAAACTTCTTTTAAAAAGTATTTTTTAAAAAACCAAAGCTTTAAACATGTATTTTAAAAAGTATATCAGATTATTTATTTGCATATTAACAAATATGGTTTTTATATGTTAGTACCTCCTAATAAAGGAAACAGTCAGTGGTGAAATAAGCAAATCAACAGGCAAATAATAGCATAAACTACAAGACTCATGTATTAGTTTGCTAATTTTTAACAAATAATACCTCAGAAATTCTCAAGTCATTACACTTAGTGGGCAAGAAAAGGGCATTGAAAATATAAAATAACTGATAATCCAAAATGAAAAACACTTATTTGACTTTAACAAGCATTAAATAATTTTCCTATATTGACCTTACAAATCTTGTTAGGTTACCATATTTTAAAACATTTTTCAAGAGTAAGGGTACAGGCAGAAACCAAGGACCTGACGGCGTTGATAGTGCAGTGATTGACAGAAAATGTTTCTCTATAAAAATGTATTTCATGAGCATTTGCATGTACTGGGTTGAGTAATACCAAGGTCATAATTGGAAGTAATGTATGTGAATAATATTAGCATTAAAAACCAAAATTCTTAAATTGCCTACAAATCACTGTATGATTTGACCCCTACCCACCTCATCAGCCACATCAGCCACATATTGTGTGACTCACTCTGGTATTCTGTCTTCTCAAAATTCATTAAATATTCCAAGATGCTTGCTCAAGGCCTCTGTATATGCTATTCTCTCTTTGCAATCTATAACCCAAGTATCCCTGTGATCATTTTTCCATTACTCTTCTCATTCTACTATTCAATATTCATAGTTACATATCATATCTGGATAAAATAATTATGTAATAATTGTTTAATTCTTCTCCAGGGGACACTATGCTCTATGAGGGCAAGGTCCATGACTGTCTTATTCACTGCTATATCTCCAACATCTATCATAGAATACAAAAACATTTAACAAATGTTTGGACAACTAAATAAATAATCAAAGATATTAACATTCATACATATATAGATAGTATACCTTCACGAATCTTAAAATAAAATAAACTGTACAACTGCTACAAAACTTACTTCATAGACTGTTAGCATTTTAGAACTTAAAAGGACCTTAGAGACCATGTAATCAAACATCTTCATTTTTCAGATAAGGGAGAATAAATAAATGATCTAAGGTCACATACAGTTAATTAGCTATGAACCAAGACAAGAAGCCAAATCTCCTGACTTTCAAGACAGGCACCACTCTAATTCCTCTTTCAGAACTAACTCTAACAGGGATACAGGGAGAAAAAAGGTATTAATAAGTGTCTTTATTTTTGACAGTTTTGGGGTAATTTTTTTTAACTTTCAGAATACTTTGGAAAAGTCTTTCCTCATATTTTATGTCCACATATTAAATGTTAAAACTGACTTTAAAATATGAAAACTAAAACAAAAAATGTCTCATACAGAGGAAGGCTTAATTACAGCTTGTGTATTTCTGCAAAATATATCACATTAGTCTACCAAAGCAAGGATTAAAATCTTGTTAAAATTCATTTTAGTGTTTTAGGATTATTGTATTCAAATACAACGCTACCCTTAAGCAAACAAGCAAATGGCAAAGAAGGGTTTAAGAATCAAATTGGAGAAAACTCATTCCTTTAAGCAAAAAGTTTTACCTTTGGGTTGGAACAATCTTCAACCTTGATACTTTAATAAATTGGTATATTAGACCCTCAAATAATCAGCATTTCTGGGTTTTAAATCCAGAAATAATTTAAAGTAAATGTGACCTCAGTCTTCACATCATTATATTTTAAAAGCAAGAAACCTTGACTTACCATTATTAACAACCTCTGTTATCTGACAGGTACTAATTAACTAGTGTAGTTCTATTCTATTTTAATGAATACCTATTTAAAATGTATTTCAATAGCAGAAAACACTTCACATGTCAGGTAAAACACTAATACCTAATGTAATGTACATGTTTTGTAGATGTACTATACATGTTTTGTTAATTCATAGCATAACCCTTTTATACTGTTTCTCAAATAAACATTTAATATAAAAATCTTAAAGGATAAAGGTGAAATATATTTAAAATATAAACAAATTGATCTCTGATATTCGATAGCATGTATTTATTTTTAAAACACATCTCTAAAATATCCAAGATATATTAGGTAAAAATAAAGCAACCTTGCAAAAAACAGATAGTTACTTGGTGAAAAATATGCACATACAGGCTTATCCATGCCCACAGACACACACAAAAGCATGTGCACATATATAGACACACATATAAAAAACCTGGAAGGGTACTAAAAAAAGCATAGCAGTGTTTTTTACCTGAAGAATGGGACTAGGAAATGGCAAGGGATTCAGTGGGAATGAGGGAACTTTTGCTTTTCAGTTTATAGCCTGCCATACTGTCTGAATGTTTTTAAATCATGACTACACAAAAACAACAAAATCTTCTCAGACAAATATTTGCAAGATTGTCAAGTCCATAATACTACCATGAGGTAAGAAAAAAAAGGTGTGGAGATAGAGCGGTTTCTCTACTTATTCTAAGTCCTTTAACAAATGTTAGCCTTAGAGGGTTATCTTCATAATAAAAGTGCTTATCACCATCATCACAGAGGGCTAACAGTTAATACTTAAATGAAAAACATATACGAAGACACTTTGCAATCTGTAAGATTTCATACAAATATAATATTATTAGTTAAATTTTAATTCTGAAAAAAACTGGTTAAATGTTAAAAATTGGCTATAATAAACGTTTGAAAAAGAAACAGTGGTTTTTACTATCTAATGGCTCTTTAAATATAGACCTTATTTGCTATTGAACTATGTAAAATAAACAAAGGATAGGAAAAGAAACAGAAAAATAAGTTATTTAATCTCCTTACCTCACAAGAAATTAGAATTTGCATCTCTTTACATCATACCTCAAAACATCTAAAATGTTAACTAGAAAAACCCTTTAAGTTATGAATTCCCAACAAACATAAACACACATAGGTGTGTAATACAGACAGGTATACAATCAGACACACCCTAAGAGTCATGAGAAAAAGCATAACACATTGATACACTCAAATACATTTTTAAATGTATTCATACAAATATAATGTACACACACCTCTCTCAGAGCAACTCTACCTACATTTACCCCAACACTATTTTCTGTATTATGTTAAAACAAATGTTTCAAAAATTCTTTAGTGAATGAGATTTTGTATTCATATTTGCACCTGACATTTATTTAACATTCATAAATGCAAAATTTTTATAAGCTACCAACACTGAATTCTTAATAATTTAGAAATGTCATCTCAAATATTAATAATTTTAACTAAGCTGAAATAAAGTCTTGCCTTCAAGAGGAAGAATAATACAAATAACAGTAATGACAGCAGACCTTTACTGGGGCCACCAACTAACAAAAGCACCTTATCAAAATAGATATTTACAAAGGGATTCATTTGGAGCAATTAATTCCTATCTGACATCGCCTCAAGCAGGCATGATTGTGTGTATGTGCACTCACGCTTTTTTCTGTTTTATTTCCTAGTGTCCTTCCCTGATGACTGTCAAGAGACTTCTTTGTAGTATATTTGTCTCTAGAATTTTTGTGCCACATCGACTAGATTAGAACTATATTTCAATCAATATTTTAAAAATTTTATCAGCAATCAATCTCAGAGAAATGGTCCGATGATTTGTTCTATGAGCTTTAGGACATGAACTGTATGGCAAATGCATTACTTCCCTAAATTCTAAAGCAAGGTTTTAAGATATACCGCTGATTAGTAACAGCATTGCAGATGGAAAACTAACACGACACTGATTTTCCTTTTCTTTGTTCAAAGTAGAAGTGAGAAAAAAATTAACTGATTTAACAGTTCTTCACAGCAACTTGAGCAAAAAAGATAAAATCTGAGTTTGACAATGTATCACAAAATTCTTGTAACAAGGAAATAAAAGCAGATGTTCTAACAGCTTGCTTGAAATGGATCTTTATTCCAGACCCCACAGGTTTTACAAAAATGGTACCATTTCTCAAGGGCATTGAATTATTTAAACCACCACAATTTCTGCAACTACTGTATGTCATAGCTATTCAGAATTCTCAGCTAATCCAAAACCCTTATTTTATATTTGATTAAATTTGAATCTGGCAACATTCAATGTTACTCAAGGGCCAATAATTAACTGAAGAAAAGCAGAGATTAGAAGCTAAACTACTGGGCTCAGGGTTCAGATGTCTTCCCTCTACTCTCTTCTTCCTCACTGAGGCTGTATCTAATTACAATAATAGTAATGACAATAATAATAGTTGCTATGTACTGAGTTCCCACTATGTGCTAGTAGTGGCTATATTCTGTCTTGAGTTCTTTCAACAATCCAGAAAAGCAGATATCATTACCTCCATCTTTAAAATTGGGGGAAAAAAAAAAAACTCAGTGGAATTAAGGGTTTTAACTCCAAGTCACACCTGCTGGGTTTTAGATACCCTGAGCCTCTCCTTGACATAAATGAAACATACACTCACACTGCAGAACCTTTGTACTTGCTAAGACTGTTCTAGAATACTCTTACTTTAAATATCTGAAGGATCACTTCACATCACTTCTTTGAAGTCTCTTATCAAATGTTACTTGTCAGTCTTTTCTTCACCACCAGATAAATATATACCTTCCCTCCCCTTCTCATGTTTACAGTTCTGCCTTACATTCTCCATAGCACTGTTTCCAACTAGAAAAGGTATATATTTACTTTTTTTGGTTTATTGTCTTTCTTCCCTAGAACGTATGCTGCATAAGGACAACTTTGTTTGGCTCATCGGTGTCTAGGAATAGGGCCTGACTCCTCATAGGTATTCAATATATTGTTTAATAAATGTGTGAATGGCTTAATGAATACATGCAAATTCTCCTATTTCCTTCAGGAAGCACAGATGTATTCAGAGTAATATTTCAAATACAAAAGACTAGCAAGGTATACTGCAGAGGCTCCAGTTCCAGAAAGCCAACAGAGGGCCACAGCCTCAAAAGATAAGATACTCCCCAGAATGCCAGGACCACTGTATTAGTCCATTTTCAAGCTGCTAAGACATACCCGACACTGGGCAATTTACGAAAGAAAGAGGTATATTGGCCTTACAGTTCCACATAGCTGGGGAGGCCTCATAATCAAGGCGGAAGGCAAGGAAGAGCAAGTCACATCTCATGTGGATGGCAGTAGGCAAAGAGAGAGCTTGTGCAGAAAAACTCTCGTTTTTAAAATCATCTGATCCCGTGAAACTCCTTCACTATCATGAGAACAGCCAAGGAAAGACCCGCCTCCATAATTCAATCACCTCCCACCAGGTTCCTCCCATGACACATGGGAATTGTGGGAGTTACAATTCAAGATGAGATGTGGGTGGGGACACAGCCAAACCATATCAACAACCATCAGTATTGTATTTCTTCTTTGAGGATACACTAAATCAAATCACCTATTTTTTTAATTGAATTGCTTATCTTTTTGTTGTTGAATTTAAGAAGTCCTTTATATAATCCTGGATAGCAAATCCTCATTAGATATATGATTTGCAAATATTTTCTCCCACTCTATACACTGTCTTTTCATGTTCATGATAATGTCCTTTGATGCATAAAATTTTTACATTTTTATGAAGCTTAATTTATCAATTTTTCCTTCATTGCTCATCCCTTTTGTAACATATCTAACAATCCATTGCCAAATCCAAGCTCATGAAGATTTGCCTCTGTATCTCTGAAGGATTTTATGGATTTAGCTCTTATATATAGATGCTTAATCCATTTTAGTTAAATTTTGTATATAATGTAAGGTAAGAATCTAATTTCATTCTTTTGTATGTGGAAATCCAGTTGTCTCATTATTATTTGTTGAAAAGACAAATGGTCATTCTTAAATGGAGATAGTTTTATTCCTTCCCTTCTAATTGGAACGTCTTTTATTTCTTCTTCTTATTTAACTGTTTTTGCAATTGACTGAACATGTGATCCTTGTCAAAAAATTACTTAGCCATAGAAGTATGGGTTTTCTGTAATCCCAGCACTTTGGGAGGCCGAGGTGGGTGGATCACGAGGTCAGGAGATCAAGACCATCCTGGCTAACATGGTGAAACCCCGTCTCTACTAAAAATACAAAAAATTAGCAAGACATGGTGGTACGCGTCTGTAGTCCCAGCTACTCGGGAGGCTGAGGCAGGAGAACTGCTTGAACCCAGGAGGCAGAGGTTGCAGTGAGCCAAGATCCTGCCACTGCACTCCAGCCTGGGTGACAGAACGAGACTCTGTCTCAGAAAAAAAAAAAAAAAAAAGAGTATGGGTTTATTTCTGGACTCAATTGTACTCCATTGATCTCTGTCTATCCTTATGCCAGTACCACTGTTTTGATTACTGTAGCTCTGTGATAAGTTTTGAAACTGGGAAGCCTGAGTACTCAGACTTTGTTGTTCTTTTTTAAGGTTGTTTTCGCAATTTGAAGCCCCTTGAAATTCCATACAAATTTGGGGATTGGTCTTTACATTTCTGCAGCAAAGTTTTATAATTCTGATGGGGACTGTCTTGAATCTGCAGCTCATTTTAGGTAGTATTGACAGCTTAACATATCAAGTCTTTCTACACAAGTTTCTGCTATGTACAAGGCACTAACCACAGAAAGTACCAAAAAAAGAAAAAAGAATAAAAGCCCTTCTTCTGACATATAGTTAGCCCTGTATCTGCAAGTTTTGCATCTGCAAATTCAACCAATTCAGACTGAAAAATATTCAGAAAAAATGTTTTTTAAAAAATTATACTACAACAATAAATAATAATACAAATTTAAAAATACATAGTCTAGCTATTTAGATAGCATGGACATTGCATTAGGCATTATAAATAATCTAGAGATGACTTAATGTCAATGGTAGGGAGAATACACATGGGTTATATGCAAATATTTTGCCATTTTATATAAGACTTGAGCATCCACAGATTTTTATATCCATAGGGGGCTCCTGGAACTAATCTCATGCATATACAGAGAAACAATTGCAACTCAATTTTCTACAAGTATCTGTTACTTAATAAATGTATTTATATTTAATTTATTCAGAAAATTAATTTATTTCTCATAACTCCCCTATGCTCTACCACCTTAACTTGCTTTTTCTTCAGACCACATTTCTACCTCATATTACTTTATGTAATTATTCACTGCATTTCCTCATTCCCCTAAAATGTAAATTCAATAAGACAAGAACTAAGTTTTGTTCACAGCTTATAACCCCAGTACCTAGAACAGTGTCTGATATATACTTAGTAGTCAGTAGTTGTAGAATTTTGTAGTTTGTTTCCCATTTGCTGCTCCAGACTGTTCTAACCAACCACAGGCTTCAGATGAGATCTACTTTTGTCCCTAAGTGTTACAAAGTAGCCCTTCCTAGCTTACCATGATTACTTGAGGGCTATATGGAGAAAGAATTCTCCCTGTGTAAGAACAACACCTAGGTAACAAATACAGCTATGTAACAAGTACATCTATGTAACATGTTAAAAGCCAAGTTTTAAGACAGTTAAGCTGCTAAGATGTTTAAGTCACATAAGTGAAACTAGAAGCAGTTAGCTACTGCAATGGTCTAGATATGAGAGTAAAGGGCTATGAAGTAGAATACACACACATATATATATGAAGTCACATATTTATATATTACAGGGAAAAAGATAAGTAGAAATAGTTTGCTTATACTATATACCTTGTAGTCCAATCTGCAAAACAGCTGTTTTATTTCCACGATAAGTTAAAGAAGAGATAAGTGAAAGTTTTCCCTGAAATGAGAAAAAAAAATAGTTACAAAGAGGAGTCAAAGGAGTTTATAATAAAACCAAGATAGAAATAAAAATTAGAATTTTCTATAGCAACAGTTTTCTTTCAAGAAGTCAGAGTACTGTGTTCAAGTAACTATTTTAAGACAAGAAACTGTTGAATTTGTTTTTCTAGAGAAAAATCAGATCTACAAATACTTCAAGGTTTATAATATAATTTCCTAAGTAATCCTATTAGTTAAGTACTATCAGTTCCTTATTTTGCAGATAACTAGATCAACTTTCCCTAGCTTTGTTTTAATCTGTAATATTGTTCTCTACAAAACAATAAAATGATGTTTGCTCCTAGAAAGAAATGAAAACTTAATAAAGATTTAGAAATGCAAAATGGAAATCTCATATAGTGTGGACAAATCAACAGATTAAGACACAAGTACAGTTTAGTCTTTGTTCAGTTTCTGTAACTAACCAGCTCTGTCAGTTTAAAAAAAGTTACTTAGATTATCAGATAAAATAAAGTTTTTAATCTGGATGGTTTTTGTAAATAAAATTTAAAAATAGATCCTATTAGCCTCCCAGGCTAATATTCCAGACTTTGATATAGCTAATAAAAAATAGATCAATTTTACTTATAAAATAGGACTCAATTTTACTTATACATCAATTTTACTTATAGGAACATAAATAAAAATATGGTTATCAACAAAGCATGATTCATAGTCAAAAGTAAAAGTAGTTACACTTAAAAGATAGAAAGCTGAAAAAAGTGTCAACAATAAAAAGTTAATCTGTAAATCTCAGAACCTTTCTTGACCCATCAGAGAGTTGAGGTCACAGGGCAACCAACTAAGCAGAAATCTGAGGAAAGCAAGTAATTCTCATTACTTCTAATGAGAATAAAACAATTGTTTTATTTCTATGATAAGTTAAAGAAAAGTGAAAGATTTCCCTGAAATGAGAAAAAAATAGTTACAAAGAAGAGCCAAAGTTTATAATCACACCAAGATACAAATAAAATTTTTATAGCAACTTGCTTACCTAAGGTAAATGACAAATGTTCCCAGACATCTGTAAGAAAAATTCATCTAACACTTTAATGAATTGCTAGAGGCCAAGTATGGTGCAATGAAAACACATGGAGCCCCCAAGCTGCAAACACAGGGGAATTCATTCATTTACATGCGCTTCTCTACAGACCTGACAAGGTTCAGGACAGAAGTAGGGCAATGGCAGCAGCAGTTACTGCACGAAAGGCTGGAAACTCTGCTTGGCTCTTTCTCCTCTATCTTTCTTTCAGAACAAAGGACTTAAAATGCTGGGAGAAGGGCAAAAAAAAACATGTCAATCCAAGACCATTGGTGAAAACCCACTGCAGCTGGAAGGCAAGAACAGAAAAAAACACCTTCTATCCCTGTTAGGGATGGGCAGGAACGGGTACATAGGTGTAAGGCCCAGACCTATACAGCTAGAGGCAAAGCAGGATCATTGAGAAGGCCCCACTCACAAGACCCAGGACCTACTGCTACCAAGACAGGCTTCATCAGAACAGAGAACATCTACCTATTAAAGGCTAACCAGTACCTAGTAAAAAGTAACATGGTCTACTACTGGAAGAGAAGCTCTTGAGCAGGGAGGAGATCTTATTTGAGGCAAAGCACAAAGGAAAGACCTAAAACTAAGGATGGGGAAGACAAGAGAAAAATCCTCTCGTCAACCATCTCCGATCCTACATACAAAGTAACTCTGAGGAATATGAAGCCTCTAGTGCATTGAAGCACCAAAAACAACAACAAATCCCAAACCTAACTCTAAACCCGACTAGATTAATTCAATGCACCAAACTAAAGGCCTAGCACAAAGAAAGACCTACACATGCCCAGAAATAAAAACTACCCCAGTCTCCACTGTCCTCCACAAGACGTACAGCTTTGAACAATAACAACATATGAGGCATACAAAAGAGGCAAGAAAAAACGCAAAGCAATCAAGAGAACCACAATCAATTAGATTAAAAGACATTAATCAAATTAAACTCAAAGCAGGTGCTTTTGCTTCACTTGTATGTGATCCAACTAGAAGAAAAGTCTCAGAGTAGAGGGGATAATCAGAAAAAATATAAAGTTATAGTTATTGGAATGGGCCACACTGGTTTTAGAACAATGAAAAGAGAGCAAAAAGCACCTAAGCATGTAGGAAGACACTCCTAGCACCTGCGAAAGGGCCCTAGCACCTGGAGAAGAAAACTCTAGAACTTGGAAAGGGAATCCCTTAGGTCCCAGGAGGTGTAGGGGAGGGGAGGCATTAATCATCTTTGTCTTTCAGAACTCCAGGAACCTCCTTTCCCAAGGAAAAATATTCTGGTGCTACTCTCAGAAACTACTGGGAAATTTGAAAGTAAATCAACTGCTAAGCCTGCCTACCATGTCTCACCCAACTGCTCTAACCATGAGCCAGCAGGGCATGGCCCAGCTCCTGCAGCTTGGATGCTGATTACTTCCAAATGCCATCCATAACTAGGACAAATGGATTAGTAAATTAAGACAAATTTAACAAACTGCCCTGAGGCAGTCTCTCTGAAAACCAGACCAAACTAAATTACCGGGACTAAACTAGGGGCCTTAGGAGACTACTAGCTAACTAATAACACAAGAGGCACTGTCAACCCATGCTGCCTGCCTATCTATTAATACACACTTCCTAGAGGGGGGACCAACAATTATAAACTGTTTGTTTTCAGGGGTAGCATGTGTGCCACTGGGACTGCGTTTCTTGTGTGAAAGGCAGAAACTAACCAAATAAACAGTGTGACTTGCACCTAGGAGTAGTAATAAGAAACATAAGAAACATTCAAGTCTTCAGTAAACGACCTTTTTGGGTGATCATGCTATACATTATGTCAACAGTTTTACCTACAATGGAAGTTATTCCATTAGAAAGGTGGTAGGAAATTTGTCCCTGCCCTTGTTGAAGTGAGCAAAGAAAACTGGAACCTGAGTTAAAAGACAAGCTTTGAAAATTAAAGGACACTGAGAGACTTCCAGAGAGACTGATGTCCCAGAATTACATGTTTACAATTCAACAGATGAAATCTATAGCTATTCCCTTAAATTCCAAATGACGTATTTACATTAAGGAAATGAGGTTTCTCTCCCTCTCTCGGGAGGGGTAAAGCTGAATAGCTGCCCTATATAAACTCCTAGATGCATCATTTCAGCCTTCCTCTCTGAGAGTACAAGAAATCCCCTTCACACAGCAGGAAGACATCTGGCCCTCACTGCATCACTCTGAATGGGGAGGATGGGCAGGGAGTTATTGCTGAGAATAATATAATTATGTGGTGCTTAACAACAGGGATACATTCTGAAAAATGTGTTGTCAGGCAATTTCGTCTTTGTGTGAACATCAGAGTATGCCTAAACCAACTTAGATTGTACAGCCTACTATACACCGAGGCTATACAATATAGCTTATTGCTTTTAAGCTATAAACCTGTACAACATATACGGTATTGAATACTGTAGGCAATTATAAGACAATGGTAAGTATGTATGTATCTAAACATATAAAAACCTAGAAAAGGTAGAGTAAAAACACAATACTATGATGTTATGGGATGGACCACCATCATATATATGCAGTGCAGTGTTGACTGAGATGTTGTATATGGTGCATAACTGTAATAAGAGTCTGCCTGTATTCTAGAAATCCTGTTTGCTTTTAGGACAAAAATGAATTAGTATAGATATAAAAAATGTAACACATCCTGTTATGGACTTAATTGTGTTCTCCCAAATTACAGGTTGAAGCTCTAACCCTCAACAACTCTGAATTTGACTGTATTTGGAGACAGGGCCATTAAATAGGTAGTTTGGTTAAAAAGAGGCCATTAGAATGTGCCTCTTTTGTGCCACCAGTCTGACTGGTATCCCCAAAAGAAAATGGGACACACAGAAACACAACAGAGTCTCAGGCACGTACAGAGAAAATGCCAGGTGAAGACACAGCGAGAAGGTGAGCATCTGCAAGCCAAGGAGAGAGACCTCAGAAGAAACCAACCCTGCAGCCACTTTGATACTGATCTTCTAGCCTTCAGAACTATGAGAAAATAAATGTTTAAGCCACCCAATCTGTGGTACTTTGTTATGGCTGACCTGACAAACTAATATACCCTCTTTAAAAACTGGGGATTTTCTAAGCTCAGTGCCCCTCAGATGTGCTACAAACTCCGTGTGCACGTTATGTACCTGTCCCTGCCCCCATGGGACTTGGGGAGGAAAGAAGAACCAGTGCAAACATAAAGTTCATGTTCCCTGCTGTGCCAATAAGTAATATACTACCTAAATCTATTTGGGTGCCTTGCCTCCTTAACAGCTGAATCTAGAGAAGTGTAGCATGCCAACCTATGAGCTATATCACATACTGTTGCTTAGGAACTATTTGAACATTTGACCTTTACTCAAATGAAATAAAAACCTATGTTCAGATAAAAATCTGTACATATATATTTACAGTTGCATTATTCACCATCACAAAAACTGGAAAGAATCCAAATATTCCTACACTGGGCAATGGATAAATAGGCTGCAACAAAATTCTAATCACCAAAAGAAAGAAATACTAATGAAAAAAACAACCTGAAAGAATGTTATACGTATCATAGTAAGTGAAAGAAGCCAGATGCAAAAGGCTACATGCTGTATAATGCCATTTATATGACATTCTTGAAAAACAAAAAAACAGTGTCAGGAAATTGGTAAGCAGTCATGAGTGGTTAGAGTTGGCAAAACAGCTAACTATAAAATTTTGGAAGGTGATGAACGAATTGATTGTGATTGTGGTTACATACACATTTGCACGTATTCGTCAAAACTCACAGAAGTGTATGCAAAAAACAGAATGTAGCACTAAAATCCATTTAATAAAATTCAAAAAACATAGATATCTGCAGGTTAGAAAAGGGTAAGTACACAATAGAGAGCTGAAAAATTATTCAGATATGTAAAAGAACACAAATACTTCAATCTTTTTTTTTAAAAAAGTGAGCATTCTACATAACAATCTGTTAACCATGAAAAATACATAAAAGCTATTTCCTAGTTTTAACCCTAGTAGATACTAATGTGTTCACTTATAGCTAAAAGAATTCATTAATAAAAATGTTAAAATTGGACAGGGGCAATGCTCATGCCTGTAATCCCAGCACTTTGAGAGGTCAAGGTGGGAGGATTGCTTGAGGCTGGGAGTTTGAGACCAGCCTGGGCAACACAGAAAGATCCTGCCACTATAAAAAAAAAATTTTTTTAATTAGCTGGGCGTGGTGGCATGTGCCTATAATCCCAGCTACTTGGGAGGCTGAGGCAGAAGGATTCCTTGAGCCCAGGAGTTTGAGGTTACAATGAGCTACAATCATACCCCAGCACTCTAGCCTGGGTGACAGAGCAAGATCCATCTCTTAAGCAAACAAATAAGAAAATGTTGAAACTTAAAAAAATATTTCACTAATATAAGTAAGAACAAAAATAAAATAAGAACTTAGCAAACTGTCATAGTATTTAACATTTCTATATCAAGCACACAAAACAATAAAAGTATGTCAAAACTAGATGCAGCTTGGAAATAATCAGTATTAATGATATGTCAAAAAGAAATCAAATCATAGCACTTTATTAATAAATACAAGTATACAAGAAATATCACACTAACTGACCAAATGTAAAATAAGTTGAGAATGCTAACAAGCATCTGATAATCATTTAAATGCAATTAAGTAGAAAAGACCAGCTGTAATTCATAAAACCTTATTTAATAAGAAAGAAAATTCCAGGAAAATAAATAGAAATAAAACTTAAAAAGAAATAAATAGGTGAGTAAAATGTGTAACAAACGTCTATACGAAGAATATAGACAAGCAAAACTGAAATGTAGATTTCTCTCTATTATCAGATGCATTTTGTCCCTCACCCCCTCAACTAAAATTTAAAAACTCACTAAAAATGCATCCAGAATATTGGATATGGCAGACAAAAGGTTCAGTGAACTCAAAGAGAGAGCAACAGAAATTACTCAACTGAAAATCCTCTCTGCCACACAAATAAAACACAATAAAATAAAGGAGAAAGGAACAGAATCTCAGAGATCCGTGTTACAGTATCAAATAGCCTAATACATGAACATACACACGTAATTGGCATCCCAAAAAAGAGAAAAGGGTAATAATGTGGCAGGAAAAAAAAATATTTCAAGAAATATTATACAATAATTTCCCAAATTTGATGAAAAATACTGAATGAATCCAAGAAGCTCAGTTACCCACAGAGGAGAAATTCAAAGAAAAAGCTTACTTAAGCACATGCCAGTCCAACTGCTGAAACTAAAAGATAAAACAGAAAGGTGGCAGGAAAAAAAATGCAAATCACATACGAAACAACAGAATCCAGAAAGCAGTGGACCGGCATCTCTATAGTCCTAAAAGAAAAAAAAAGTCAACACAGAATTCTATATCCAATAAATATATCCTTGAAAACAAACATGAAATAAAGGCATTTTCAAATGAATGAAAGCTAAGAGAAGTTATCCCCAGCTGAAATATATGAAATGGTAGATATTTTTCACAATGAAGGGAAATAATGCCCAGATAAAAATGGATCTACAGGTAAAAATGAAGAACACCAGAAATGGTAAATATGTCAGTAAATATAAAGACTATACTTTTTCCTTCTTTTAATTTCCTTAAAAGATGACTCATTGTTTAAACAAAAGCAGTAATATAACATAGAGTTTATAATACATGTACATGTAAAAGATCATAACAGTTCAATGAACAGGGGAGTGAGTAAATGGAATTTCACTATTATAAGATTCTTATATTTGTCAAGGGGGAAGAAAAAGCAGGACATGAGAAATAACAACTGTAACATGGGGAGTGGTACAATAGTAGCTGTAAGTATACCTTAGTAAGGATGTATATTGTTAGTACTAGCATAACCACTAAAGGAACAAAACGGGTGTTGCTCAAAGCCAATGGTGAAAATAAAATAGAATAAAAAATATTTAACCCAAAAGAACTCAGGAAGGAGAACAAAAAACAGGCAAAACAAAGGGAACTCAAATTGTTTGACAGACAAACAAAACCATATCAATAATTATTTTACATAAATTGACTATGCTGATTAAATAGTGAGACTGTCAGACTGGATCAAAAAAGCATGATCCCGTTATATGCTAACAGATACTTAAAATACCAAACCATAAGTAAGTTGAAAAAGAAAGGAAATGTTCATACACTCAATATAAGGGCCACACTACCACAGGCACCCAAAATCAAAGCCAAAGTATCTTAACCAACAACATACATACATCTTCAGAAAACATTTCTTTGCTACAAATGCAATTTCAAAAAAAATAGAACAAGCAATTGCTACACTAGATGCACAGATATCAAAGGAAGGGCACAGGAAACATGAAAAAGCAGGGAAATATGATATCACCAAAAGACCACAACAATTATCTAGCAATATATATCAATTAAAAAAAATTCCTCGAAATGCCAGATAAAGAATTCAAAATAGTGATTTTAAAGAAGTTTAATGAGATTCAAGAGAAATCTGAAAACCAATACAAAGAAATCAGAAAATGAATTCTGTTTATGAATGAGAGATTTACCAATGAGACAGACATCTTTAAAAAAAGAAAAGAAAACGGAAACCATGAATTAAAAAATTGAAGAAAATACAAAATATATTCAAAAGATTCAATAACAGATTAGATCAAGCAAAAGAAAGAATCTCAGAACCTGAAGACAGAACGAAATTTTGAAATAATGCGGTCAGGCAAAAATAGGAAAAAGCATAAAAAGGAATGAGCAAAGCCATTTGAGATGTCCAGGACTACATAAAGCAAACAAACATATGAATTATCAGTATTCCTAAGGGGGAAGAGAGATTAGAAAGTTAAAAAAACCTATTTAAGGAAATAATCAATGAAAACTTCCTAAGTCTAGCAAGAGCATCAGACATCCAGATACAGGAGGCCCAGCTATCCCCAGGAAAATACACTGCAAAAAGGACTTCATCATACACATTATATTCAGAATGTGTAAAGTCAAAGTTAAAAAAAAAAAAATCTTAAAATTACCAAGAGAAAAGCATCTATCTAGTCACCTATAAAGAAAACATTATAAAACTAACTGGACTTTTCAGCAGAAATCTTACAGGCCAGAAGAGAAAGAATAACATTTTCCAAGTGCTCAAACAAACAAACAAACAAACAAAAAAACTGTAAGCCAAAATTTTATATCCTGCCAGAATAAGCTTAATAAATAAAAGAGATATAAAAAATTTCCCAGATAAGCAAACAACGCGGGACTCAGTAGTGAAAAAAAGTAGAAAGATCACAAATTAACACACTAGCATCACACCTCAATGAAACCAGAAAAACAAGAACAAACGAAAGTCAGAGTTAGCAGAAGCAAAGAAATAACAAAGATCAGAGCAGAACTAAATGAACAAAAATCCAAAAAAAAAAAAACCCAAAGGATCAATGAAAAAAAAGTTGGTTATTTAAAGAGAGAAACAAAATTGATGAACTACCAGCTAGACTAACCAAGAAAAGGAGAGAAAAGATCCAAATAAAATCAGAGAGGAAAAAAGAGACATTACAACTGATACCACAGAAATTCTAAAGGTAATTAGAGACTACTATGTATAACTATATGCCCATAAACTAGAAAACCAAGAGAAAATGGATAAATTGCTGGAAACATACAGCCTCCCAAGACTGACCCAGGAAGAAAGAGAATTCCTGAACAGATCAATGATGACAGCAAGACTGTATCAGTAATAAAAAAATCCCAATAAAAGAAAGTCCAGGACCAGATGGATTCACAGCCTAGATGTACAAAACACAAAAAGAACTAACACCAATCCACCTGAAACTATTCCAAAACTACTGAGGAGGGAATTCTCCCTAACTCATTCTACAAGGTATCACCCTGATATCAAAACCAGACAAAGAACACAAAAACAAAAACTACAGACTAGTATCTCTGATGACATCGATGCAAAATTATTAACAAAATACTAGCAAATTGAATCCAACAGCATGTCAAAAAGATCATACACCATGATCAAGTGAGATTTATCTCAGGGACGCAAGAATAGTTCAACATACGCAAATCAGTAAGTGTTATACATCACATAAACAGAATTAAGGACAAAAACCAGATGATCATCCCAACAGATGAAGAAAAAGCATTTGATAAAATTCATCTTCCATTCATGACAAAAATCCTCAACAAACTAGATAGAGAAGGAACATCCCTCAACATAATAAAGGTCATGTATGACAAATCCACAGCCAACATAATACTGAATTGGGGAAAAGTTGAAAAGATTCCCTCTAAGAATTGGAACAAGATAAGGATACCCACTTTCACCACTCTTACTCAATATAGTACTGCAAGTCCTAGCCAGAACAATGAGGCAAGGGAAAAAAACAAAAGGCATCCAAATTGGGAAAGAAGTAGCAAATTATCATAGTTGGCTAATGATATGATCTTGTATACAGAAAGCCCTCAAGACTCCACCAAAAATCTCTTAGGTTGGTAAATTAAGTAAAGCTTCAGGATACAAAATCAATGTACAAAAATCAGTAATGTTTCTATACATCAATAAAAATCTAGCTGAGTACCAAATCAAGAATGCAATCCCATTTACAACAGCTACAAAAATAAAATAAAATGCCTAGGAATATATTTAACTAACAAGGTGAAAGATCTCTGCAAGGAAAACTACAAAGGACGGATGAAATAAATTGTAAACAACATAAAAAAATGGAAAAACATCCCATGCTCGTGGATCAGAAGAATTAATATTATTAAAATGAACATACTTCCCAAAGCTACAGATTCAATGCAATCCTTATCAAATTACTGATGTCATTCTTCACAGAATTAGAAAAAAACAATTCTAAAGTTCATATGGAACCAAAAAAGAACCCAAATTGCCAAAGCAATCCTAATCAAAAAGAACAATGCTGGAGGTACACGTTGCCTCACTTCAAAATGTATTACAAGGCTACAGCAACCAAAATAGCATGGTACTAGTATAAAAATAGACACACAGATAAATGGAACAAAATAGAGAAACCAGAAATAAAGTCAAATACTTACAGCCAACTGATCTATGACAAAGATGGCAAGAACACTACACTGGGGAGAAGACACACTTTTCAATTAATGGTGCTGGGAAAACGGGATTGCCACATGCAGAAGAGTGAAACTGGAACGTATATGTCACCATACACGAAAATAAACTTAAGACGGATTAAAGATTTGAATGTAAGACCCAAAACTATAAAAATATAGAAGAAAACCTAGGAAAAACTCTTCTAGATATTGGTTTAGGCAAACAATTCATGACTAAGACCTCAAAAGCACAGGCAATAAAAACACAAATAGACAAATGAAACTTAATTAAGCTAAAAAGCTTCTGTGCTACAAAAGAAATAACAGAATGAACAATCTCAGGAATGAGAGAAAATATTTGCAAACTATACATTCAACAGAGGACTAATATCCAGAATTTACAAGGGACTCAACCAAAAAACCCCCAAATAAGCCCATTAAAAAGTGGGCTAAGGACATGAACATTTTTCAGAAGAAGATAAACAAATAGCCAACAAGCACATGATAAAATGTTCAATATAACTAATCATCAGTAAAATGCAGATTAAAACCACAATGAAATATCACCTTACACCAATCAGAATGGGTATTAAAAAGACAAAGAAAAAACAGACATTGGGGTGCAAAGAAAAAGGAATTGTTATACACTGTCGGTGAGAATGTACATTAGTACAACCTCTATGGAAAACAGTATAATGAGTTTTCGAATAACTAAAAATAGAACTACCATTTGACCCAGCAATCCCACTACTGGGTATGTACCCAAAGGAAAAGAAATCATTAAATAAAAAAGAGACCTGCACTCATATGTATACCACAGCAGTATTCAAAATCACAAAGATATGCAATCAACCAAAGTGTACATCGATGGAGGACTGGATTTAAAAAGTCACATATGTACACAATACTATTTAGACATTAAAAAGAATGAAATTATGTCTTTTGCAGCAACATGGATAGAAATGGAGACCATTATCTTAAATGAAACAACTGAGACACAGAAAGAGAAATACTGCATGTTCTCACTCAAAAATGTGAACTAAATAATGTGTACACACAGAAGCAGAGTGTACAGAGATGGACAATGGAAACTTGGAGGGGTAGGGGATTAGGAGTGGAGTGGATGATGGGAGGTTGCTTGGTGGGTACAAGCTGCATTGCTCCAGTGACAGATGCACTGAAGGCCCTTACTTTACCACAGTGCTATATATCAACATAGCAAAACTGCACTTGTTTCCCACACCTATTTACAAAATAAATTTTAAAAATTTTGTTTAAATTATCAAAAGTATCACAACTCATTTCTTGAAAGACATTTTCTGCTTTCATTTTTTCACCTGACATTCAATCCTCAAACTACTGAAAAATGAATTTGCTCTTAGTGTTTAAGCAAAACTAATCTTTCCAAGTGATCAATAATTTCTTGGTTATTAGAATGAACAGATACTTTTCAGACCTTTGAGCATCTAATAGCAACATAATGCTCTGTTTAGTAGCAAAGACAATGGGAATGCAAATCACTGCTCAGCCACTTACTGGCTATTAGACCTTGAATAAATCACTTAACCTGTGTTTGTTTTCCAGCTATAAAATGAGAATAATACTTAGAGTTCTTAGGAGAGAACATATACAAAGAGATTACATATACAAAGCATTTAGGAGAGTGCCTACTAGACAACAATCTATACAAGTGTTATTGAAACTTGCATTCTTACGTATCAAAGACTCCTGAGTTTCTTCCTCCTTCTCTAGACCATCTCTGCTACTTATTCATACTACTTTCTTTCACTGACTCCTTCAACATGGTTCTCTTCTCTTCTATGCTTTGGCTCAAACCCATCTAAATGAGAGTCCCTTTGGGCTTCAAACTCCCCAATCCACTTGCCTACTGCACACTACTATTTATATACCTCTAAAGACCTTTCAAATATGACCAAAATTGAACTTATCATGTTTCTCCCTAAGTATGTACCCCCTATTTTCTTCTCCTTGTTGGCTAGGAATTAGAAACAGAAGTTTCCTGAATTTCTCTTTGCCACTCTAGTCTAATTGTTCTCTAAGACCTACTGATTCTGCTTCTTTATCCTGTCAGGTCTAAAGGAAATCATCTATATTCAAATTCCTGCTCTACTTCATATCATCAATATGATCTCAGGCAAATTGCTTAACCTTTCTGAAACACAGTGTCTTTAATAACAGTACCTATGTCATAGGTCTTTGTGATGATTAAATAATATACGTAAAAACTACCTAACGCATGGAAAAAAATGCAATGAATGTTAACTTTAGTTATTATTATTACTATCTTTTTTCAATATCCTTCCCATCATCCCCTCTGCCACTGGCCCAGATCATCATCAACTCTCACCTAAATTACTGTAATTGCCTCTTAACTAAACATCTTTCCTCTAATCTTGCATTCGCCAATATATTCTCTACCTAGGAGCAAAGTTTTTTGAACTCAAAGTAAATCATGTCTTTCTCCTGCTAAAACCTACTAAAGACTTCCCATAGCTTTTAGAGTAATATCCAAATTCCTCAACATGCACATAAGGACTGCTTTTTACCTCAAAGGAAGGTACAGCACAGTCTGTTATCCCGTAAGTTCCAGCTCAACTTTCGTGATCTGTCAGAACCAAAAGCTCTCTCATGTTCACACATCACAATGCTAATATCACACCTATTAATTTTAATTGGAGATCAGGTGATTGATCTGTCAGACCCCACAGAAATGTGATTATCTTTAGTTCCGGGACTATATTTATTCATCTTTGTACCTCAGAAACTTACTCCAATGTTTCACACACGAATTTGATAATTGTTCGCTAAATAAGTACTGAATAAGAATAACTTATTGAAATATTCAATCTCAAATGTTATGACAAAGATAAAAACCATACCTAAACCAGTTCTCATAAATAAACTCAACACTTAAAAACTGCATTCCTTTTAGTAGGAAAAAGCATTCTGAGTTATAGAAATTCTTACCTGAATATATTTCTTGCTATAATTGTAACCTGGCTGTAGGGATCCGAAATCTACTTTATGTAATTTACTCAGCGGCTGAACTTCAGGCACCCCATTGACTTCCTTTATTAATTCAAGTGGCATATCAGTTCTGCTTCACACTGATGTCCAAAGCAAATTCAACTAGGGAATCTGACAACTTGCTGCTGAAAATACAAAACCAGTGTTTTACCCAAAATGAAGTCAATAATTTGCTTTAAGTCTCTTTGACTTAGTTATGCTTTTCCTTATTATAGTTAACACGGTTCGGGGTTGGGGGGTGACAGGAGGATGGATTATTTTACAATTTTATTGCAAAGATCAATACAAAACATTCTTCCAAGGAACTGAAACTTAACCATTTTCTACTTAGCTGCGTAAAGTACCTCCAAAAAGCCAGTTTTAAGATCTGTAACGTCACTAACAAACGCTTTTAACATTGTGCTTTAAAATGTAAAATTTATTGGGGAAGAGGGAGGCTGAAAAATCGTGTTTTTTTTTAACCCCCACGGGAGCTGTAATATTGTATAGACAAACTGTGCACCAAAAGCATCGTACTCCAACATGTTTCTGTGGCCCCCTCCCTTCACCCGCTAAATAAATGAAGAAACAAAAATTACTGAACTGAGATTAACTTCTGCATCGTAGGCTCAACCTTATTTCACAGACCTCTTGACGGGGACACTCACTAGTGTCGATATCTAATTTTAATGTTTGCGCACCAACCTTCCCCCAAGCCACCTGAGCTCTGTGAGGGCGGGGACTTGGACTTAACTCCTGTCTGCTTCTCCCAAAACACCAAGAAAGATGCTGAACACAGCAGGCTCGAGATAAACACTCGTAAGAAAGCGTTTCTCTGCGATAATTACATCAAATTTTGATCTAAACTAATTCAATCCCGGGCCCGTTACGTCTGGCACCCACTCAAATGAACACACCAAACCTTACAAATTTCACTCACCCGTACTCTAGAAAGAACCCTAGGAAGAGTTTAGGCGGGCGCGCAGGTGACGTCACACGCACGCTGACGGTTCAGCTCCACGCATGCGTGCAGGATCCCTGGGCATAGTCGCTTGTTCTCCGCCCGCGGTGGACCAGCTGCGTAACGGTTCACACACTGATGGCGCCTGGAGGTTTGGCGAAATACTGACAGGATGCGACGTCAACGGGAGCGCAGGGCCAAGGTACAGGCCCCGCCCAGTCCGGTCACATCCCCCGGAATTCTCGCAGCTCCCCTTAGCTCCGCCCCCAGTGACTTTCCAGCTTTCGTGGCGGGAGGCAAGCTTAGGGGAAGCGGGCGGGTCCGCTGGGCGGGATTTGAGCTTCCCTTTGGTAGATTCGAAGCTCCTGTAGGCAGAGCCTTTCTTTTAATGTCCAGTTCTCTTCCTCCAAGAAATAGGCACCTACTGCAGTCTTTACAAGGAAGCATTTACAAGGATAACAATGTTATTTGGGAGTTTTTATAGTAATTTCGGGCATTGGCATAATGCCACCATTGAGTCTTGCTATTTACAGACAGATTTGATTAACCTTGTCATTGTTTTATAGGGCCATGATTTTGTGGTATAATTAATATTTATTATAATTTATTTTATAGGTTTATTATAGTTTATTTAATATTTATTATAACTTATAATTGATAAATATTATAATTTATCATTTATAATGATAAATTGTTAAACATGAATTCTCTGCTAATTCCAGATATATGCCTTCAATCATTTAAGTGAAATCATCCTAGTGTGAAACTAAATGTAATAAAGAATTACATGAATATTTCCAAGGCTAATTTGAACTAAAATATCTTCTTTATATACATATTTGCAGGAGGATATAGCTAACTTTTTTTTTTTTTTTGAGACGGAATCTCGCTCTGTCACCAGGCTGGAGTGCAATGGCGCAATCTCGGCTAACTGCAACCCCCACCTCCCGGGTTCAAGCAATTCTTCTGCCTCAGCCTCCCTAGTAGCTGGGATTACAGGCGCAGGCCACCATGCCTGGCTAATTTTTGTATTTGTTTAGTAGAGACGGGGTTTCCCATTTTGGCCAGGCTGGTCTCGAACTCCTGACCTTGTGATCCGCCCACCTTGGCCTCCCAAAGTGCTGGGATTACAGACATGAGCCACTGTGCCCAGCCAGCTATGTTTGAAGTGCCTTTTTAATCAACAGGAAGCATTCAGTATTAGCCCATCTCCTGTTTCCCCTCCCCATCCCTGTAGTTATATCCCACGCAGAAGCCGGGGTGACAAGTGCATGAACTCAGGAGCTGTCCATTTGAGGAAAACTATAGGGAAGGTTTAGATGCTATCCTCCTTCCATCTCTGGCTGCATCCGGCTGAGAAATACTATTCCTCCTTTTTATGTGAAGCCCTCCACATGGGCTTTGGACCCTGACCAATTTCATCTCCCTTCCATCATCATCAATATATTTTCTCTTAATGTATTTTAAGCTTTCCTTCTTTTATTCATTCTTTCCCGTCACCATTTAAACACATTCTCCCAGGCTCTTGCTCTGTCGCCCAGGCTGAAGTGCAGTGGCGAGATCATAGCTCGCTGCAGCCTGGAACTCCTGGGCTCAAGCTATCCTCTGGCCTCAGCCTTCTAAGTAGCTGGGACTACAGGCACAGGCCACCACACCCGGCTAATTTTTTAAAAAAATTTTGTGGAGACGAGTTCTCACTATGTTGCCCAGTCAGTCTCACACTCCTCTGTGGGTACTAAATATTTGTTGAATGAACAAATGCTGAGGAAAACTGTTTATCTTACTTCTGACTTCCACCCCTCCATCCCACCCCTGCCCCCCACCACCCCATTACACTTAAACTGCCCTTAGAAAAACCACTGAAGAACTCTTTATTGCTAACCCAAAAGGACATTTTTAGTCTCATATTTTTGAAAACATTCTTTGTGCTACAACATGGTCCTAGTTTTCCTCTTACCTTCTACCAACTGAATCTTTTAAAATTTCTCATAATCTGTTTAGCCTGTAAGTATCCATGTTCTGTAGAATGTGATGAAGATGTCTAATAGAGGTATACGTAAGTCCTTTTATTTTGTTAAAGTGGTTGTTCTCAGTTCCTGTGGGACACAACACTTCCTACACGTTCAAGTAACTTCCAATCTTATTTCTTCTGCATAATCTCCCAATTAGTGGCAGAGGCTCCAGAGCCTGTAATGCTTTCCCTCACATTAGCAATTAATTTCCACAAATGAAGAAAATTGCTCATGAATATACAGTACAATTTAAGATAATAAGAGAGGAAAAAAAGAGATTGAATCAACTGAATAAGGCAATGAAGACATATTAATGCCAAAACAATCCATTACTATTGTTCTATGCCTGTTGAAGCAGCATAAAAAAGCTACTCTAAGGCTAACAATTAATGTAATTGTTATTAGAAGTTATGACTTTTAAAGGTTCAATGAAAAAAGTTTTTATATAAAATCTGCAATGTAAAAATGTTCATTTTAAGAAAAGTTAAAATTAAATTTTCATTAATAAATAATGAAGACTAAAAGCAAAATGGGTAATTTTTAAGTGATGTATAAATATAAGGATTCAGTATAGTTATCATAAATAAATCAAACGTGAAAGAAATTAGTCTGCAAATTTCTGACACATCTTCCCTCTCATAGCATTTTCATATTATCCTTTACTATTTACTTGTTAATGTCTACATGTAAAATTGAATTGCCTAACATGTCCAGCACTTCAAATTCATTTCCTTTGCATTAATTGTGGGGTGATTAACCCATTCCTGTTTGCAGTCCATCTGTCCTGCAAGCTGTTATCATCAGGTTGCATCTCTAGAGCCTGACAATATCATCTTCTTACTCCTGAGATTTTCTAGGAATAATAGCTAGGCTACATTAGTTGGAGTTCATTTCCTTGTGTCTAATATTCTTTCTGCCCAATCCTAATGAACATCTAAATGGATTTGTAAAATCCTATTTCAATAAAGCATCAAATTTTTATATTGTTATGTAGCTGAGCCAGGAGATAAATCAAACATAATTTTTTCTCAAATGTATGTTTAAGTTACAAATTTAAATGGTAAAGCATGTAATCACTCAGTGCATACTAGGAAGCAAAATAAAGATATTTTTAAAACATAATATTAGGTACCACAAATTGAGAAAACATTATTATCCATTGAAGAGGTCTCTCAAAAGCTTTTGTACTTTAATAATAAATCTTTTTAATTTATTATTTAAAATATCCTAGGCCAGGCACAGTGGCTCACACCTGTAATCCCAGCACTTTGGGACGCCGAACCAGGCAGATCACAAGATCAGGAGTTCGAGACCAACCTGGCCAACATAGTGAAAACCTGTCTCTACAGAAAATACAAAAAATTAGCCAGGTGTGGTGGCGGGCACCTGTAATCCCAGCTACTCGGGAGGCTGAGACAGGACAATCACTTGAACCCAGGAGGTGGAGGTTGCAGTGAGCTGAGATCACACCATTGCACTCCAGCCCGGGAAACAGTGCGAGACTCCGTCTCAAAAAAAAAAAAAAAAAATCCTCATCAGTTAAAAAATTGTCTTTCCTTCAGTTGCTACTCATTTTAAGAATTGTTGGGCCAGGTATGGTGGCTCTCGCCTATAATCCCAGCACTTTGGGAGACCGAGGCGGGTGGATTACCTGAGGTCAGGAGTTCAAGACCAGCCTGGCCAACATGGTGAATCCCCATCTCTACTAAAAATACGAAAAAAATTAGCTGGGCCTGGTGGCACACCCCTGTAATCCCAGCTACTCTGGAGGCTGAGGCAGGAAAATTGGTTGAGCCCAGGAGGCAGAGGTTACTGTGAGTCGAGATCGTGCCACTGCACTCCAGCCTGGCCGACAGAGCAAGATTCTGTCTCAAAAAAAAAAAAAAAAAGAATTGTCCAAGGAAAAAAATAACCTATATTCAAATTTTAATTATAAACTATAAGTAGGTCAATATATTATACTGTATTGATCCATATGAATGAATTACAAATACGAACTTTCTCTTGTTGAAAGACTATAAGAAATGTATGACTTCCCAAAAAATATAAATAAATGTTTCCTCATATAACTCATGTATAACATTTTCTCTTTCTTTCTTTCTTTCTTTCTTTTTTTTTTTTTTTGAGACAGGGTCTTACTCTGTTGCCCTGGCTGGCATACAGTAGGAAGATCCTAGCTCTCACTGTATCCTCGGTCTCCCAGACTCAAGCGATCCTCCCACTTCAGCCTCTTGAGTAGCTGGGACTATAGGCAGGCAACACTGTGCTCCGCTAATTATTTTTAGCAGACGTGAAGTCTCACTGTGCTTCCCAGGCTGGTCACAAACTTCGGGTTCAAGTGACCCTCCCACCTTGGCCTCCCAAAATGCTGGGATTACAGACGTGAGCCACCATTTCTGATAACATGTTTTTAATATGTTTAAAAAAAGGCAATATGTAAACTTAATGAATATTCAGGGAACATTTACCAAGTATCTGAAATTGAGCAGGGCCATCTAACAATAAGTTAAACACAACCAGGCATGGCCCTGGCTGATTTGGATCTTGCAGTGGAGACAGAATATCTTTTTAAAATTCAGATAAACCAATGCAAAATTTCGATTATGATGTGAGATACAGAGAATAGTCATGGTGCTAGGAAAGTATATAATGGAAGAAGCTGACCTAGATAGAAAGGTCACATTAGGTCTTCCTGAGAAGTAAGAATTAAGCAGAGATGAAAATACAGCAATATAATCAAGGCAAATTTTAGTTACCTGTAGTACATTTCAGTCCTATAAAAATATATGGCTTCAAGCTTAAAAAACTATGGGCTAATCAAAACATATATTTTTTTCTTAAATACTCTCTAAACCCTGTATTCAGCCTTAATTTTGCTCTTCAGGTGAAACTCATCACTTCTTTTGCTATCCCTAGACTGCCACAGATATAACCCTCATACAGGCAATGATTTTATGTGATCATGCTCAGATATTAGACACAAAAAAATAGAGTGTGACTGGTGAAACTGGCTCACATTAAACAAACTCACATTGATATTTTTAAAAAAACCTGGTAATACAAATGTATTAAATTCCAACCAAATGTTTTAAATTATTAGCTATATATCTGGAATATGGCATTATGTTAATATCAGTACTTATGAGGAACCAAATTATAAACACTTGGTTGTTGGGAAAGCATGGAATTTCAACATAGAAAATTTTTTGGATGATCCTACAACCTAACATAATCAAGTCATGTGAGTTTCATGTCAAGTCTACTGGAGAAATATATGTGGATGTTCACATTTGTGGTCAGGGCACCATCTCCCCTGAATGTTTGCCTCTCAGATGATCTCTTTTCTAGGCATGTAATTAACCTTCTTCAGATGTGTCCTGTTTTCTTTTTTATTTTCTTTCTGTGCCTTGATTTGGATTAGAAATAAATTACAGCTATGGCTCCGGTAATATTTACAAGTGTTTGGCTATGCCATGTTCTTTCCCTTAGTTGTCTAACAATTTGTAAAATTCAAGACTCTGTATAATCACTGTAATCTCTCTAGTGATTCTGAAAAGACAGGGATCTTTTTCTTTAAATTTTCTAATCTATGGCATATAATTTTATTTTTATAGATATATATTCACCTCTTTCTAAGCACAGAGTAAGCCTTCAAGGCTTGTCAGTGAATTAGATGTTCTGCTGCTAAAAGTCAGCCTGAGCACCCTCAAGACTCAGAGTTGGCTGTTTCCTGAGAATAAATAAAAGGCCATGGCTCATCTCAGTGCCATAACACGAATGGGCACTTTCTTCTTCCAGCTCGCTTTCTTCCAGATCAGAGGATTCTTATAAGAATTTATGTGTTTTGTTGGGGAAAAAAATCATTTATCTAAAGTTTAATCATCCCTTCAGTTTTACTTAAACTGTTTTCTCTTTTGATTAATTCAAATAAAATTTAAATTAATACTTTTAATTTAAAATATCATCTATGATTCTTTTATTTTAAATTAATTCTGTCTTTCTGGCCAGTAGCTTAATTCTGATTCTATGTATTATACAGAGATATCTGAAATGATATTCATAAAATGTTCACACTGGTTATTGTTGAATGAATAATTTAAATGACTAGCTGCTTTTTTTTTAATTAAAGGTTTTTTTCACTACTTTTATCACTTAGCCACATGACTAAAAATAACTAAACCAAAAGTTTTTTGAAAGACTCGTATTTAAGCATCCTCTAGTGGTAAAATTATCTGATAACCATATATACAACATTTTGCATGTTTATGCAGTTCACGCTCCACTAACAGCTGCCTTCCAAACACAGAAGTCTGTATATGTAGCCATGTTGATATTATGCACTTGATCCTGTTCCATCCTGACTATAGGCTGCACTGAGATAATCACCTGATCACTTGACTCCTGAGGCAGCCAATCTATTACCTGGATGGAGCCAGTTAGAATCTGTCTCTTAAGAACCCAGTAAATTGGGCCAGGCACAATGGCTCACACCTGTAATGCCAGAACTTTGGGAGGCCGAGGTGGGTGGATCACGAGGTCAAGAGATCAAGACCATCCTGGCCAACACGGTGAAACCCCTGTCTCTACTAAAAATACAAAAATTAGCTGGGCGTGGTGGTGCATGCCTGTAGTCCCAGTTACTCAAGAGGCTGAGGCAGAAGAATCGCTTGAAGCTGGGAGGCGGAGGTTGCAGTGAGCCGAGATGGCACCACTGCAATCCAGCCTGGCGGCAGAGTGAGACTCCATCTCAAAAAAATAAAATAAAAAAGAATCCAGTAAATGACTTTGGTCATTTGTGTACAAGTGAGTTGGCCTTGACACTTGATTTGCGAGGGCAAATAGGAGTTTAGGGTGACCATTGTCCATAACAGCATGAAGAGGCAGAAAAAAACAAACTGCAAAGAAGGATGAATCAGATATATACAGAGAAGCAAAACCAGACACCATGCAACCCCAGAGAAAAAGACGGAGTAGTTTGCTGGGTTCTTAGTATCTTTAGTATATTTGACATAGTTCTTCAAAAGGAGTTCAGTGTTCCTCAAAAGGAGTTAAAACTCTAGCTGCCATGTGATACTTACGAATTCCACCAGTATTTATTGGTTTTTGTTAAATTTCTGTTACTTGCAACCAATAGCATTTTAACAGATAACACTCAGGAATTTCTATTGGCTTTCTTCTTAAAATGTGTACAGAATCAGACCGATGCATATCACCTCCACCACTACCACTGTGATCCAAGTCACCATACCCTCTGGACTGGATTTCTGCAATAGCATCCTAGAGGGTCCCCCTGATTCCTTACTCTTCACTTCCTGCCCACACACAATTATTGCTCCATTCTCATCAAGAACAGCAGGTCAGATCATTTGCTCCTCTGCTCAGAACACTACAAGGGTTCTGCAGGACTGTCAGGGTCAAAGTCAAAGTCCTTTAAGTGATCTAATCCCTCTGCTATCCTTCTGAATTTACCCCTTATGTTCACTCACTTGAGACAGACTGGCTTCCTTGCTCTTTTTCTGGAGTCTTAGAGTGGAATGCTAGAATACTCTTCCCTTACTAATTCCCCCAGTTACGTCAGGAATTTTCCTCAAATATAACCTTGTCAAAGCAGCCAAACTGACCACTGTATTTAAATTTGCACACACATCCCTCCAGAGTTTTGCTACCCTTTTCTTTTTCCCTAGAGCACTAGTCATCTTCTAACATACTGTAAAACTGACCCTTTTAATTGTGTTCCACACTAAAAGGTAAGCTCCACAGTAGTAGGGATTTCAGCCTGTTTTGTTCGTTTTGCAGGCAGTAAATACTTGAGTAATGAATGGTTAAGACACCATGCCTAATGATTCACTAACCAGTTCTCTCTCCAGTGGTCCACAGGCCAATGGAGAACACATTTCATTAACTTCAATATAGCAACGCTTGGAAATCATCGGTAGGATTGCTATGAAGAAAGACTGATTTTGGATCGACACCAGTGAGGTTGTCTATGATGATGAAAAGCAGGCAAATTTCTTATTTATGCCAGAAAAGTAGAGAAGCTACATTATAAACATGAGCATTATAAATCTTTATTCCATGAATAACACGGAGAGTCTGTATGGCCTACCAGTGGTTCAAAGACCATATTTCGTAAATTACAAGTAAAATGAAAAAACTTTGAGTGTAATGTAATGTCATACATTAGTCAAGATTCAAATTTTGTAAGTTTACATAGGCTAATAAAGGCAAGTGATTTTTAAATTAGATAGTTTCTAATTAGAATGTTTAAGCAAGAGGTCTATCTCCAGCACTCTTTGGAGATTAAGATCCCTCATGCCATCTTTTCTCTCAGCAACAGAGGATATTTTTTAATCAGGTTGGGTTACTTTTAAGCTCCCTTCTCACTACATCTGATAGGGTAATGACTTAGAGTGAATGAAAACAAATACGATGAAAAGTACTGTCTGAGAAATGCTGAGACAAGCCATGCACTAAGGGAAAAATGAATGACTGGAAAGAACATAAAAGCCTCAAAGTCAAATTAGCATAACAGAGGATCGAAGTATATGCAGCAAGGCACAGACTAAGCAAGGAGAGGCAAAATTTTCATAGGGGAGAGAAATGGGTCATTTTCTAATTTTGAGCCATGCCATGTGGCACCTAGGTGACTCAGTGTGTAAAAGGCACAAGGTTAAAATAGACTATCTCAACAGAGATAAGTTTTGGTTAAATTACACGAAAGATATTTATTGAATTTTTTTTAAAAAACTGCATTTGGGAAAATTATTTTGAGTGATAATTCTGAGTGTTTATTCAGAAACATATTCTTTGACAAATCTGCTTATAGTAACAGCCAAGACCCTCCAGGTTCCTATGTGTGAGAAGAACTATGTTGCCTAACAAATGATTGGTTCTTCAGGTTTCTCTGTAAAGATGGGGAAGCAAGAGAAAAAGAAAATAAACTGAACCAGAAAAACCAAGAGAGTATGTATGTTTCCCAGAAGAGATGCCACTCTTTGATGCCTATGCTGTATGCACATTCAATCCAAAGAAAAAATCTTTAGAAAAGTTGTCGAGCTCACAGAATGCTTAAGAATGAGTGAAATTTTTGAGAAAACCAGTGAGGAGCTTGGTTTATGTCAGATTGCTGCGTTTCTAATTGAGGCAGCACACACAAAAGGCACATGAAGGAAAAGAAAAAGAAAAAAATTGCTGGAAATTAATAGACAGAAAGTAGACTAGTCAAAGAGGATCTTTCAACTCCTTTACACTGTGGAAGTAGGGGTTTATGTCTTGAATTTAATGTCCCCTTCATTTACATATCTTACATTTTATATCACGAAGATATGTCCTGGGAAAATCTGTAATAATGCCCATGTCTACAGCCTCTTTTCTATGTAATCTTAGATTTTTAAAAAAGCATTGATAGTTAATTTGTTTTGAAAATAATGGACCAGCTCTAAGCTGGAGAGCACAGAAGCAGACAGCAATTTGTTAGCCTGATATTTTTCTTTGTCTTCCTCTTGTTTTTTGAATGATCAAAAATTGGCACAATTTTAGAAACTTTATAATGAATAGTTTTAAATAATAGTAAGCTAATTAAGAGTTTGCATGTTTTTTAGATTCATTATGCTTATTTGAAGTAATTGAGAACCATTTGTTTTAGGGTGAAAATGCACTTTTAACACAGAAAGACATTTTGTAACTTTGTCCGAACCTTCTTATTAATTTAAATTAAATTTGCCTCTATTCATTACATTCATACACTTCTATGGGAAATGGGAAAGTCAATATGTAGTCTCCTTGATGAAAATTGTGGATAGCTTATTTATTTTTCACTTATGTGCAATAATATTGAGACATTCTATAGCTAAATGTGAGTTTACCTTTCCTCCCCACAATTTGCCCATCAAAGACTATGTATTGTTAGAAGGATAAGTTTACAGCTACTGTATTAATAAGATAATAAAATCTCATTTGTGTTGTCCCTCTTACCTAATTCTCAATAGTAAAAAATTACTCCAAGATATCTTTTCTATGATTAGAGCAGAATAGAAGTGATTACTATACAATCACATTTGAAAAACTTCAGTTTAATTAGGATATATTCAACCCAGAACTTGGCGTCAGAGTCTGGCACAGCCAAAGGAACAGAACAGATGGAGAAAAAGAAATACTTTGGTACTCTTACTTATTTTCACATGAGGATGGTGTAAACCAGTCCTAAGTATAGAGGTATGTTTGCTTAATAGACTCTTGTAAGTCTATTAGACTGAAAGGAAATATTAAAAAAGAAATGTATTCCTTTTTTCTTGTTATTTATATCTGACCATCAATAATTTTCTGCCACTTCTAGATAATCTGCTAATTCTATCCATATTATACATCCAAATACTAATGATATTAATCTTGATCAGTCTCCTCCTTAATTTCCCTCATAGTAAAAATGCTTCTTTTCTTTCCATTTCGGCCAGATACCCTTTATATCAAACCGTCTATCCTGGAGCAGAAAAATCCTGTCTTCATTGCTATAGCTACAGATTCAGAAATGAGCATGTAACAAATTCAGGCCAAAGAGAGGTAAGGAAATACTTTTTCTGGAATTTCTAAGACTTTTTTTTTTCTTTCTCTCTGGAGAAATATGGGAAATCAGCCTCTCCTCTTCCTGATGCTGTGTGAGGAAATGTGTAATCCGATTATTACTGGCAGCCATTCCACAACCAAAAGGGAGCCCAACTTAAAATGAAACCAATCCTGTGGTTGACTGAACAGAATGTCACGTAAATTAAAAAAATAAAATAAAATAAAATATGCAACTTTCATGGTAGTGTTAAGCCCTTATATGAACTAACCCTGAAATCTCATGTGTCTCTTAATTTCTACTTACAGGAACTAGAAAATTTCCTTATTATTTTAAGTCAGTTTGAGTTTTTGGTTTTCTGTTACTGGCAGTAAAATAACAGTCTCCTTTCAGTCAAACATCAGGAAATTCACAGGCATATGACATCTAAAATCACCAATAATCTTTGCATTTAGTAAAAACTGGTACCAGGTGGAAGAATACAGTAAATAAATGTATAGCACCTAAGTGTTCTGTACTTAACTTCTCATCCTTCCACTATCCAACAACAGCTTGACATTCCTTTGGTAAATCACTCCCTTTCCACTCTTAGTGCAGTTTATATGCTTATGACTTCCCAATTTTATATCTTCAGTTCTAGATGTATACACCCCAAATTTGTATTTTTCATAAATTCCAGACTTGTGTTTTCAACTGTGTATTAACTATTTCCACTTGATGTCTAGAAGATATGTCCAACTCTCAATCTTCCTACAGACTTGTTGAGTTGCTTTGACCAAAATGCTGATAGTGGTATGGACAATAAAGTCCAGGCTGAGGTGGTCACAGATGGAGATGATGAACTGGAGTAAAGGTCACTCGCTATGCAAAGAGACTGGTAGCATTTTGTCCCTGCCCTAGAGATCTGTGGAACTTTGAACTTGAGAGAGATGATTTAGGGTATCTGGCAAAAGAAATTGTAACCGCCCAAGGAGTTCACCTTGCCCACGGCCTAGACAGAGCTGATTCATCAAGACAGGAATCGCAATAGAGAAAGAGTAATTCACGCAGAGCCGGCTGTGTGGGAGACTGGAGTTTTACTATTACTCAAATCAGTCTCCCTGAGCATTCAGGGGGCACAGTTTTTAAGGATAACTTGGTGGGTGGCGGGGAAGCCAGTGAGCCAGGAGTGCTCATTGGTCAGAGATGAAATCATAGGGAGTAGAAGCTGTCTTCTTGCACTGAGTCAGTTCCTGAGTGGGGGCCACAAGATCAAAGGAGCCAGTTTATCTATCTGGGTGGTGCCAGCAGATCCATCAAGTGCAGGGTCTGCAAAATATCTCAAGCACTGATCTTAGGAGCAGTTTAGGGAGGGTCAGAATGTTATAACCTCCAGTTGCATGACTCCTTTTTTTTTTTTTTTTTGAGATGGAGTCTCGCTCTGTCACCCAGGCTGGAGTGCAGTGGTGCGATCTCAGCTCACTGCAACCTCCACCTCCTGGGTTCAAACGATTATCCTGCCTTAGCCTCCCACACAGCTGGGACTACAGGCGTGTACCATCATGCCCAGCTAATAATTTGTTTGTATTTTTAGTAGAGATGGGGTTTCATAATATTGGCCAAGTTGGTCTCGAATTCCTGACCTTGTGATCCACCCACCTCAGCCTCCCGAAGTGCTGGGATTACAGGCGTGAGCGACTTCGCTTGTTCAACTCCTAAACCATAATTTCTAATCCTGTGGCTAAAGTTAGTGTAGTCACCAGGCAAGAAGGAGGTCTGCTTTGGGAAAGGGCTATTACCATCTTTGTTTAAACTAAAAACAACAAACTAAGTTTCTCCCAAAGTTAGTTCAGCCTATGCCCAGGAATAAACAAAGACAGCTTGGAGGTTAGAACAAGATGGAATCGGTTAAGTTAGATCTCTTTCACTGTTTCAGTCATAATTTTACAAAGGCGGTGTAAAAATTCCTAAGCATCAAACACTCAAGAGGTGACAGAGCATAAAAGTTTGGAAAATTTGCAGCCTGACTATGCAGTAGAAAAGAAAATCCTATTTTTTGGGAAGAAATTCAAGTGGGCTGCGGAAATTTTCATAAGTAATAAGGAGCCAAATGCTAATCACCAAGACAATAGGGAAAATGTCTCCAAGGCATGTCAGAGACTTTCCTGGCAGCCCCTCCCATCACAGACCCAGAGGCCTAGTAGGAAAAAATAGTTTCCTGGGCTGTGCGCAGGGCCCCCCTGCTGTATGCAGCCTGGGGACTTGGCATCCTGCTTCCCATCCACTCCAGTCATGGCTAAAAGGAGCCAACGTACAGCTCAGGCCATTGCTTCAGAGGGTGCAAGCCCCAAACCTTGGTAGCTCCAACGTGGTTTTGAACCTACAGGTTCACAGAAGTCAAGAATTGAGGTTTGGGAACCTCTACCTAGATTTCAGAGGATGTATGGAAATACCTAGAGGTCCAGGAAGAAGTTTGCTACAGGGGCAGAATCCTCATGGATAACCTCCACCAGGGCAGTATGGAAGGGAAATGTGGGGTCAGAGCCCCCACACAGAGTCTCCACCGGGGTACTGCCTAGTAGAGGTGTGAAAAGGGCCACCATCCTCCAGACCCCAGAATGGTAGATCCACCAACAGCTTGCACTGTGCTATAGGCACTCAATGCCATAGGTACTTGCACAGCCATGTGCACTAAATGCCAGCCTGTGAAAGCAGCCTGCAGGGGGGCTGTACTCTGCAAAGCCACAGGGACAGAGCTGCCCAAGGGCATAGGAGCCCACCTCTTGGATCAGCGTGACCTGGATGTGAGACATGGAGTCAAAGGAGATAATTTTAGAACTTTAAGATTTGACTGCCCCACTGGATTTTGCACTTGCATGGGGCCTGTATCCCCTTTGCTTTGGCCAATTTTTCCCATTTGGAATGGGTGTATTTACCTGATGTCTATACCACCATTATATTTAAGAAGTAACTAATTCACTTTTGATTTTACAAGCTTATAGGTGGAAGGGACTTGCCTTGTCTCAGATGAGACTTTGGAATGTGGCTTTTGAGTTAATGCTGGAATAAGTTAAGACTTTGGGGGATGGTTGGGAAGGCATGATTGGTTTTGAAAACTTGTCTTATCTCAGATGAGACTTTAAACTGTTGACTTTTGGGTTAATGCTGGAATGAATTAAGACTTTGGGGGACTGTTGGGAAGGCATGATTATGTTTCGAAGTGTGAGGACATGAGATTTGGGAGGGGCCAGAGTGGAATGTTATGGTTTGGCTGTGTTCCCACCCAAATCTCATCTGGAATTGTAATGGGAGGAACCCAGTGGGAGGTTACTGAATCAGGAGGGCAGTTCCCCCATGGTGTTCTCATGATAGTCATTTCTCACAAGAGCTGATGGTTTTATAAGCATCTGACATTTTCCCCACTGGCATTCATTCTCTCTTCTGCTGCCCCGTGAAGAGGTGTCTTCCACCATGATTGTAAGTTTCCTGAGGCCTCCTTAGCCATGCAGAACTCAATCAATAAAACCTCTTTTCCTTATAATTTACTCAGTCTCAGGTATTTCTTCATTGCACCATGAGAACAGACTAATACACTGTATATTTCCAGTTTATTTATTTTTACCATTTATAATTGTGACTAGAAGGTAAGTTTCATTTTGACAGAGATTTTATTACAGACTATATCCCTATCACTTAGGAAAGTGTCACAGGGTATAGACACTCTCCTAAGTGATAGGGATATAGTCTGTAATATTAATTGATTGAGTGAATAAATATTTTGATGGGTAACCCCACTCCCCATCCTCATGATCATAGGCATTCATTTGCTGCAAGCCTGGTCAGTTAACAAATTCCATTACCCCAGCCACACTAATTAATGTTTAGAAACAATCACATAGCCAATTACTTTGGTAACTATAGGGAATTTTGCTGTAATAACTGGAAAAACAGAAGCTCTCCTTACATTGGGCTTTCCAAACACTAAGATATTGTAAGATCGTAAGTAAGTTCAACTTTGATAAACATAGAGCTTGCTGAGAATAAAATCCCTTAAAACAAAAGTAGAGCTAAGAAGTAGTAAAGGGAAAAGTTGGAGAAAAGAGGCTGAGGAATATAAGAATGAAGGGATATGCACAAGTGTCCAAAGGCAGTGTTACAACCGCACCCCCCACCAATCTGTTGGAATCCGGTTATCTACTTTTAGACTTTCCAGTTATAAGAGTCAATCCATTTTTACTTATGAAAATTTGATGAGTTTCTTTCACTTGAAATAATTAATGCAAGTTCTTATTGTCCATGAGCCAAAAATAGATCTTATCTACATTATGTGAACCCTGCTATTGAAACTATTGCCATCTCTTTTTCTTTACTAGTGAAATTAATCTTTCCATTTTGAGACTTGATGCCGTCTATGCCAACATCTATGTCAATATGTCAGCTGTAGGACCACTTATATCAATAGCAAGGAGAGCTAGCAGATTATAGATCTCAGAAGGAGAAAGTCATATAGAGAGCACGGCTTTGAGCAGGTGTGTGGCCTTCAATATACTGATATAGCCAGCCTCAGGAAACCCTACACATCTATACTCCCTCAGTAACACTGTCAACGTTCCTCACTGGCCAAGGCCAATCAAAAGCCAGAGGGCATCTTTCCTTTCCTGCCCCACCAGCGCATTTGTGCATGAAAGCTGGCCTCCCACTGCTGCCAGCAAAGTGTACTCTACCAGCCCCAACATCTTACTGTCATTGTAGTTGGAGCCTTGGTGGGCCGTATGCCCACCAGCTCTGCTGCCACCAGTGCCCTGCCACTGTGCCAACACTGCCACTGCAGTGAAATTACGCATGGAGGACAGCAAACCCTCCCTACCTTCAGTGGCCACCTCCACCTGTGTGAATGCACAGAGGGTGCACACAGTCCTCTGCCCACCAACACCCCACCCCACATGCTAAAACTATCACCAGTGTGACTGCTCACAGTCACCAGCAGGGCACCCACTTTCCTCAAGCTGTGCTGCCTCCGCTGCTGCTGCAAACACCTGCAGGAGGGCTGGCACCCTGGCACTTGCTGGCACTCTACTGCAGTGGATGATTGTGCATCCTGCCACACTGCCACTGTTGCTGCTGTGGGCACATGTGAATGAGGATGGATCCTGCTGCCATCACCCTGTGAAACACTTTGGCTGGCACCACCTATTGGAGTGCTATGAACAGTGGTTTCAGAGCAACTCAACCTCCATAGTGCAGTGGGTTCCTAACCTCAAGGAGCCAGAGAACAAAGTCAGGGCCCGATACCAGTCCCCCAGAGTTAGGGCACACAATCTAGGAATTGTGAGTTGAGCATTGGCCCCATAAAATCTTCCAGAAATAAAGCCAGTTGACTGAACCTACCTTATACCACAATCAAACCCTCAAGGTCATCAAATAGGATAAAAGAAAAAAAAATCCAAACGACAGCAACTTTAAAGACTGAAGGAACATCAGCGCACACAGATGAGAATCAACCAGTGCAAAAATGCTGACAATTTAAAAACCTAGAGTGCTTTCTTTCCTTCAAACAATGGCACTAGCTCTCTAGCAAGGGTTTTGAATTGGGCTGAAATGGCTAAAATGACAGAAATAGAATTCAGAAAATGGATAGGAACATGGATCATGGCAATGCAGGAGTATATTGAAACCCAATCCAAAGAAGCTAAGAATCACAATAAAATGATACGGAAACTGACGGACAAAATTGCCAGTATAAAAAAGGAATGTAACTAATCAGAGCTGAAAAACATACTACAAGAATTTCATAATGCAATCACAGTAATAATGGCAGAATAGACCAAGTGGAGGAAAGACTCTCAGAGCTTTAGGACTGGTTTTCTAAAATAAGACAGTCATACGAGAATGGACAAACAAAATGAAAAGGAATGAATAAAACCTCTGAAAAATATGGGATTATGCAAACAGACCAAATCTATGACTCATTGGTGTCCTTGAAAGAGATGGGGAGAATGGAAGCAACATGGAAAACACATTTCAGGAAATTATCCCTGAGACCTTTCCCAACCTAGCTAGAGACCAGCATGCAAATTCAGGATATGCAGAGAACATCAGTAAAATACTTCACAAGAAAATCATCTCTCAGCCACATGGCCATCAGATTCTCCAAGGCTGAGATGAAAGAAAAAATGTTACAGGTAGCTAGAGAGAAAGGTCAAGCCACCTACAACGGGAAGCCCATCAGACTAGCAGTAGACTTCTCAGCAGAAATCCTACAAGCCAGAAGAGATTGAGGGCCAATATTCAGCATTCTTAAAGGAAAGGAAATTTCAACAAAGAATTTCATATCCAGCCAAAATAAGCTTCTTAGGCAAATGAGAAATAAGATTTTTTCCAGACAAGCAAACGCCAAGGGAATTTGTTACCACTAGATTGGCCTTACAAGAGTTCCTGAATAAACCACTAAATATGGAAAGAAAAGACCATTACCAGCCACTACAAAAACACACTTAAGTACGCAGACCAGTGACACTATAAAGCAACCACACAAACAAGTCTGCACAACAGTAAGCTAACATCATGATGACAGGATCAAATTCACACATATCAATACTAACCTTGAATGTACATGGGCTAAATGCCCCCAGTTAAAAAGCAGAGTAGCAAACCAGACAGAGAACCAAGAACCAATGGTTTTCTGTCTTCAAGAGACCCATCTCACATGCAGTGAAACCCATAGACTCATAAGGAATGCAGAAGAATCTACCAAGCAAATGGAAAACAGAAAAAAGCAGGAGGTGCAATCCTAATTTCCAAAACAAAGCAAAGCAAACAAACAAAAAAACCTTAAATCATCAAAGACCAAAAGAGACATAGAAGGAGATTACACAATGGTAAAACATTCAATTCAACAAGAAGACCAAACTATCTCTAATATATATGCACCCAACACAGGAGCATCTAGATTTATAGATCAAGTTCTTGGAAACCTACAAAGAGACTTAGACTCCCACACAATAATAGTGGGAGACTTCAACACCCCACTGACAGTATTAGACAGATCATTGAGGCAGAAAATTAACAAAGAAAGTCAAGACATGAACTCAACACTGGATCAAATGGATCTGATAGACATCTACAGAACTCTTCATCCAAACACAACAGGATATACATTCTTCTCATTGCCACATGGCACATACTCTAACATCAACCACAGTTAAGACATGAAACAATGCTTACCAAATGCAAAAGGATTGAAATCATGACAACCACTCTCTCAGACCATGGCACAATAAAATTAGAAATCTAGACTAAGAAAATCATTCAAAACCACAAAATTACATGGAAATTAAATAATCTGCTCCTGAATGACTTTTGTGTAAATAATGAAATAAAGGCAGAAATCAAGAAGTTATTTAAAACTAATGAGAACAAGGATATGACATACCAGAATCTCTGGGACACAGCTAAGGCAATATTAAGAGGAAAATTTATAGCACTAAACACCCACATCAACAAGTTAGAAAGATTTTAATTTAGCAACCTAACAAAACAACTAAGAAAACTAGAGAACAAGAGCAAACCAACCACAAAACTAGCAGAAGACAAGAAATAACCAAAATCAGAGCTGAACTGAAGGAGATTGAAACATGAAAAACCATTCAAAAGATCAATGAATTCAGGAGTTGGTTATTTGAAATAGTTAATAAGATAGATAGACTGCTAGCTAGAATAATAAAGAGAAAAAGAGAAAATCCAAATAAACACAATTAGAAATGACAAAGGGTATATTACAACTGATGCCACACAAGTACAAATACCTATCAGAAAATATTATGAGGAGCTTTATGCACACAAACTAGAAAATCTAGAAGAAAGGAGTAAATTCCTGGAGACACACACTCTTCCAAGACTGAACAAGGAAGAAATCGAATCTTTGTATAGACCAATAACAAGTTCTGAAATTGAATCAGTAATAAATAGCCTACAAACCAAAAAGAGCCCAGGACCAGGCAGATTCACAGCTGAATTCTATCAGATGTATGAGGGAGAGCTGGTACCATTCCTACAGAAACTATTCCAAAACATTGCGGAGGAGGAACTCCTCCCTAACTCATTATCTGAGGCCAGCATCATCCTGATACCGAAACCTGGCAGAGATACAAGAAAAAAAGAAAACTTCAGGCCAATATCCTGGATGAATATCAATGCAAAAATCTTCACAAAAATACTGGCAAACTGTATCCAGCAGTGCATCAAAAAGCTTATTCACCATGGTCAAGTAAGCTTTACCCCTGGGATATAAGGTTGGTTTGACATATGCACATCAATAAATGTGATTCATCACATAAACAGAACTAGAGACAAAAATCACATAATTATCTTAAGAGATGCAAAAAAACTGCTTTTGACAAATTTTAACACCCTTTATGTTAAAAACTCTCAATAAACTAGATATTGAAGGAGCAAACCTCAAAATAAGAATAATCATCTATTCTATACAAACCCACAGATAACATCATACTGAATGGCAAAAGCTGGAAGCATTCCCCGTGAAAACTGGCACAAGACAAGGATTCCCTCTCTCACCACTCCTGTTCACCATGGTAATGGAAGTCCTGGCCAGAGCAATCAGGCAAGAGAAAGAAATAAAAGGCATTGAAATAGAAAGAGAGGAAATCAAACTATCTTTGTTTGCAGACAACGTGATTCTATATGTAGAAAACCTAAGAGTCTTGGCCCAAAACCTCCTTAAACTGATTAATAACTTCAGCAACATCTCAGGATACAAAACCAACGTACAAAAATCACTAGAATTCCTGTACACCAACAACAGCCAAGCTAAGAGCCAAATCAGGAATGCAATCCCATTCACAATGGCCACAAAAACAATAAAACACCTAGGAATACAGCTAACCAGGGAGGTGAAAGATCTTTACAACGAGAACTAGAAAACACTGTTCAAAGAAATCAGAGATGCCACAAATTAATGGAAAAATATTCCATGCTTATACATAAGAAGAATCAATACCGTTAAAATGGCCATACTGCCCAAAACAATTTACAGATTCAATGCTATGCCTATCAAACTACCAATGACATTCTTTACAGAACTAGAAAAAACTATTTTAAAATTCTTATGGAACCAAAAAGCGCCTGAATATCTAAGGCAATCCTAAGCAAAAAGAATAAAGCTGGAGGCATCAAACTACCAGACTTCAAATTATACTATGGGACTACAATATCCAAATCAGCATAGTACGGGTACAAAAACAGACAGATAAAACAAAGGAACAGAATAGAAAGCCCAGAAATAAAACTGCACACCTACAACTGTCTGATCTTTGACAAGGCTGACAAAAACAAGTAATGAAGAAAGGACTCTCTATTCGATAAATGGTGCTGGGATAACTGGCTGGCCATATGCAGAAGATTGGAACCGGACACCTTGCTTACACCATATACAAAAATCAACTGAAGATGAATCAAAGACTTAAATGTAAAACTCAAAACTATAAAAATCCTGGGAGACAACCTAGGCAATACCATTCTGGACATAGGAACAGGCAAAGAATTCATGATGAAGACACCAAAAGCAATTGCAACAAAAGCAAAAATTGACAAATGGAATCTAAACTAAAGAGGTTCTGCACAGCAAAAGAAACTATCAACAGAGTAAACACACAACCTACAGAATGGGAGATTTTTGCTAACTGTGCATCTGATAAAGGTCTAATATCCAGCATCTATAAGGAACTTAAACAGATTTACAAGAATAAAACAAACAACCCAATTAAAATGTGGGTGAAGAACATAAACAGATACTTTTCAAAAGAAGATATATATGCAGCCAATAAGCATATGAAAGAAAGCTCAATGTCACTGATCATTAGAGAAATGCAAATCAAAACCACAATGAGATACCATCTCACACTAGTCAGAATGGCTATTATTAAAAAGTCAAAAAATAATGGATGCTGGCTACGTTGTGGAGAAAAAGGGATGCTTATACACTGTTGGTGGGAGTGTAAAGTAGTTCAATCATTGTGTAAAGTACTGTGGCTATTTCTCAAAGACCTAAAAGCAGAACTACCATTTGACCCAGCAATCCCATTACTGGGTGTATACCCAAAGGAATATAAATCATTCTATCATAAAGACACATGCAGGTGTATGTTCATTGCTGCACTATTTGCAATAGCAAAGTCATGGAATCAGCCTAAATGCCCATCAGTGGTAGACTGGATAAAGAAAACATGATACATATACACAGCGGAATACTATGCAGCCATAAAAATTGTGATCATGTCCTTTGCAGCAATATGGATGGAGCTGGCGGCCACTATCCTTAGCAATTTAACACAGGAACAGAAAATCAAATACTGCATGTTCCCACTCATAAATGGAAGCTAAATGATCAGAATACATGGACACATAGAAGGAAATAGACACTGAGGCCTACCTGCGGATGGAGGGTGGGAGGAGAAAGAGGATCAGAAAAAAACAACTAATGGATTATAGGCTTAGTACTTGTGTAACAAAATAATCTGTACAACAAACTCCTGTGACATGAGTTTACCTACATAACAAATCTGCACATGTACCCCGGAACTTAAAATAAAAAAAAAAAAAAGCCAAAGGGTATGGGGTAGCAGTGAGGAGATCTATACATATCAGCCTCTTCTGGTAGAAAGTAGGTCAAAGGAGACTGTTGAGAAGGCACAGAGGGCCAAGGAAAGGATATATGGCATAACCTTACAGGAATTTTATTTCACTTTTTGAAGACTAGTTTATAACTATTTTTCAGGACACTGAATTAGGAGGTAAAGCACTTATCTCTTAGAAATTACTGAATTAAAAGGAAAGTACACACAGTGAGTGCCTCAAGGCCATGCTAATCTCGTTCAAAATGTTTATTTTTGAAGATAAAAAGAAATCGTGGAGAAAACAGTGACAAAGACACTTTTCAGGACAAACAATCTGTGATAAATTGTTAATCTAAATCCTGTTTCTCAGAGGCCCTTTGGTAAATACAGCTATCCATTATCCTAGTTTAACACTTTTGTAAATCCCAGAAAGCCTGAGAAAAGTCATAAAAAATTAATATGAAGATGAAATATTAAAATCATAAGACTCTTCCCAGAAATTTTATATGTGGCAATTTCTATATGCCTATATAAAATTTACAATTTTCTAGCTTTCTCCAGACTCAAATAACAAAATACATACTCGAGCTAGAGTCATTTTTGTAAAATGATGGTTTTGGCATTTTTTGATTATAATTGCATGTTTACTTACATTCATATAGCTCCAAGTTTTAATATGAGTTTTCATGTTGTCGACAGATCCCCCTAATATTTCAAGAAAAACAGACATAAAACACAGAATGTTAGAGTCATTTAGCTGAGTGCAAATACTTACATTTTTGCATAGATTAATTTGTGCTCTGTCTGCACCCCATTATTTCCATTTTATGATGATGACTGCCACAAAGATGAAAAACACAGGTTTTAAAAATATAAGCATTTAACCTCCACATAAACTAATCCACAAGTATTTTTTAACTAATTTCAATTAGTATCATTAGATAACAAAATATGTAATGATATTATTCTGATCTTTGTACCACGGATTATTGTATTTTAATGTGTCAGCCATAACTAAACCATTTTTTTTCTACTATTACAACTTTTAGAATCTGTTTCCTTCCTTAAGCACATATGGAGAAAACATTCTGCAAGGGAAAGTGTCCCTTGCAAAAAATGCCTCTTAAACAAATAAATGCTCAAATTTCTAGAAAAGAGAAATCTACTCAGATAATACAGGTCAGAGTAAAATACAGGCTACAAATCAAATTATCATAGAATGTGCCAAACGTGGATACTGGATAAAGTTGTCTGACTGAAAACATTGTCATCCTCTCCAGTGCAAATTCTCTTTGAAATGGCCATATATATTTTACAAAATAATAAATCTCAAGTGGTACTGAAAACCTAGAATATCTATTTTATCTATTAACCATGTAATTTGAGAAATTCACTAAATACAGAAAACAGAGAAAAAAGTTTCATCTAAACCACAGCCAAAAAGATATACTGAAGAGGATTCTGAGACAGATGTGGAATGGTACCAAAGGATGCTTCAAGCCCAGAGTCAACACAGACAAACAGTTGGGGAGAGCCCCAGAGAAAGGATTTTTTGGGTGAGTGCCTGTGGAATAGGTGGACAGAGTTCTTTCCTTCCCTGTGCATCCGCTTCATTTGCGCTCAGAGTAACATTGCGAGGGAGAGTTCCTAGATCACTGAAGCCAGACATAATCAGACAGAAATTTCTGGCACAATCTACCAGCAATTTTTTTTCCCCACTATCTCCTGAGGCCAGCTCTGATGTCAGAACATACATCCGCATCCAGGCAAGCAGAAATAATAAAAAATATGAGAAGCTAGCAAAATAAAATCACCAAAATGTGAGGAAAATATGGTTTATTAACAGAAGTCATCAATTTGACAAGAAGTTAATCCCAGTATTTTAGAAAATAAACAGAAGACTCTTAGATGAATATAATTAGTATCTTCAGAGTGAGCCAAAATATTACAAAAATATTAGAAATAAAGGGACTTATTACAAATATAGAATGTTAAACAAGTATAAACTAATGCTGTGTAAAAATTTATGTCAATAAAATTAAAGGCTAAATGAAATAGATAATTTTCTAGGAAAATATAAATTACCTGTATTGGCTCTAGAGTAATAGAAAATAGGAATTAATGAGAATAGACACAGTGGAAAAGACAGTAAAAGACCTACTCTTTAAAAAATGGAACCATGCAGACATGCAGTTTTAAGCTGGAGGAAGAACAAAATCTGCCTACTCCTAACAAAGAAAATGAGAAATAGAAATGGGAATTTTATCTTAGATGATATTAGCAGCAATAATTTCAGACTTTATAAAGGATACCAAGTCCATTAAATATTGGACCAATTTGATAGAGAAGACAGAAAGAGATCATCACCCACTACAGATAATGAGCAGATCTGTCATTGTGGTAGATGTCCAAAGTGATTAGTACCATCCAGTGGAAATTTAACTAATCTTGTGTTAGACATTCAAGGTCTAGTGTGTAGCATGACTGAAGAAGCCCTCTTTTTCCTCTTGTAGTGGCAAGGGAGTTGGGATTGAAGAAAATAAAACTATATGTATTCAATTTTTGTAACAAGGCAGCTTACCACCCTCTTCTTTATGTTAGCCTAAAGTATTCACCTGGTCTCTTTCCACATTAAATTCTGTAAATAACTGGGGCCAGAAAGAACTTCTCATATTCAAGGGTGTGCAACAAAGTTAAAGAACATAGTGCAATTAAAAAAAAAAAAACAATTGAAGCATTTATACAACTGAAAACAAATCTATTTAAATGCAGAGGAGTTTTCAGAATATTGAATTAAATGTAATAGAAAATAATAAAAGCATTTAAGTAATTGGAGAGAAAGAGGTAGATGTGGAAGTTTGCCAGAATAGATCCACTACATTCTTTCTTGGGGTTCATGTAGAGGAGAATAGAACAAATAGAACAGAAATTATATTTAAAGACATAGCCATGAAAAAGATTCTTGAAATAAAAGAATACTTGGTTCAATTCAATGGATATTGTATTCCATTTAAAATTGCCTCCAATTCATTAATACTAAGACCTTTTCACATAAATTTCCTATGATTAAAAGTAAAGCAAGATTTTTATGGCATAGAAACTACCAAAACGATATAAAATAAAATATTATCTCACCTTAAGAGTTACTTGTTAGGTCTATTTTAACTTTCTCTACAGCGTTTGTCAATGTAATAAGGAAGTAAAGCAATTCTCGGAAGACCAAGTAGAGAAAGTGTGACTCAAACTTTTTGTACCATTCTACATTTTTTAGTATCTCTAAAGGTAGCAGATATTTTCAGCCAGGTAAGAATTCGGGCAAGATAATTTCTAAAAACTCTTCTTTAAGAAATTACTAGAGGATGCATTTCAACCAACCTAGAAATAAACACGAAGACTGTGGTTAAGCCTAATGTCATTTAAATGTTGAAGTAAGACTTTCATATCTAGGAAAACTGTGGTTACAGAACAAGTTCTGTGACAAGGCAGAAATAACACTATTAATATCAAATGTTAAATGATAGAGGGAAAAAGAAGGGAGGTGTATAAAAATCCTGATTTCATAGTTTTAAAATGTAGTGGTAAAGTTTGCAGACACCAAAATGCTGATTAAACCAGGTAGTAGTGGCATAAGAATATATGAGGTAAAAATAATTACTAGAAAAACAATAAAATAACTCATGTAAATTAGGTGGTAAATGGAAGGAACTAGAGTCAGAGGGAGTGAAGTAAGCTGATATTCTAATTGCTTATAGTGGTAAGTCAATAAATATTGTATAATAAAAGGAAATTAAGATTGTTATAAAAAGTTGTGACCATAAAAACTCACTCTTCTCAGAAGTAAACCACATAAGCACTTACAGAAAGAGCATCAGAAAACACATATTTCATACTAAAGAATAAAAACATTTGAAGCATCTCACAACTGTTAGGATGGCTATTATCAAAATGACTAAGGGATAGGAAGTGTGGGAGAAAAAGAATTCTTGCATACTATTAGTGGGAATGCAAATTGGCAGAGCTATTATGGAAAAGCTATTATGGATGTTCCTCAGAAAATTAAAAATAGAACTATCATATGACCTAGAAATTTCACTACTGTGTATGTCTCCAAAGGAAATTAAATCAGTATTTCAAAGAGATATATGCACAAACACACACAAAGAAATTTTAGCCTTAAAAGAGAATAAAATTCTGTCATTTGCTACGTCATAGATAAATCCGGAGTACATTATGCTTAATGAAATAAGCCAGACAGAGAGAATTACTGTATGATCTCACTGATATGTAGAATTTAAAGTCAAACTTACAGAATCAAAGAGAATGTGAGGGGCTCAAGTGGAGTCAGGATTAAGAGATGTTGATTACAGGGTAAAAAGTTTTAGTTAGACTGGGCGCGGTGGCTCATGCCTGTAATCCCAGCACTCTGGGAGGCCAAGGCAGGCAGATCATCTGAAGTCAGGAGTTCAAGACCAGCCTTGTCAACATGGCAAAACCCCGTCTCTACTAAAAATACAAAAATTACTCGGGTGTGGTGGTGGGAGCCTGTAATCCCAGCTACTCAGGAGGCTGAGGCAGGAGAATCGCTTGAACCTAGGAGGCGGAGGTTGCAGTGAGCCGAGATCATGCCACTCCACTCCAGTCTGGGAGATAGAGGGAGACTCTGTCTCAAAAAAAAAAAAAAAAAAAAAAAAAAGTTTTAGTTAGGCAGGATAAGTTCTGGGAGTCTAATGTACAAGGATGGTGATTATAGTTGATAATACTGTATTATATATCTTAAATTTGCTAGAGAGTAGATTGTAAATATTCTCACCCTCCCCCCACACACAAGATCACTATGTGAGGTTATAGGTGTGTCAATTAACTTAATTACTGTAATAATTTCACAATGTATACATATATCAAATAATCACTGTATACCTTAAATAAATGTAATTTTTATTTATTGATTATACATCAGTAAAGCTGGGAAGAAACTCATAAAAACATTTCAAATAAGAAGCCAAACATAAAATAGAAATTAGAAGACACAGGAAGAACTATCACAGGGCAAATCACAAAACTGGGGTTCAGCCCTGGAGGCCATGTGGCTTCTTGATTTCTTGCAGAAAGGAATTGAAGAGCTAGCTGACAGGATAAAGTGAAAGCAAGTTTATTAAGAAAGTAAAGGAATAAAAGGGTGGCTATTCCATAGTCAGAACTGCCCTGAGGGGTGCTGATTGGTTACTTTTATGGTTATTTCTTGATCATACTCTAAATATGGGGTAGATTATTCATAAGTTTTCCAGAAAAGGGTGGGGAATTCCTGGAACTGAGGGTTCCTCCCCCTTTCAGACTACATTAGGTAGTTTCTGGATGTTGCCATGGCATTTGTAAACTGTCATGGCACTAGTGAGTGTCTTTTAACATGCTAATGCATGATAATTAGCGTATAATGAGCAGTGAGGACCACAGGAGGTTGTTTTTATTGCAATCTTGGTTTTGATGGGTTTTGGCTGGCTTCTTTACCACATCTTATTTTATCAGTGGAATCTTTGTTACCTGTGTCTTGTGAAACCAGTCCTGCAGAACTTCTATCTCAGAACATTTTGCCATGAGAAACTGTACTACTAAGAATTCATTCACTCATTTTTTATTTCCTGGGGACAGTGTAGATAAAGTACTGAAAAACCCATACATATGATCCATCTCTGATCTCATAGATCTCATATCTTGTGAGCCATAGATAAATAATAAGTAACCAAATACATTATGTATTTTGTGAAAATATTAAATAGCATAAAGAAAAATAAATAACAATAAGAGACAAGAAAGTGATTGAGATAGAGGATGGGGGAGAATTTTTAGATAAAGTACTCAAATAAGAAAGTGTAAACCAAAAAGTATCCGAGACAGATCTCAATCTATTCAGAGATTTATTTTGCTAAGGTTAAAGACATGGCTGGAAAAAAGGAACACAAAGTCATAGAAACAGACTGTGGTCTCTGCGTTTTTTCCAAAGCTGATTTTGAGGGCTTCAGTATTTAAAGGGCAAAAGATGGCTGGAGGGGAAGGAGGGAGCTGTGGTCACATTACTGAGTCCACATGTTGTGATATAGTTTGGCTGTGTCCCCACCCAAATATGATATGGAATTGTAGATCCCATAATCTCCTGGTGTCATGGGTGGGACCCAATGGGAGAGATAATTGAATTGTTTGGGTGGGTTTTCCCATGCTATTCTCATGATAGTGAATAAGTCTCACAAGATCTTATGGTTTTATAAAGGGCAGTTCCCATGCACACACTGTCTTGCTGCCACTATGTAAGATGTGCCTTTGCTCTTCCTTCACCTTTCACCATGATTGTGAAGCCTCCCCAGCCATGTGGAACTGTGAGTCCATTAAACCTCTTTTTCTTTATAAATTAACCAGTTTCGAGTATTTCTTCATAGCAGTATGAAAATGGACTAATACAGTAAATTGGTACCAGTAGACTAGGGTACTCTATTAAGATACCTGAAAATGTGGAAGCAACTTTGGAACTGGGTAACAGGCAGAGATGGGAACAGTTTGGAGGCCTCAGAAGAAGACAGGAAGATGTGGGAAAGTTTGAAGCTTCCTAGAGACTTGTTGAATGGTTTTGACCAAAATGCTGATAGTGATATGGACAATGAAGTCCAGCTTGAGGTGGTCTCAGATGGAGATGAGGAACTTACTGAGTACTGGAGCAAAGGTGATTCTTGCTATGCTTTAGCAAAGAGACTGGTAGCATTTTGCCCTGCTCTAGAGATCTGTGGAACTTTGAACTTGAGAGAGATGATTTAGGGTATCTGGCAGAAGAAATTTCTAAGCAGCAAAGTGTTCAATATGTGACTTGGATGCTCTTAAATGCATTCAGTTTTATTCATTCACAAATATATTGTTTGGAATTGGAACTTATGTTTAAAAGGGAAGCAAAGCATAAAAGTTTGGAAAATTTGCAGCCTGATGCTGTGATAGAAAAGAAAAACCCATTTTCTGAGGAGAAATTCAAGCTTGCTGCAGAAATCTGCATAAGTAATGGGGAACCAAATGTTAATTGCCAAGACAATGGGGAAAATGTCTCCAGGGCATGTCAGAGGTCTTCATGGCAGCCCCTCCCATCACAAGCCCAGAGGCCTAGGAGGAAAAAATGGTTTTGTGGGCCAGGCCCAGGGCCTTGCTGCTTTATGCAGTCTTGGGATATGTATCTCAGCCATGGCTAAAAGGGCTCAATGTACAGTTCAGGCTGTTGCTTCAGAGGGTGCAAGCCCCAAGCCTTGGTGACTTACATGCGGTGTTGGGCCTGAGGGTGGACAGAGGAACTGAGGTGTGGTAACCTCTGCCTAGATTTCAGAGCATGTATGGAAAAGCCTGTATGTCCAGGCAGAGGTGTGCTTCAGAGGTTGAGCCCTTGTGAAGAACCTCTGCTAGGGCAGTGTGAAAGGGAAATGTGGGGTCAGAGCCCCCACACAGAGTCCCCACTGGGGCAGTACTGCCTATTAGAGGTGTGAGAAGAGGGCCACCATCCTCCAGACCCCAGAATGGTAGATCCACTGACAGCTTGTACCATGCACCTGGAAAAGCCAGAGATACTCAATGCCAACTCATGAAAACAGCCATGAGGGTGGCTGTACCCTGCAAAGCCACAGGGGCAGAGCTGCCCAAGATCATGGGAACCCTTTTCTTGCATCAGCATGACCTGAATGTGAGACATGGAGTCAAAGGAGATCATTTCAGAACATTTCTCTCCTGCTGGATTCTGGAATTTCATGGGGCCTATGGTCCCTTTGTTTTGGCCAATTTCTCCCATTTGGAATGGGTGTATTCACCCAATACCTATATCCCCATTGCAGGAAGTAGCTAACTTGCTTTTGATTTTACAGGCTCATAGGCAGAAGGGACTTGCATTATCTCAGATGAGACTTTGGACTGTGGACTTTTCAGTTAATGATGAAATGAGTTGAGATTTTGGGGGGATTGTTGGGAAGGCGTAATTGGTTTTGAAATATGAGGCCATGAGATTTGGGAAGGGGCGGGCCAGAATGATACTGTTTGTTTGTGTCTCTACCCAAATCTCATTTTGAATTGCAGCTCCTATAATCCCCATGTGCCACGGGTGGAACCCAGTGAGAGGAAATCATATCATGGGGAGAGGGGGAGGCTTCCTTTGTTGTTCTCATGATAGTAGGACCTTATGGTTTTATAAAGGGCAGTTCCCCAGCACATACTCTCTTGCCTCCCACCATGCAAAATGTGTCTTTGTTCCTCCTTTGCCTTCCACCATGATTGTGAGGCCTCCCCAGCCATGTGGAACTGTGAGTCCATTAAACCTCGTTTTCTTTATAAATTATCCAGTCTTGGATATTCCTTCATAGCAGTATGAAAATGGACTAATACATGCTGCAAGAGAAGCAGGTAGAGGAATAGTCAATTATGTATTTTTCTCCCACTCAGTAAATCAACATTTCACATAAGATAAGGTGAGCACTGAATAGCTACCTGTGGAGATATTTGGCATTCCTCCCCCTTTCAGACCATATTGGGTAAATTCTATTGTTTAGGAACAAAAGGAAAGGCAGTTTCTTGCAAGCCTCAGCTTTTAGCTTATTTTTTTTTTCCTACTGGCATAGTGAGGTGTGGTCCCAAGATTTTATTTTATTTTTTTTCACAAAAGTGATACCACAGTATAGAGCCGAATGCAATGAGAAAGCAAGGCACCCAAAGCTTCCCTGGAAGACATTTCCAGATGAAAGGTACAGCTAATGCCAAGGCATTGAGGGGAAACTACTAGGCTACTGTGGTTAGAGTGTGGTAAGAGCATCAGGGTGGATAGGAACAGAAAGGAAATTGCAGTCTCCAGTCTAAATAAGGGCCAATAATAAGTCTCTTTATGTGGTATTTGCTCCAGGGAATGCTGTGACCAAAGTATTCATTTATTACTGTAGCTGCCAGGAGTATTGGCTGCTGATGGCTTATGAATGACCCTTAGAAGAATGGATATGGCTCACCCAAAGTGCTACCCATTTCTGAGGGCCACAGCATCAAATTAATGGTTGATGTAGTTGTACAAAGGCCCTTGAAAAACCATGGGATGACTTCGAAGGGCTAGTCTAGCTTCAATGCTCCCCATGGAATGAATACAGACCTTCTTTGCAATTGTGTCACAGTACAATTTCTCTGCTTAATCTTGCTTTCCACACTTCTTTATAGATGTTTTCCCCAGTGCATTCTCCAATAAGCCATTAGCAAATAAAGCTTTGTCACTGAGTTTGCTTCTAGGAAACCTAATCTAACCTATATGCTATGGTATGAAGAAATTATTTCTTGATAGTAAAACCCATTGAACACTTTTGACAAGGGGGATAACATGATCTGCTACATATATTAAAATTTCACATGTGATGTCGTGTGGAGAAAAGACCAAAGGGAGGCAAGCATGAAAACAGAGAGGCAAATTAGGGAGTCTGCAATGAAGTGGCTGTGACTACCTGAGGAGTTCTTCCTGCCTGCTGGAAAATGAAAGACCACAGCATTATAGTAGAGAAAGAGTTTAACAGATATGAGAGCGGCCATGCCACGTGGGTGATGGAGTTCATTCTCAAATTATCTCCTCCAAAGCTCCTATGTTAGGTATTTTTCTTTCTTTCTTTCTTTTTCTTTTTCTTTTTTTTTTTTTTTTTGTGAGCAGCAAGGCTGTTTATTTCACCTGGGTGCAGGTGGGCTGAGTTCAAAAAGAGAGTCAGCAAAGGGTGGTGGATTATCATTAGTTCTTACGGGTTTTGGGATAGGCAGAGGAGTTAGAAGCAATGTTTTGCCAGCAGGGGGTGGATCTCACAAAGTACATTCTCAAGGGTGGGGAGAATTACAAAGAACCTTCTTAAGGGTGGGGGAGATTACAAAGTACATTGATCACTTAGGTTGGGGCAGAAACAAATTACAATGGTAGAATGACATCAGTTAAGGCTGTTTTCACTTCTTTTGTGGATCTTCAGTTGCTTCAGGCCATCCAGATGTATACGTGTAGGTCACAGGGGATATGATGGCTTAGCTTGGGCTCAGAGGCCTGACATTCCTGTCTTCTTATATTAATAGGAAAAGCAAAAAAAAAAAAAAATAGTGGTGAAGTGTTGGAGCAGCAAAATTTTTGGGGGTGGTATGGAGAGATAATGGGCGATGTTTCTCAGGGCTGCTTTGAGCGGGATTAGGGGCAGCGTGGGAACCTACAGTGGGAGAGATTCAACTGAAGAAAGATTTTGGGGTAAGGGGTGATATTGTGGGGTTGTTAGAAGGAGCATTTGTCGTATAGAATTATTGGTGATGGCCTGGATGCGGTTTTTATGAATTGAGAAACTAAACGAAAGACACAAGGTCCGAATAAGAGAAGGAGAAAAACAGGTATTAAATGACTAATAATTGGGAGGACCCAGGACATCCAATTAGAGAGTGCCCAAGGGAGTTCAGCATAATTACTTGCTTGGTTGGTGAGTTTTGGGGCTCTATCCTTGACAGAGTCCTCCTTTTTAAGTTGGAGGCTGAGCTTGTTGAGGTGGGTTTTTAAAAGACCATTAGTCTGTTCTACCTTTCCTGAAGATTGAGGACGGTAAGGGGCATGAAGGTTTCACTGAATACCAAGAGCCTGAGAAACTGCTTGGGGGATTTGACTAGTAAAGGACTGTCAGTTATCAGACTGTATAGAGGTGGGAAGGATACCAAGAGCCTGAGAAACTGCTTGGGGGATTTGACTAGTAAAGGACTGTCAGTTATCAGACTGTATAGAGGTGGGAAGGCCAAACCGAGGAATTATGTGTGACAGAAGAGAAATGACTGTGGTGGCCTTCTCAGACCCTGTGGGAAAGGCATCTACCCATCCAGTGAAATTGTCTACCCAGACCAAGAGGTTTTTTAGTTTCCTGACTCGGGGCATGTGAGTAAAGTCAATTTGCCAGTCCTGGGCAGGGGCAAATCCCTGAGCTTGGTGTGTAGGGAAGGGAGGGGGCCTGAACACTCCCTGAGGAGTAGTAGAATAGCGGATGGAACACTGAGAAGTGATTTCCTTGAGGATAGATTTCCACGATGGAAAGGAAATGAGACGTTCTAAGAGGCAGGCTAGTGGCTTGTACTATAGCATAGCCTGCCTTTTCTGGTGTGTGGCGATTAGGCCTGGTGGCACTGCCATCAATAAACCAAGTGTGATCAGGGTGAGGAACAAGAATGAAGGAAATATAGGGAAATGGAGTGAATGTCAGGTGGATCAGAGAGATACAGTCATGGGGGTCAGGTGTGGTATCAGGAATAATGTGGGAAGCCGGATTAAAGTCCGGGTCAGGAACAATGGTAACAGTGGGAGACTCAACAAAGAGTGAGTACAGCTGAAGGAGCCGTGGAGCAGAAAGTATATGTGTCAGGTGTGTGAGGAAGAAAATATATTTTGGAAGTTATGAGAACTGTAGGGAGTGATTTGAGCATAGTTTGTGATTTTGAGAGCCTCTAAAAGTATTAGGGTGGTGGCAGCCGCCGGACAGAGACATCATGGCCAGCCTAAAACAGTAAGGTCAAGTTGTTTGGACAAAAAGGCTACACGGTGCGGTCCCGGTCCTTGTGTAAGAATTCCGACTGCACAGCCCTGCACTTCAGCTGTGTGTAATGAAAAGGGTTGGGATGAGTTAGGGAGAGCTAGTGTGGGACAGCTTCTAGGGCTGTTTTTAAGGAACAGAAAGAGGAGTGGCGAGAGGATTTAGGATCTATGGGGTAAGCTAGGTTTACTTTTGTGAGTTTCTATAATGGTTTGGTCAGGATGATAAAACTAGGCATCCAAAGGTGGAAGTACCTAACCATGCCTAGGAAGGAAAGGAGTTGTTGTTTTGTAGAAGGAGTTGGGGTTTGGGAGATTAGCCGGACACGATCAGCAGGGAGAGCACGTGTGTTTTCACGAAGAATTATGCCGAGATAGGTAACAGATGAGGAAGAAATTTGGGCTTGACTGAAGTAATGGGGGCTGTCTGCAAAGCCTTGCGGCAGTACAGCCCAGGTAATTTGCTGAGCCTGATGGGTGTCAGGGTCAGTCCAAGTGAAAGCGGAGAGGCTGGGATGAAGGGTGCAAAGGAATAGTAAAGAAAGCATGTTTGAAATCCAGAACAGAATAATGGGTTACAGAGGGGTTGTGGAAGGAGGTATTGAGGATAGGAGAGTATGTGGCTTTGGCACCACGGGGTGGATAGGCAAGACAATTTGGTTGATAAAGCGCAGATCCTGAACTAACCTGTAAGACTTGTCCGGTTTTTGGACAGGTAAAATGGGGGAATTGTAAGAGTTTATAGGCTTTAAAAGGCCATGCTGTAACAGGCAAGTGATAACAGGCTTTAATCCTTTTAAAGCGTGCTGCGGGATGGGATATTGGCATTGAGCAGGGTAAGGGTGATTAGGTTTCTATGGGATGGTAAGGGCTGCATGATTGGTCACTAAGGAGGGAGTAGAAGTGTCCTATACTTGTGAATTAAGATGGGGAGATCCAAGGGGAGGATGTGAAGGGGCTTTGAACTGGGGAAAAGGGCAGCAATGAGGTGTGGCTGTAGCCTAGGAATAGTCAGGGAAGCATATAATTTAGTTAAAATGTCTCGGCTTAATAAGGGAGCTGGGCAGGTGGGGATAACTAAAAAGGAGTGCTTAAAAGCACATTGTCTAAGTTGGCACCAGAGTTGGGAAGTTTTAAGGGGTCTAAAAGCCTGGCCATCAATACCCACAACAGTTATGGAGGCAAAGGAAATAGGCCCTTGAAAAAAAGGTAACGTGGAGTGGGTAGTCTCCGTATTGATTAAGAAGGGGATGGACTTACCCTCCACTGTAAGAGTTACCCGAAGCTCGGCATCCTTGATGGTCCAGGGGGCTTCCAAGGTGATCGGGAAGCATCAGTCTTCAGCTGCTAATCCGAGAAGATCTGGAAAGGAGTCAGTCAGAGAGCCTTGGACCAGAGTGGTCAGGACTTGTTCAGCTCAAGTCAATGACTGCCAGCTTCTCCATTTTTCCCCTGTTACCAACTCAGGACAAACCAAAAAAGCCAAATACATTCTGGGATCCAATCACATGAGATTCTCCACTTCTAGTTGTCACACCTTCATCTTTTCCATGCCAACATCTTCCAATTAGAGCCTACCTGAAAGCCTTCCTCTTTTTCACTATGATTCAGCTTTCAAATTCCCCTGCCTGCCTTTAAATCTCTGCTAAATACAAGTGATGATGGCTGACTCTCTTGCTATACCAAGATCCAAATAGTCTCTGTTTCTTCTCATTTAGATGGTCTTTGTTATTTTCACAGCAGTTAAACAGGTCTCTTAAATGCTGGACTTCACAGAGGCTTTAACATGGGAATGTGTCCCATAAACCTCTAATCCTGGGAGGCAAATGTAATTTTTCTTATATTCTACCATGCATTCTTCTTTTTCTTGGAGCACATTCCGGAAAATGTGTTCATGCAAATTGTTCCCAGTGCAATTCTTTTTAGTTTCTTAATTACCCTTCTGGAGCAATAAATAATGGATCCTGGGCAAATATCAAGATATTTGTGGTTTTTTCCCCACATTCATTTGTAAGTCTAATTGTATTGGGCTGAACTTACATTAGATATAAGTGATATTATAATTTTAAATTAAATCATGACATATACTCTATTTCCTTTTTTAATAAAAGGAGAGATGATTGCCTTGCCATCATCACTCATTTATAAGCAGTTATAAAACAAATATCCTTGATTTCTCTCTTTAGCCACTTGTATTTTCTGCATTTGAATGCTGATGCATGGCAAAGACTCTTTGCCTTTTCCTTTGTCATTTTCAATTCCTCCCTTCTCCTGAAGGGGAAATACAGATAAATAAGAGGCTTAATTCTCCGCGTTGAAAATAGGGAAGAAACTCCCTCTATCCCTTTTTTTTAAAGAAAATTCACTTTAGAAACTTGTAAACTCTCTGTGACTTTGAAATGTACAAAAATACTTTTAAAAGCTAAATAAGTCTCTTGCTACCTTCATGACCCAGGAAGATCTCTTTCAAAAACCTGAGAGCCATATCTTGGAAATGTAACCATCAAGGAAGATAGCATCCCTATGTCTCAATTTCTGTGGGAGAGCTAGAGCCTAACTTGAATGGGTGTTTGTACCTTATGACTATATTCTGTCATAATGATATGGGAAGTTTGTTATTCCTTTGGATAAAGCCAATTAAGTAACACAAATGGTCACCCCAATTACTACGTAAATTTAGAATAAACTGTGACAGAAAGGGGTCCGGAGCCAGACCCCAAGAGAGGTGGATCTTGTGCAAGAAAGAATTCAGGCTGAGGCCATAGAGTAAAGCAAGAGCAAGTTTATTAGGAAAGTGAAGGAATAAGAGAATGGCTACTCCAAAGAGCAACCGCGAGGGCTGCTGCTTGCCCATTTTTATGGTTATTTCTTGATTACATGCTAAACAAGGGATTGATGATTTATGCCTCCCCCTTTTAGACCATATAGAGTAAATTTTTGATGTTACCATGGCATTTGTAAACTGTCATGTTGCGGAGTGTAACAGTGAGAACAACAAGAGGTCACTCTTGTCGGCATCTTGGTTTTGGTTGGTTTTAGCCTGCTTCTTTACAGCCAACTGTTTTATCAGCAAGGTCTTTATGACCTGTAGCTTGTGCTGACCTCCTATCTCATCGGTGACTTCAGAATGCCTTAACTGTCTGGGAATGCAGCCCAACAGGCCTTATTTTACCTAGCCCCTATTCAAGATGGAGTTGCTGTGGTTCAAATGCCTCTGACAAAACTATGTGCGACAAACGGTGCTGTCAAGTTCTCTTACCTGAGAACTAATTGTTTATCTTAGGACCACATATATAATGGGTTGAAACTGCATGGCTCTATAAATGTTGGTGAGACTCCTTTCTGTCTGCAATCTCTTAGCAGATTGCCTGGGATGCATACCACTTTCTGGTTTAATGCTTATTCAATAATAAATAAAACTGTTTTTTGGTTTTTTTTTTTCTCCTCTTTGTGGAGTGGTTTTCTGGGTTGGGAGAGGATTTTGTTTTTAATTATTCTTCCCCAACACTACCTTTCCCTGAAAGTAGTATTTCTAGATGGCTTGGACGGTAACAGAAACTCTGGGTTACCAGGCTGTAGATGGGTATGCCAAGACAGAGCTGAGGAAGTTAATAAGGTAGTCCTTTGGAAATAATCAATAGATATTGCCTAAGAGAGCTTAAGTGCAGTTCCAGTTGTATTATTTGCAGGTATATAGAGAAGGTTGTTATGATTGAGAGAGTAATATAGAGAAAAAAAATCTCGCTGAACTCCTAGTTAAGGAAATGGAAGAAGGAAGGAGAGCCTGACAAAGAGGAAACAAAGGAAGAAAAAAACCTTGAAGGTGCAGGTTAGTGGAGAAAGGTCTTCAAGACACAACAGTTTCAGATAGTTGTTAGTTTTAGTTACTTCTGTAAAGAGGATGAGAATGAGGAGAACAGAGAAATCTGTCACTTGTATGTCAAGTAGAAAGTTTTTGTAGACGAAAATTTTGTTAAAGTAGTGGGTATTTAAGCATTTTGAAAGTACTTCTGTTTTCAAGCTTAACAGGAATGAGGTAGAATTCCTTTCAAGAATTTTATAGAGCTTATTGAAGACAGTTATCCTGTACCTTTGTGTTCTCTTGTTTAGACTAAACCATATAATTCACTTCAGTTCTGCTTTTGCTGAGGTTTCTATTCTTCAGTTTTCCTGACACCTTCCACACATACTTCAGCTAGTCAATACCCATATTAAAAATGCTCTCTGGTCTTTTCTAATATTCTAGTAATATTAAGACCTGTCCAGATTACATTCTAACTCTTTAGAAAAAAATAACTGACATTAAATATTTATTGATTCAGGCAAAGTTAATAGTTACTTGGGGCAACTGTAATATGGTTGGTTAATTTTGAACTTGCCATTTCATAGAACATGGAACCTTTGTTAAACTAAATTCTTCCATTCTAGACCTGGCAATTAAAAAAATCTAAACATTAGAATTTTATTTTTTCATATTCACTTTTATTTGGCTAGAATCAGCTTATTATTTCTAGCAGAACTTTTTGAATATCAATGTTATTGAAACTATCAGCTGTGCTCTCAATTCTGTATTATTAACAAATTTAATAAGTATGTCTTTTATCTTTCCTCGGGATGAGACATTGACTTTCATTCGCTATTCTCCAGAACAATCCACTATTCAGAAAGAAAGCAGGCATTACAAAATTCAAAATGTTATTCAATACATGATATTATTATAGTATATTATTAGGTAAATTATTTTTTAAATTAATATGTATATTATTTATATTAAAGTATTTTTTCAACTCATATGTATATTATTTACATATGCCAGGCACTGCTCTAAATAGAAATACTAGCCCAGTTAACTTTTATCATAGCCCTATGAGGTAACGCCATTATTATTCCCATTTACAGATGACTAAACTGAGGCAGAAAGTGGTTACAAAATTTGTCCAAAATTTGTCTTAGATAATAAATAGCAGAGCCAGGATCGGAACCTAGAAATTCTCACTCCAGACAAGTGCTATGTAACCAAGCTCGATCTCCATTCCATGTCAATGTATAACTCTGCAGCAACACCACACTTTTATTACAAATTCAATATTACTGTTAGTAATGATAGACAAGTCAATGTTATTGTTAGTATTGATAAAACCTTTGGAAGTATGATTAAATGCTTTTTATGTTCATGTTCAAAAATTTAGTTTGTCAAATATTGTCATTAGTCCTAGAAAACCCATTTTTAAAATAGTAGTAGTTAAATAGCAGAGCATAAGCAAGACATTGTGAAATGAAAAATGATTTAATTTCCATAACTGGATTTGAGCCTTTTTATTTTGGAATAAAACTGTAAGCACTTAAATATTTTGAGCTTAATCATTTATTAAGATAGAGGGAATTCACACCTCTCTTGGTATTAAATTGTTCAGGCTGTCTGGCTTCACAGCAGTTTACAAGAAGCTAGTGAATTGATTTATAGCGTGAAGGCTATCTTTGCAACCACAGAAGCTAGCTGTTCTATTATTTGGTAACTGGAATCTTAGATTGTAAAAACACAGTAAAATCTTTAGTGAGAAGAACATGCCCTCACAATCTGTTGTTCACATACAGAGCTCATGTAAAATTTAAAGTAAATCATCTGAAAAATAAAGATATTTTAAGATGAAAATGGAGTCACATTTACTCTCATTTTCTGTGTTCAGCCATTATCTCAGACTGATTTTCAAAGTGTTTTTGTTAACACACATATATTAGAAAAACTGCTAGGTAAACTAACACAAATGAGGATGTCTGTAGAAACGGACATAAAAATGGGAACAACAGACACTGTGGAGGCAGGGAAAAAAGGGAGGTGTGGGTTGAAAAACTACCTACTAGGTACCGTGCTTAGTGAGTTGGGCACTTAGTGAGATAGTGATCTGGGCAATGGGATCTGTACCCCAAACCTCAACATCACACAGCATATCCATGTGTACCCCGAGTCTAAAATAAAAGTTGAGCCTGTAATCCCAGGACTTTGGGAGGCCAAGGCAGGTGGATCACGAGGTCAGGAGATCGAGACCATCCTGGCCAACACTGTGAAACCCCGTCTCTACTAAAAAAAATACAAAAAATTAGCCAGGCATGGTGGCGGGCACCTGTAGTCCCAGCTACTCGGGAGGCTGAGGCTGGAGAATTGCGTGAACCCGGGAGATGGAGCTTGCAGTGAGCTGAGATTGCACCACTGCACTCCAGCCTGGGCAACAGAGCAAGACTCCGTCTCAAAAAAAAAAAAAAAAAAAGAAAAAAAGAAAGAAAAATAAAAGTTGAAATGATAAAAAAAAGAGATGGTTTTATTCCTCTTAAAAAAGCAAATTTAAATATAATAAGTGACAAAACTTATATCTTGCATTTGTACTTGACATTGTTCTTGCAGTCCTGATAATTTATTTTTAAATATTTAAGTATTATTTTAGGACTAATTTCTAATTCTTGATGCCCAGAAATGAAGTCATCATTTTCAAAATCTCTACTGGACTGGGCTAGAAATTTGACTTTTCACTGTGACTTTTCATCTCTTGAATATAAAAAAACAGAGACATTCATATCTTTCCCCTTTATCTTACAGAAAAGGTTTGATATAAATACACGAGATTTGGGTTTTACCTGTCATTTTGGGGAGAATGCCATTTTTTATTTATCAGTGACTAATTGAGAAATGATTGGATCTTATATATCTTTAGTAAGAAGCCCTTACATTTATTTTCGGGCGCCATCGTTATTTGACATCAAACAATTGAAAGGCAATTCTTAAATAATCGATGATACAAAAGTGAATGGCTACTGAAACAGATATGCTAAAAATAAAAATCTCATACTTTCACCTAGATATAAAATTGAATGGAAGGCCGAGGCAGACAGATCACAAGGTTAGGAGAGGGAGACCATCCTGGCTAACGCGGTGAAACCCAGTCTCTACTAAAAATACAAAAAATTAGCCGGGCGTGGTGGCGGGCACCTGTAGTCCCAGCTACTCAGGAGGCTGAGGCGGGAGAATGGTGCGAACCCAGGAGGCAGAGCTTGCAGTGAGCCAAGATTGCGCCACTGCACTCCAGCCTGGGCAACAGAGTGAGATTCCGTCTCAAAAAAAAAAGAAGGCTGAATAGATTATTTCTACAGAAAAAAGTTCTTTGAAAGTTAATCAACATAATAATTTTAACATCACATATAAAAATGTTAAAATATTAAATTATGAAAAATGAGATTCGTATCAACTGGGAAATGAAACTGGATAAATAATTCTTTATGAAACAAACTCACACATCTGAGGGAGGCCATATTAGCTGTTAATCTTGTTGAGAAGGTACCTGTTTAAAGCTTCAATCTACAACATCAAACCTATTGAATTGTTCAAAACCAAATATATGTTTTAATAAGTTAGAAGTATGTTAAAATTAAATCAATTTTCACCCAAAATACAAGTTCAAAAATGTGTAGAATAATTTCAACATGTTGTATAAAATTTCTAAAAGTTTTATATTCCTGTAGTGATAGCTGTCCACTCTTGGGAAACTTTCCTGTCAAAACTAAGAAAAATAGGGTTATATACAACATGGTACCTACAATTATGAGGTGTATGGCTTACCAATTGTTTTAATTGATAGAGTAAATCATATTTACAAAATTCATACATGCTAAGCACATTGTGTATCTTTATTTTTGCCTGTCTTCTTCCCTGAACAAACACCATAGACATTCATTATGGATACTCAACTTGCTAGCTCTAGAAACAGATAAAGTGAAGATAATCAAAGCTATATGGCTGGAAGATAGTTTTGGGCAATGTGAAATCATTAACATATTGTAAGAAAGCCCCTAATTCATAGTAAATGTTATGTTGAAGTATTTCTTTGAAAAGATTTGTTGTTAAAATACTAATTTATTGCTTCTCAAAATGTATTGAACAGCATACAACATAGGAAAAGCTTGCCAAAAGCAAAATGACATTTTGACAAGAACACTAAATTTAGTTTTCTTAATTAGTATTTTAACAACAAATATTTTCAAAGAAATATTTCAAAAAAACCATTTACTTTTAAAGTGGAAGTATGGGAAATAAATGTTTATTTTACTGCCATTTCATTAGGAAATGGGGAGTGGATGGTCCACCTCAAGAATTAAAGTTTCTTAAGATTACTGTGGTTTGTTGTGTCATTTCTATGCATTAATAACTGAAGTTGAGGAGTTTATAGCTGATTATTTTGGAAATAAACTTGTTAATACTTTCTCTGGAACTTTTGTTTTGAGACTTGAAAAATGTCTATGAATTTTTTGTTGCAGTAAGGAAGATAAAAAGTTTAGAAATTGCATGCTTCCCTTATTACAATATAACCTGCCTTTATGTTTGTCTAAATGGCTTTGTCTTCAAGTAGGTAGAGCCCTAAATATAATATAGAATAACAGACATGAGTTTTTTAAAAATTTCAAAATACTGTTGGCAATAGTTATTTAGAATTCAGAATATATTTTCTTTTATGGAAAAAGAAATAGTAAGTTTTAAGTAACTCCTAAGGTTAACAATACATATATATAATCCAATGTGTAGCTGAACAATAAAATTAAATACAATAGTTTAATTTATTAAGTGGTCAGTGACTTATTTTAATCACTAAAATCCGTGTTAAGACTACGTCATTTAGGCCTCGTGCGGTTGCTCGTGCCTGTAATCCCAGCACTTTGGGAGGCAGAGGCGGGTGGATCTCTTGAGCTCAGTAGTTCGAGACCAGCCTGGGTAAAATAGCAAAACCCTATCTCTACAAAAAATACGAAAATTAGCTGGGAGTGGTCGCACACGCTTGTAGTTCCAGCTACTTGGAGGATCGCTTGGGCCCGGGGAGGCAGAGGTGGCAGTGAGTCGAGATCACTCCACTGCACTCCAGCCCAGACAACAGAGTGAGACCCTTCCCTCTCCCCCGCCAAAAAAAGACTACGTCATTTAATCGTGGAATAGGTTTATACATTCAATATATAAGAAATTTAGAGTATTCATATCAATAAAATTTGAGTACTCATATCCTATTTTCTTGACTATATATATTTAATATTGAACTTTTAAAATTGAATTTTAATACAGACTTTTGAAATTGTCAAACAAAAACAAACAAATGTATTTAAATTCTGTTTCTAACGAAGATTATGGCCAAAATCTTTACTCTCATACTTAGAAATGATGAATAAATTGTAACTAAAAGTGAGGTGTGTGTGTGTGTGTGTGTGTGTGTGTAGTGTCAAAAATGAAGAAGGAGCATTTAAGAGCACAAGTTGATATTGCTTATCTAGGAGGTGATTATCAAATTCAGAAACAAACTATAATGCCCAAGAATTTGAGCCATAATGTCCATGCAGAGACAAAAGATGAGACTTCAGGAGAAATTAAACACAAAGTTGGAACTAAGGCAGCTACACAAAGTTAGCATCTTCTGACTTTCCACCTTTGGTGATGATAAAAAAAAAAATTACAATGACCTAATATGAGTCGAGTTGTCATATCTCTGCTCAGTTCTTGGTAGAAATAGAAATATCGCATGAGAGTTCAAAATGAAGAGTGTGCCATACATAGGTTTGAAGTCTGATCCAAACTTGTTTATATATGTGAATCTTGTATATATGTGAATCTTGTATAAGATAAGTGAATCATGAAATGGAAGCATTAAAATTGGTACTGGAGTCATAAAGATAGACATATAGGTAAGTGGAATGGAATTGAAAGTCCAGAATTAAACCCTTATAACTAAAGTCAAATTATTTTGGACAATGGTACTGTATTAGTCAGAGTTCTCCAGAGAAACAGACCAAACAAGATGCGTGTATGTATGTGTATATGTGGAATGACGGATACCAGTCTGCCTCTCTCTGTCTCTCTCTCTCTCTCTCTCTCACACACACACACACACACAGTGAGAGAGAAAGAGGGAGAGATTTATTTTAAGGAATTGGCTCATGTAATTGTGGAGACTTGGCAAGCCCGAAATATGTAGAGTAGGCTGGCAGACTATTGACCCAAGGAAGAGTAAAAGTTCAAGCCAAAGGCAGTCTGCTGCCAGGATTCCTTCTTGCTCAGAGGTCAGTCTTTGTTCTACTAAGGCCTGCAATTGCTTGCATGAGGCCCACCCACATTATGGAACCCATCCACATTATAGGGGGTAATCTCCTTTACTCAAAGTCTGCCAGTTTAAATGTTAATCTCATCCAAAAAAAAAAAAGCCTTCACAAAGCACATACAGAATAATATTTCACCAAATATCTGGGCACTGTGGCCCAGCCAAGTTGACACAAAAAAATTAACCAACACAGGTATCAAGACAAGAAGCAAAGGTTGTTTTTACACCAAATATTGCTGTAAAAGCTGAATACCCACAGGCAAAAAAAATGAGGTCGGACTCCTTCCTTAAACCATACACAAAAAGTGAACACAAAGTGGATCCTAGAGCTAATTTAAGAGCTGAAAATGTAAAAATCCTAGAAAAAAATAGGAATAAATCTTCATGAACTTGGTCTAGGTAATGGTTTATTAGATCTGATACCAAAAGCACAGTGACAAAAGAAATTTATAGGTAAATTGGACATCAAAACTTTTTAAAAAGTTGCTACAAATGATACCATGAAGAAAGTGAAAGGCAGCCCATTGGCTGGGAGAAAATCTTTGCAAATCAATAATTTATCTGATGAAGGACTGGTAGCCAGAATATAAATTCCTACAATTCAATAATTAAAAGAGAAATCACATGTTTTAAAAATGGGTAAAGGACCTGAATAGACATGTCTCCAGAAAAGATATAAAGAAGACCAATAAGCACATAAAAAATGTTCAACATCATTATCCATTAGGGAAATACAAATCAAAATCATAATGAAATACCACTTCACACACACTAGAACTGCTAAAATAAAAAATATAGACCATAACAAGTGTTTATGAGGAAGCGGAGAAACTGGAACTCTCAGACACAGCTGGTGAGAATGTAAAATGCTACAAACTGAAAAACAGTCAGTTCCTCAAAATGCTATGCTGCTAAGCACAGAGTTACCAAATGGTGTGGTAGTTCCACCCCTGGGTGTATGCTAAAATATATATGAAAATGTACATCCACATAAAAACCTGTACATGAACGTCCATATCAGCATTATTCATAACAGTCAAAAATTAGAAAAAACCCAGATGTTCGTCAACTGATGAAGGAATAAACAAAATGTGGTACATTTATACAATGAAATATTATTTGATAATAAAAAGAAATAAAGTAATGATGCATGCTCCAACACAGATAAGCCTTAAAATATTATGCTAAGTGAAATAAGTCAGTCACAAAAAACCACATATTTCATGATGTTGTTTATATAAAATGTTCAGATAAAGCAAATCCACAGCGACAGAAAGTAGATTATTGGTTGTTTGGAGGAAGGGATGGAGTGAAGAGTAACTTCACGACACAGGTTTCCTTTTTGGAGTGATAAACTGTTCTAAACTTAGATTGTAGTGATGGTTACAGAATTCTATGAATATACTAAAGCCATAGAATTGCACAACTTAAATCAGAAAATTGTACAGTACCTAATCTAAATCTCAATAAAGATGTTAAAAAAATTGTTCCTGGGACAGTGGTACTCCTGAGAAACTTTGAAAAATAAATGTAAAACTACTAGAGACATGTTTCCATTATCTGTGCTGCACAAAATGCATATGGAGTAAATAATTGCTTTGGAAGGTAAGATTATTATGAAATATAAAAACAACTATAAGGAAATGATTTAACAAAAGTGCAATGAGCAAATATGAAAAAGATAATAGAAAAATCTGAGACAGAAAACAAAATAGGTATACTTAATATAGTTAGAGCCACATATGAGCAGAATCCATAAGGAAATAATTAGACATTATAAAAAGAAACCAAGCTGATTTGAAAAATCATCCTGTATAAATTTCAGACATTAAATTATGATTCTTTATTATTATTATTATTTCCTTTTTCTTTTTTTATTATTATACTTTAAGTTCTAAGGTACACATGCCCAACATGCAGGTTTGTTACATAGGTATACATGTGCCATGTTGGTTTGCTGAACCCATCAACTTGTCATTTATATTAGGTATTTCTCCTAATGCTATCCCTCCCCCAGCCCCCCACACCCTAACAGGCCCCAGTGTGTGATGTTCCCCTCCCTGTGTCCAAGTGTTCTCATTGTTCAATTCCCACCTATGAGTGAGAACATGTGGTGTTTGGTTTTCTGTCCTTATAGTTTGCTGAGAATGATGGTTTCCAGCTTCATCCATGTCCCTGCAAAGGACATGAACTCATCCTTTTTTATGGCTGCATAGAATTCCATGGTGTATATGTGCCACATTTTCTTAATTCAGTCTATGATTGACGGACATTTGAGTTGGTTCCAAGTCTTGGCTATTGTGAATAGTGCTGCAGTAAACCTACATACATACATGTGCATGTATCTTTATAGTAGCATAATTTATAATCCTTTGGGTATATACCCAGTAATGGGATTGCTGTGTCAAATGGTATTTCTAGTTCTAGATCCTTGAGGAATAGCCACACTGTCTTCCACAATGTTTGAACTAATTTACATTCCCACCAACAGTGTAAAAGCGTTCCTATTTCTCCACATCCTCTCCAGCATCTGTTATTTTCTGACTTTTTAATGATCACCATTCTAACTGGCATGATATGGTATCTCATTGTGGTTTTGATTTGCATTTCTCTGGTGACCAGTGATGACGAGTATTTTTTCATGTGTCTGTTGGTTGCATAAATGTCTTCTTTTGAGAAATGTCTGTTCGTATCCTTTGCCAACTTTTTGATGGGGTTGTTTTTTTTTTCTTGTAAATTTGTTTGAGTTCATTGTAGATTCTGGATATTAGCCCTTTGTCAGATGGATAGATTGCAAAAATTTTCTCCCATTCTGTAGGTTGCCTCTTCACTCTGATGGTATTTACTTTTGCTGTGCAGAAGCTTTTTAGTTTAATTAGATCCCATTTATCTCTTTTGGCTTTTGTTGTCATTGCTTTTGGTGTTTTAGACATGAAGTATTTGCCCATGTCTATGTGCTGAACATAGGTATTGCCTAGGTTTTCTTCTAGGGTTTTTATGGTTTTAGGTCTAACATGTAAGTCTTTAATTCATCTTGAATTACTTTTTATATAGGGTGTAAGGAAGGGATCCAGTTTCAGCTTTTTACATATGGCTAGCCAGTTTTCCCAGCACCATTTATTAAATAGGGAATCCTTTCCCCGTTTCTTATTTTTGTCAGGTTTGTCAAAGATCAGATAGTTTGAAGTCAGGTAGTGTGATGCCTCCAGCTTTGTTCTTTTTGCTTAGGATTGTCTTGGCTATGCGGGCTCTTTTTTGGTTCCATATGAAATTTAAAGTAGTTTTTTCCAATTCTGTGAAGAAAGTCATTGGTAGCTTGATGGGAATGGCATTGAATCTATAAATTACTTTGGGCAGTATGGCCAATTTCATGAGATTGATTCTTCCTATCCATGAGCATGGAATGTTGTTCCATTTGTCTGTGTCCTCTTTTATTTCGTTGAGCAGTGGTTTGTAGTTCTTCTTGAAGGGGTCCTTCACATCCTTTGTAAGTTGGATTCCTAGATATTTTATTCTCTTTGTAGCAATTATGAATGGGAGTTCACTCATGATTTGGCTCTCTGTTTGTCTGTTACTGGTGTATAGGAATGCTTGCGATTTTTACCCATTGATTTTGTATCCTGAGACTTTGCTGAAGTTTCTTATCAGCTTAAGGAGATTTTGGGCTAAGACGATGGGGTTTTCTAAGTATACAATCATGTCATCTGCAAACAGGGACAATTTGCCTTCCTCTTTTCCTACTTGAATACCCTTTATTTCTTTCTCTTGCCTGAGTGCCCTGGCCAGAACTTCCAGCATTATGTTGAATAGGAGTGGTGACAGAAGGCATCCTTGTCTTGTGCTGGTTTTCAAAGGGAATGCTTCCAGTTTTTGCCCATTCAGTATGATACTGGCTGTGGGTTTGTCATAAATAGCTCTTATTATTTTGAGATACATTCCATCAATACCTAGTTTATTGAGAGTTTTTAGCATGAAGGGCTACTGAATTTTGTTGAAGGTCTTTTCTCTATCTATTGAGATAATCATGTGATTTTTGTCATTGTTTCTGTTTATGTGATGGATTACATTTATTGATTTGCATATGTTGAACCAGGCTTGCATCCCAGGGATGAAGCTGACTTGATTGTGGTAGATAAGGTTTTTGATGTGCTGCTGGATTCGGTTTGCCAGTATTTTATTGACGATTTTCGCATTGATATTCATCAGGGATATTGGTCTAAAATTCTCTTTTTTTATTGTATATCTGATACTGGCCTCATAAAATGAGTTAAGGAAAATTCCCTCTTTTTCTATTGATTGGAATAGTTTCAGAAGGAATGGTACCAGCTCCTCTTTGTACCTCTGGTAGAATTTGGTTGTGAATCTATCTGGTCCTGGACTTTTTTGGTTGACAGGCTATAAATTATTGCCTCAATATCAGAGCTTGTTATTGGTCTATTCAGAGATTCAACTTCTTCCTGGTTTAGTCTTTGGAGGGTATGTGTCCAGGAATTTATCCATTTCTTCTAGATTTTCTAGTTTATTTGTGTAGAGATGTTTATAGTATTCTCTAATGGTAGTTTGTATTTCTGTGGGATCGGTGATGATATCCCCTTTACCATTTTTTATTGAATCTCTTTGATTCTTCTCTCTTTTCTTCTTTATTAGTCTTGCTAGCAGTACATCAATTTTGTTCATCTTTTCAAACAACCATCTCCTGGATTCATTGATTTTTTGAAGGGATTTTTGTATCTCTATCTCCTTCAGTTCTGCTCTGATCCTATTTATTTCTTGCCTTCTGCTAGCTTTTGAATTTGTTTGCTCTTGCTTCTCCAGTTCTTTTAATTGTGATGTTAGGATGTTGACTTTAGATCTTTCCTAATTTCTCTTGTGGGCAGTTAGTGCTATAAATTTCCCTCTACACACTGCTTTAAATGTGTCCCAGAGATTCTGGTATGTTGTATGTTTGTTCTCATTGGTTTCAAAGAACATCTTTATTTCTGCCTTCATTTCGTTATGTACCCAGTAGTCATTCAGGAGCAGGTTGTTCAGTTTCCATGTAGCTGAGTGGTTTTGAGTGTGTTTCTTAACCCTGAATTCGAATTTGATTGTACTGTGGTCTGAGAGACAGTTTGTTGTGATTTCTGTTCTTTTACATTTGCTGAGGAGTGCTTTACTTCCAATTATGTGGTCAATTTTAGAACTCTCGGCAGAAACTCTACAAGCCAGAGGAGAGAGGGAGCCAATATTCATTATTCTTAAAGAAAAGAATTTTCAACCCAGAGTTTCATATCCAGCCAAGCTAAGTTGCATAAGTGAAGGGGAAATAAAATCCTTTACAGACAAGCAAATGCTGAGAGATTTTGTCACCACCAGGCCTGCCTTACAAGAGCTCCTGAAGGAAGCACTAAACATGGGAAAGAGCAACCAGTACCAACCACTGCAAAACCATGCCGAATTGTAAAGACCATCGATGCTGTGAAGAAACTGCATCAAGTAACGGGCAAAATAACCAGCTAACATCATAATGACAGGATCGAATTCACACATAACAATATTAACCTTAAATGTAAATGGGAAAAATGCCTCAATTAAGACACAGACTGGCAAATTGGAAAAAGAATCAAGACCCATCAGTGTGCTGTATTCAGGAGACCCATCTCACGTGCAAAAACACACATAGGCTCAAAATAAAGGAATGGAGGAACATCTACCAAGCAAATAGAACGCAAAAAAAAAAAAAAAAAAAAAAAAAGCAGGGGTTGCAATCCTAGTCTCTGATAAAACAGACTTTAAACCAACAAAGATCAAAAGAGACAAAGAAGGCCATTACATAATGGTAAAGGGATCAATTCAACATGAAGAGCTAACTATCCTAAATATGTGTGCACCCAATACAAGAGCACCCAGATTCATAAAGCAAGTCCTTAGAGACCTACAAAGAGACTTAGACTCCCACACAATAACAACGGGAGACTTTAACACCCCACTGTCAATATTAGACAGATCAATGAGACAGAATGTTAACAATGATATCCAGGCCTTAAACTCAGCTCTGCACCAAGTGGACCTAATAGACATCTACAGAACCCTCCACCCCATATCAACAGAATATACATTCTTCTCAGCACCACATCACACTTACTGTATGATTCTTAAGATAAAAGTAAAGCTGGGCCAGGCACGGTGGCTCACGCCTGTAATCCCAGCACTTTGGAAGGCCGAGGTGGGCGGATCATGAAGTCAGGAGATCGAGACCATCTTGGCTAATGCAGTGAAACCCCATCTCTACCAAAAATACAAAAAATTAGCTGGGCGTGGTGGCAGGTGCCTGTGGTCCCAGCTACTCGGGAGGGTATGACTACTGGGTACATAACAAAATGAAAGCAGAAATAAAGATGTTCTTTGAAACCAATGAGAACAAACATACAACATACCAGAATCTCTGGGACACATTTAAAGCAGTGTGTAGAGGGAAATTTATAGCACTAACTGCCCACAGAGAAATCATTCTCTGAGGAGAATGGCATGAACCCGGGAGGCGGAGCTTGCAGTGAGCTGGGATCATGCCACTGCACTCAGCCTGGGCAACAGAGTGAGACTCTCTCTCAAAAAAAAAAAAGAGAAAAAAAAAGTAAAGCTGAAGAGAGAATGTTGAATTGGTTGGCTGGTGAAATTTCCCGGAATGTAGTCCTGAGAGATATGAAGATTAAATATATGAAAGAGACACTAAGGCATATGGAAGATAGAAGAGAAAATCCAATATACATATTTTTATTTATTTATTTATTTATTTATTTATTTATTTATTTATTATACTTTAAGTTTTAGGGTACATGTGCACAATGTGCAGGTTAGTTACATATGTATACATGTGCCATGCTGGTGCGCTGCACCCACTAACTCGTCATCTAGCATTAGGTATATCTCCCAATGCTATCCCTCCCTCCTCCTCCCACCCCACAACAGTCCCCAGAGTGTGATGTTCCCCTTCCTGTGTCCATGTGTTCTCATTGTTCAATTCCCACCTATGAGTGAGAATATGCAGTGTTTGGTTTTTTGTTCTTGTGATAGTTTACTGAGAATGATGATTTCCAATTTTATCCATGTCCCTACAAAGGACATGAACTCATCATTTTTTATGGCTGCATAGTATTCCATGGTGTATATGTGCCACATTTTCTTAATCCAATCTATCATTGTTGGACATTTGGGTTGGTTCCAAGTCTTTGCTATTGTGAATAATGCCGCAATAAACATACGTGTGCATGTGTCTTTATAGCACCATGATTTATAGTCCTTTGGGTATATATACAGTAATGGGATGGCTGGGTCAAGTGGTATTTCTAGTTCTAGATCCCTGAGGAATCACCACACTGACTTCCACAATGGTTGAACTAGTTCACAGTCCCACCAACAGTGTAAAAGTGTTCCTATTTCTCCACATCCTCTCCAGCACCTGTTGTTTCCTGACTTTTTAGTGGTTGCCATTCTAACTGGTGTGAAATGGTATCTCATTGTGGTTTTGATTTGCATTTCTCTGATGGCCAGTGATGGTGAGCATTTTTTCATGTGTTTTTTGGCTGCATAAATGTCTTCTTTTGAGAAGTGTCTGTTCATGTCCTTTGCCCACTTTTTGATGGAGTTGTTTGTTTTTTTCTTGTAAATTTGTTTGAGTTCGTTGTAGATTCTGGAAATTAGCCCTTTGTCAGATGAGTAGGTTGCGAACATTTTCTCCCATTTTGTAGGCTGCCTGTTCACTCTGATGGTAGTTTCTTTTCCTGTGCAGAAGCTCTTTAGTTTAATTAGATCCCATTTGTCAATTTTGTCTTTTGTTGCCATTGCTTTGGTGTTTTAGACATGAAGTCCTTGCCCGTGCCTATGTCCTGAATGGTAATGCCTAGGTTTTCTTCTAGGGTTTTTATGGTTTTAGGTCTAACGTTTAAGTCTTTAATCCATCTTGAATTGATTTTTGTATAAGGTGTAAGGAAGGGATCCAGTTTCAGCTTTTTACATATGGCTAGCCAGTTTTCCCAGCACCATTTATTAAATAGGGAATCCTTTCCCCATTGCTTGTTTTTCTCAGGTTTGTCAAAGATCAGATAGTTGTAGATAGGCGGCGTTATTTCTGAGGGCTCTGTTCTGTTCCATTGATCTATATCTCTGTTTTGGTACCAGTACCATGCTGTTTTGGTTACTGTAGCCTTGTAGTATAGTTTGAAGTCAGGTAGTGTGATGCCTCCAGCTTTGTTCTTTTGGCTCAGGATTGACTTGGCGATGTGGGCTCTTTTTTCGTTCCATATGAACTTTAAAGTAGTTCTTTCCAATTCTGTGAAGAAAGTCATTGGTAGCTTGATGGGGATGGTATTGAATCTGTAAATTACCTTGGGCAGTATGGCCATTTTCACGATACTGATTCTTCCTACCCATGAGCATGGAATGTTCTTCCATTTGTTTGTATCCTCTTTTATTTCCTTGAGCAGCGGTTTGTAGTTCTCCATGAAGAAGTCCTTCGCATCCCTTGTAAGTTGGATTCCTAGGTATTTTATTCTCTTTGAAGCAATTGTGAATGGGAGTTCATTCATGATTTGGCTCTCTGTTTGTCTGTTGTTGGTGTATAAGAATGCTTGTGATTTTTGTACATTGATTTTGTATCCTGAGAGTTTGCTGAAGTTGCTTATCAGCTTAAAGAGATTTTGGGCTGAGACAATGGGGTTTTCTAGATATACAATCATGTCGTCTGCAAACAGGGACAATTTGACTTCCTCTTTTCCTAATTGAATACCCTTTATTTCCTTCTCCTGCCTGATTGCCCTGGCCAGAACTTCCAACACTATGTTGAATAGGAGTGGTGAGAGAGGGCATCCCTGTCTTGTGCCAGTTTTCAAAGGGAATGCTTCCAGTTTTTGCCCATTCAGTATAATATCGGCTGTGGGTTTGTCATAAATAGCTCTTATTGTTTTGAGATATGTCCCATCAATACCTAATTTATTGAGAGTTTTTAGCATGAAGGGTTGTTGAATTTTGTCAAAGGCCTTTTCTGCATCTATTGAGATAATCATGTGGTTTTTGTCTTTGGTTCTGTTTATATGCTGGATTACATTTATTGATTTGCGTATATTGAACCATGCCTCCCAGGGATGAAGCCCACTTGATCATGGTGGATAAGCTTTTTGATGTGCTGCTGGATTCGGTTTGCCAGCATTTTATTGAGGATTTTTGCATCAATGTTCATCAAGGATATTGGTCTAAAATTCTCTTTTTTGGTTGTGTCTCTGCCCGGCTTTGGTATCAGGATGATGCTGGCCTCATAAAATGAGTTAGGGAGGATTCCCTCTTTCTCTATTGATTGGAATAGTTTCAGAAGGAATGGCACCAGTTCCTCCTTGGACCTCTGGTAGAATTCGGCTGTGAATCCATCTGGTCCTGGACTCTTTTTGGTTGGTAAGCTATTGATTATTGCCACAATTTCAGCTCCTGTTATTGGTCTATTCAGAGATTCAAATTCTTCCTGGTTTAGTCTTGGGAGAGTGTATGTGTCGAGGAATTTATCCATTTCTTCTAGATTTTCTAGTTTATTTGTGTAGAGGTGTTTGTAGTATTCTCTGATGGTAGTTTGTATTTCTGTGGGATCGGTGTTGATATCCCCTTTATCATTTTTTATTGTGTCTATTTGATTCTTCTTTTTCTCTTTATTAGTCTTGCTAGCGGTCTGTCAATTTTGTTGATCCTTTCAAAAAACCAGCTCCTGGATTCATTAATTTTTTGAAGGGTTTTTTGTGTCTCTATTTCCTTCAGTTCTGCTCTGATTTTAGTTATTTCTTGCCTCCTGCTAGCTTTTGAATGTGTTTGCTCTTGCTTTTCTAGTTCTTTTAATTGTGATGTTAGGGTGTCAATTTTGGATCTTTCCTGCTTTCTCTTGTGGGCATTTAGTGCTATAAATTGCCCTCTACACACTGCTTTGAATGTGTCCCAGAGATTCTGGTATGTTGTGTGTTTGTTCTCATTGGTTTCAAAGAACATCTTTATTTCTGCCTTCATTTTGTTATGTACCCAGTAGTCATTCAGGAGCAGGTTGTTCAGTTTCCATGTAGTTGAGCGGTTTTGAGTGAGATTCTTAATCCTGAGTTCTAGTTTGATTGCAATGTGGTCTGAGAGATAGTTTGTTATAATTTCTTGTCTTTTACATTTGCTGAGGAGAGCTTTACTTCCAACTTTGTGGTCAATTTTGGAATAGGTGTGGTGTGGTGCTGAAAAAAATGTATATTCTGTTGATTTGGGGTGCAGAGTTCTGTAGATGTCTATTAGGTCTGCTTGGTGCAGAGCTGAGTTCAATTCCTGGGTATCCTTGTTGACTTTCTGTCTCGTTGATCTGTCTAATGTTGACAGTGGGGTGTTAAAGTCTCCCATTATTAATGTGTGGGAGTCTAAGTCTCTTTGTAGGTCACTCAGGACTTGCTTTATGAATCTGGGTGCTCCTGTATTGGGTGCATATATATTTAGGATAGTTAGCTCTTCTTGTTGAATTGATCCCTTTACCAGTAAGTAATGGCCTTCTTTGTCTCTTTTGATCTTTGTTGGTTTAAAGTCTGTTTTATCAGAGACTAGGATTGCAACCCCTGCCTTTTTTTGTTTTCCATTTGCTTGATAGATCTTCCTCCATCCTTTTATTTTGAGCCTATGTGTGTCTCTGCCCATGAGATGGGTTTCCTGAAGACAGCACACTGATGGGTCTTGACTCTTTATCCAATTTGCCAGTCTATGTCTTTTAATTGGAGCATTTAGTCCATTTACATTTAAAGTTAATATTATTATGTGTGAATTTGATCCTGTCATTATGATGTTAGCTGGTTATTTTGCTTGTTAGTTGATGCAGTTTCTTCCTAGTCTCGATGGTCTTTACATTTTGGCATGATTTTGCAGCGGCTGGTACCAGTTGTTCCTTTCCATGTTTAGCGCTTCCTTCAGGAGCTCTTGTAGGGCAGGCCTGGTGGTGACAAAATCTCTCAGCATTTGCTTGTCTGTAAAGTATTTTATTTCTCCTTCACTTATGAAGCTTAGTTTGGCTGGATATGAAATTCTGGGTTGCAAATTCTTTTCTTTAAGAATGTTGAATATTGGCCCCCACTCTCTTCTGGCTTGTAGGGTTTCTGCCGAGAGATCCACTGTTAGTCTGATGGGCTTCCCTTTGAGGGTAACCCGACCTTTCTCTCTGGCTGCCCTTAACATTTTTTCCTTCATTTCAACTTTGGTGAATCTGACAATTGTGTCTTGGAGTTGCTGTTCTCGAGGAGTATCTTTGTGGCGTTCTCTGTACTTCCTGAATCTGAATGTTGGCCTGCCTTGCTAGATTGGGGAAGTTCTCCTGGATAATATCCTGCAGAGTGTTTTCCAACTTGGTTCCATTCTCCCCGTCACTTTCAGGTACACCAGTCAGACATAGATTTGGTCTTTTCACATAGTCCCATATTTCTTGGAGGCTTTGCTCGTTTCTTTTTATTCTTTTTTCTCTAAACTTCCCTTCTCACTTCATTTCATTCATTTCATCTTCCATCGCTGATACCCTTTCTTCCAGTTGATCACATTGGCTCCTGAGGCCTCTGCATTCTTCACGTAGTTCTCGAGCCTTGATTTTCAGCTCCATCAGCTCCTTTAAGCACTTCTCTGTATTGGTTACTCTAGTTATACATTCTTCTAATTTTTTTTCAAAGTTTTCAACTGCTTTGCCTTTGGTTTGAATGTCCTCCCATAGCTCGGAGTAATTTGATCGTCTGAAGCCTTCTTCTCTCAGCTCGTCAAAATCATTCTCCATCCAGCTTTGTTCCGTTGCTGGTGAGGAACCGCATTCCTTTGGAGGAGGAGAGGCGCTCTGCTTTTTAGAGTTTCCAGTTTTTCTACTCTGTTTTTTCCCCATCTTTGTGGTTTTATCTACTTTTGGTCTTTGATGATGGTGATGTACAGATGGGTTTTCGGTGTGGATGTCCTTTCTGTTTGTTAGTTTTCCTTCTAACAGACAGGACCCTCAGCTGCAGGTCTGTTGGGAGTACCCGGCCGTGTGAGGTGTCAGTGTGCCCCTGCTGGGGGCTGCCTCCCAGTTAGGCTGCTCGGGGGTCAGGGGTCAGGGACCCACTTGAAGAGGCAGTCTGCCCATTCTCAGATCTCCAGCTGCATGCTGGGAGAACCACTGCTCTCTTGAAAGCTGTCAGACAGGGATATTTAAGTCTGCAGAGGTTACTGCTGTCTTTTTGTTTGTCTGTGCCCTGCCCCCAGAGGTGGAGCCCACAGAGGCAGGCAGGCCTCCTTGAGCTGTGGTGGGCTCCACCCAGTTGGAGCTTCCCAGCTGCTTTGTTTACCTAAGCAAGCCTGAGCAATGGCGGGCGCCCCTCCCCCAGCCTCGCTGCCGCCTTGCAGTTTGATCTCAGACTGCTGTGCCAGCAATCAGCGAGACTCCATGGGCGTAGGACCCTCTGAGCCAGGTGCGGGATATAATCTCCTGGTGCGCCGTTTTTTAAGCCCATCGGAAAAGCGCAGTATTCAGGTGGGAGTGACCTGATTTTCCAGGTGCCGTCTGTCACCCCTTTCTTTGACTAGGAAAGGGAACTCCCTGACTCCTTGCGCTTCCCGAGTGAGGCAATGCCTCGCCCTGCTTCGGCTCGCACACAGTGCGTGCACCCACTGGCCTGCGCCCACTGTCTGGCACTCCCTAGTGAGATGAACTCGGTTCCTCAGATGGAAATGCAGAAATCAGCCATCTTCTGCGTCACTCACGCTGGGAGCTGTAGACCGGAGCTGTTCCTATTCGGCCATCTTGGCTCTTCCCCCCACTCCAATATACATATTAATAGAAGTTACCAATGTAGCATAGGAAAGGGACAATATTTGAAATTATAATAATTGAAAGCTTTTCCAGATTGATGAAAAATAACAATTCTTATAGCCTATAAGCAAAATAATTTCCAATCAAGATAATTAAAAATAAATTTATACCAATCATATTTAATTAAAACTGACAACAGGTTTTTTTGTTTATCTTAAAGACAAATAAGAGGGAGAATTTAGCCAGGAGAAAGGGAAAAAGGAGGAGAGAGAAAGGGAGTGAGAAAGGGATAGAAGGAGGAAAAGGCAGAGAGAGAAGGAGAAGTGGAGAGAGAGAGAGATTAACTACAGAGAAATAATATTTGGACTGCAGCAGATATCTCAAAATCAACAAGAAAAGTCAGAAAATAAAGAATAAATTATACACTCAAAATGCTTAGAGAAAGTAGGAGATCAAGAGTTCTATACACTGTTAAATAATTCTTCAAGAGTGAGGGGGAAGAGAAGATATATTCAAATAGGGCTTTTTGTTTCTCGGATTTTAAAAAGTCACTTAAATTACAATCAAGGATTTAATGTAGGAAGAAGAAAACTGTACTCAGAAGGTAGGATCAGGATCCATAAATGGGTGGTAAGAATGAGTATTGGTAAATATGTGGTAAACATGAAGTGAAATTACAAATAATGACCGTGCATGGTTTGAAAACAAAACAATTTTAGTATTAGAAATGAATTACATTGAAGAGGTTTCTAAGTTACTTTCCTTCTATGGAGTAGGGGTATAAAGATATTGATGAATATTAGACATTGTCAGGTTTGATTATACATATTAGAAATTTCAGGAAACCACTAAAAAAAGCTAGAAATATAATGTGAAACTTCCAATAATTTAGAGGGGAAAAAATAGAATAAAGACATTTGAGTTCAATAGACGGTAGCAAAAACAAAAGAATGTAAAACCTAAAAGTAAGGTGGCAGAAATAAAATACTAAGAATCATAGTAAGAGAAAATAGAATCAACTTAACAATTAAAACATGGAAATTCTATCATTGGATTACAAATTTTCAGCTATATGCAGTTTTAAAAGGCACATCTAAAACACAGTGACATGTTCGATTTGAAAGTAACAGAAGAAAAATGATGTACCTGACAAATATTAACAACAAGAAGCTCGAGTAAGTATATAACTCTCAGTGAGAACTGTTTAAGCAGAAAACATTACAGTATTAAGGATAAAGAGGGTCATTGCTTAATGGCAAATATGAAAAAAACTCAAGGGAGATACAATATAACAAGAGAACAGATAAGAAATTCATTTTCCTATTACTTATGCATGTTTAATTCTTAAAACGTTTAAAACCAAATTAGTCTTACTGAAACACACTTCCTTTTATTCTTTGACATCTCTCCTTGGAAGTTTAGAACACATTTCTCTCACTAAGCCTTCCAGTATCGATTTTTTTCCACCCCTTTTATAACCTCCTCTTTTGCTATTATGTGTTGTATTGCATATTGGGTTAAATGGGAACCCCCACAGGAGCTTTGTCTTTTATGTGTTTTAAAGTGCCATGTACCCTTACAACTATTATAAATAAATCATCATCATCATCTTGGGATGAAAGTAAAACATAAAAATGTCAACCGTTCAAACGAAAATGAGTTATCTTCCTCTCTTTAACTTTACCTTAGAGATGCATCTTATAAAATTCTAGAAACTTTTCTAACAAGTATACAGTTTAAGTTTAAAAAGAAAAAAAATGATGTTGTATCGGCTTAGGGTAAACAACCATTCTGGTTTGCCTGGTTTTAGCAGTGAATGCCCTATATCCCAGGAAAACCCTCAGTCCTAGGCAAGCTGGTTTGTTGGTTGCCCAATAATATCACTCTTCTTTTAAGACATCTAAAGCATATATATTTTATATCTTTTATAGCAAATTACATCTAAGAAAATGTTCAACCAAAAGGCAAAAAGTAGCCACAATGAAGAAAAATATTAACTTTTCTTAGTCAGAATCCTGTATTTCTATTAGAAAAGAAAATGTCTACTTTTATGTAGCCTAAGTATCTCTTTCAACTTCAATTGAATATAGGACATCTCATCAAGTTAAAAATTTGCAAAAAGGTAGAAAATGACTTTTTCTTCAAATTCATATTTGTCATTGAGCAGTCTCTGATCTTTCTGAAATTTTAAGTATCATAGAGAAAGTCACAATTCTTAATAGGTACTGAATTATCGGATGAGTTGAAGGAAATGAAGGAGTGGTGAAGCCAATCAGCAATTCCTAAAGCGATACTCCAAAAAGGTATCATAGCTTTGCATTTTCTATATTTAACGGCTAATTTTTAGCCAATGAAGTGGTTAAAATAGACTATGGAATGTACAGGTGAAGAGAACATGCATATTTAAATTATAATCTATTTCCATAAGCAAATTATAAAAACCTTTCTGCTCTCTGAATTATAAAGAAGTGTATTTTTCATATTTAATAACTTGTGAAATATAAATTTTCTCATTTGCTCAAGATGATTTTGGGAGGCTAATCATGCTTTCTCAAAATGTTCATCCATTCACAGAACTGTATACTAAGTGGTCTGCATTTCCAAAGAGGAATAAGACATGACCCAACCTTCAAGGGGCTCATGTTCTGTTAGACGTGAAAAGAAAACAAATGAGTTTATTAATGTAGAATAAAATACAATTGTATATAGAAGGTGCCATTATTATAATGAGAAAGAAATTAAGGTATAAAACAAACACTTGACAAAAGATATGGTGCTTGAATTATATATTGAATTCATTCAGTTTTTTGCTATGTACCATGCTCAGTACTAGCCATAAGTTGTAAAAATCAGAGGCTCCTAGCATCATGTAGAATACATTCTATTAAGAAAAAAAGACAATAAACATGTCACAAATAAATAAAATACAGTAATTACAGATGGTGGCAACTGTTATCAAAGAGATAAGTAGGTGATATGAGAGAGGCAACTGGAAGGAGTTGAGGGCTGTATAGGAGTTGTTCAGGCAAATGGGGTTACACTGGACAAGGGCATTCCAAGGGAAAGGATCCTTTTAAGCTGCCTGGTTCCCTTCTAAAGCACAGTTGGCACTTGACATAAATGGTCATGAACATCCTTGCACTGTTCTTGGGAACTGTCTTTGAGAGCAAATATTAACCATTACATCCACTACATTCTAATTTGTCCCTAATCTTTCATTTTTCACCCTTTTGACTTTACATCCTTTATTTCCCTGTGAGTCTTATTTGTTTAAAAGCATTTTTCTGCCTGCAACTTCTTTGGTTTTTTTTACTCTGACTCTTATTATTTTCCTATTATGGCCAGAGGTAAAGGGAGTCAGAGGGTAAGAGGTAAGTATCACAGAAGGCCAAGTCTTCTACAACTTCAGAAGTAACACCATGTAGAACAGGAAGAGCTAAAAAAAAAAATTAAAAATATATTTGGAGGGACCATGACATGATGGAAAGGGAAGGAAAGGAGAGGGTAGGGGAGGGGACACACCCAGGAACAATATTTTGCATCCTTCAATCTAATCAAGTCAACACTCAATATTAACCATCACATCTGAATAGCAGTGCTAAGAGATCCACAGTCTCACTGCTGTTTGTGGTTCTTTTAACTCTCTTCACTGCTAGTGTCTCAATTTATGGGGTAGGTGAGAAATCATATGGAGCTTGTTATTTTCTTTACATACTTTAAAAACCAGGTACATAATCTATTTAACATGAGATATCTTGGTTTGGTGCCCAATTATCCTTTCCTCTCATTTAGTGTTACACTAATTAGCTCAGCGCTATCATCCAACTGTCAGATCAGACTTAATTCAATTAATTTAATCTCCACCCAACACCCTTATATAAAAGTGAACAATAGCTTACTGACATTTTTTTCATCAATAATTTATCATAGTGATTGCTCTATATTCAGGTGTAATACTCCTTATCTTGGAAGCGAAAAAAGAAGTACATGCTCAGATATGCAAATACCAATTTTCTGATAAATTCTGGCAAAAAGTGAACTCACATTAGTAATAAACTATTTCTATAAATAATCATTTATAGATTCTATAAAAATCATTTTTATCATATAACTTTTGTGTGTCCGCAGGAATATTTCATTTTGACTTTCTGAATGAAGTAGGATACTTTAGGTATATAAGATTTTTTTCCATCAAACTCAAAATTATTTTTAATGCATTTTCACTGGGCATTTAATACTATAACTATTTGCCCCGAATATTTCTTTATATGATATTTTAAATTTACATGTGACTAATCTGTGACATGATAGTTTAGTAGCCAATTAAATTTTGAAAGTTGCTGTTCTTTTAACAGTGGAAGGAACAGGCATAAGAGAAACATTCTGTACTAAGCAATTATGTGTGGGATGTATTTAAGAATATATAAAGTTATTGCTCTCAATGCAATTTTACTTCCATGTTCTGGAAAATTATTAATGTATCTGTGGAAAAAGAGATTCATATTTTAAAATACTATCAAAGTTTTCCACTATTTGGTATGAATTTGTTCCCAAACATGCCCCAGTTCTCTTAGTGTATGTGGACATTTGCCAGGAAAATAGGTAAGAATGACTACTAAGATGACTACTATTTTGGTCCAGAGAGGAATGGGATTTGTTTATCTCTCAATGTTCTTTCTCTGTGTTTGGACAATTCTTGGCTTTTCTTGATTTACATAAATGTGCACCCAGGATTGGCTTCATGTAAAGAGAATGTAGAAGTCTCGCTAGTAGTTATTGTTTAAAGGTATTACCTCTGGTCCTGGCTTAAAGCTCTATAACTGGGAGAGCAGACCTTTGTATCTCAATGGGAATAAAGTGAAAGCATGTGACAATGGGATAGACAGAGGAAGAGGACCAGTGTACCTGAGATGAGGAGGCTGGTTGTTCATGAATGAAGAACTTCATATCTACTCTAGATTTTTACTTTTAAAATTGATGTGTAGCTTTTACAAACTTTGACAAGATTTCTTACTATTGATATTAAAAAGGATAAAATATACTAATAAAGAAAACTTTAGATCTTCATGCCAGAAAACAATATCCTGTCCTAAAGTACAACTTCTGGAAGATAAATTATAGAAGTTTAGATTTAAAAGATTTACCATTTCTTATTCCAATATGATCTGATTGTTATGGGGGAATGGAAAAAAGGTGATTATCACTCTGGATAGATAAGAAAGTGCAAATCTAAGACGAATATTAGGTGAATATAGTTTAGTGATATAACTTATAGTTCCTGGCTACATTGTTTATAATAGAGTAAAAAAATGGCAATGCCCCAAATGTTCAATTGCAAGGTATCTGTTACAGGTACCTTGGTATTAGTTAGACATTAAGAAATACACAATTATTTAGAAAATGTTTAAAGTATATTTAATGAAGGAATCAAGTTATAAAAGAGTAATCTATAGATACATTATAAATATATTATGTAGGTGACCTGATGATGTGCCACACACATTCCCTCTTCAAGGATTAGACTTGCTGCCCAGCTATAGCAAGTATGGTGAGCAGACAGCTTCCAGCTGTCATTTTCTTCATGGTCTGCCTCGGCTGCAGAGAGAGCTGCTTTGCCTGACTTTACTCCCTGGATCACTCAATGATTGACACAGGTCAGGGTATAAATGTTTAGCTATTTGGGACTGACCTAGGATACTCTGAAGGGTAGCAATCACTGTAGAGCTCCTTGTTGGGCTGGCTGAGACTTTGTTAGGCCTGACAAAGTTTGACTTCTTTCTCTACCCAAACGTGTATTTTCTTTCCCTTCCACAGATTAAGCCCCGAAAAACATCTTGTATCCCAAACTCCATCTGAGCATCTACTTCTAGAGAACCTATTTGTGGTACACAGAATAATGGCCCCTCAAAGTTGTCCACATCTGAATTTCAGAAACCTGTAAATATGTTACCTGACATGGCAAAAAGGATTTTTCAGATGTGACTAAATTAAGAATCTTGATATGTGAATATTATCATGAATTATCTGGTGGCCCCAATGTAGTTATAAGGGTTCTTCTTAGAGGGAGAGAGAAGTTTCAGAGTCAGAAAAGTAGATATAGCAAAAGAAGAAGGGGTCAGAGTCAGAGAGAGATTTAAAGATGTTAATCTACCAGGTTCTTGTTTTGGTTTTTAAAATAAATTTTATTGTGTGTATTTATTTGTTATACAACAAATACAACAACATGTATACAACATGATGTTATGGGATACATATAGGTAGTAAAATCATTACTATAGTGAGGCAAGTTAACATATACATCATCTCACATAGTTATCCTTCAATTAATTAATTAATTTTTTTGTGGCAAGAGCAGGTTAAATCTACTTATTTTGCAGATGGAGGAAGAGGCCAGGAGCTAAGGAATCCAGGCCATCTCTAGAAGATGGAAAAGACAAGGAAGCAGAGTCATCCCTAGAGGGATCCAGAGGGAACATGGCCCTGCTGACAACTTAATTTCAGTCGAGTGAAACTTATTTGGGACTTCTGACTTCAGAACTGTAAAATTATAAATTTGTCTTGTCTTAAACCACTAAATAGATTTGTTACAGAGAAAATAGGAAACTAATTCACCGTCCAACAGCACATTTTGTTCAATCTGATATCATTTTGGTTAAAAATGTTTTTCACAGGAAAAAATACTGGGAGAATATACATTGAAGGATGTATAATATTTATTACTGGGTAAGATTTTGCTCATGTCGTTTTCTAGATTATCTATAATAAATGTATTTTTCTACAACAAATAAATTTGTAAAGAAGGAAGTGAATGGTTTCCATGAACTTTGGTCAAAATACTCAAAAGTAATGATGGAATATATGTACTCTATATCTTTTCTAAAGGAAAACTGAGAGAACACTATTAATTATCATGATAGAATAATCCTTTAGAGAGAGAACATGAGATCAGATTAGCTCAAATGGATGAAATAGCAACACGGTACATGCTGAATTAAGTTATTTATAAACATTGTTTATTTAGATTGTTCCTGTATTGATGGTGGTATTCACTTTGTTGTCATTCTCTCTTTTCTTTTTTCACTGTTAACAATGCTACGATAAATATCCTTGCACTGAGATCTTTATCTACTCTCTCCTTAACACTTTTAGGATAGATTCTTAAGAGATTAATTCTGCCTAAATAATTTATATGTTTTAATTTCTAATAAGCGTCATCAGATTGCTCTTCAAAGGTGCCATTACTATTCAAATTTCCAGTAGTAATGCATAGGAATACCCAGTCCCCACAGTGCCCTTTTAGATTTTTATAGATTGACACAAATGACATGACTAGGGCTTAGGGACCAGCCAGAAACTTGCTGCAAAGGTGACTTGAAACTTAACCCAAGATTGTTGGCTAAGAAGGTTTATATGTTCTCTGTTTCTGATCAAGGTTGATCCTGAGATCAGGAGTTTGGGCTGCGACTGCTGGGAACTAGCCTGAGTCATACACTGGGCCAACATTCCAGTGTTATCTTCAGTTAGTTTCCTTAGTCATACTCCAACCACATTGAGACATACTCTCCTTGTCCTTTAATTGTTTATAATTTAATTTTCTTCTGCTTGAAATTTTGTCCATTATAAGCTATTTTCATATTTGTGAGAAAATGAAATCACAGAATTTCAAAATTTTGGGGACGAAGATATACAACCTTCCACCAAATCCAGTTTTCTGGTAAGCATTTACTGCTCTTATCCTTTAAGATCTAAACTTAAAACTGTATTTTCTCGGAAGCCTTTCCTCATTCTTTCAGCTGCTGTCATTCTTGCCTCTATTCAAATCTATGATGCTTCATTTGCACTTTTTGTTTTTTTGGCAATTTATTACAGTAAGTACTTTGAAATTTAGTGGTCTAGCCTGTTTGTGTAGCTAGAAAGGAATACTTGAGGCTGGGTAATTTATGAAGAAAAAAGGTTTATTTGGCTTACAGTTCTGCAGGCTGTACAGGAAGGATGGCATCAGCATCTGCTTCTAGTGAGGGCTTCTGGAAGCTTCGACTCAGGATAGAAGTTGAAGGGGAGCTGGCATGTAGAGATCACATGGTGGAAAGTAAGAGAGAAGGAAAAAGAATAGGGAGGGAGGTGGCAGACTTTTAAACAATTAGATCTCTGGGAACTATTAGAACTGAGGAGAACTCACTCATTACCACTGAGATGGGACTAAACCATTCATGAGGGATTTGCCCCATGACCCAAACACCTTACACTAGGTCCCACCTTCAACATCGGGGATCAATTTAGATGTGAGATGGAGGGGACAATTGTCCAAACTATGTAAGTTTGTTATTTTTCCTAAAACAGTATCTTATAATAAATAGGAATATAAGTGTGTGTTAAAATATAAGCCTGTTAATTTTACAAATGTGAAACGATTTGCAGTTATGGCAAACAAACAAAACAACTGAATCTCATTAGTATGCATGAGATTCAGGCTTTGAGAAGTTTTCTTTGATGAAAAACAAAGGCAGAGAAAGCCATCATAACTATATCCTGCAGAAGCAGGGGTACATTTATCTGGTCAGAAATTGCAATAATTTTTAATTGTTGTAAATTTTTGCTAGCAAATTAGATTTGCCAGCATAGGCTATAACAATTTGTTATAGGTTGAATTGTGTCCCTCAAAAAGATATGTCAAATCTTAATTTTCAGTACCATAATGTTACATTTTTGTAAATAGGGTTATTGCAGATGTAATTAAGTTGAGCTTGGGTTCCACTAGAGTAAGGCAGGCTCTTAATTTAATATAATTGGTGTTCTTATAAGAAAGAATAGACATAGAGACAGAGATGCACAGGGATAACACCATGTAATGACAGAGGGAGAGACTGCAGTGACACACCTACAGGCAAAGGAACATCAAGGGCTGCCAATATCTTAGTCCATTTTCTGTTGCTTATAAAAATATCAGAAACTAGATAATTTATTTTAAAAAAGGATTCAATTTCTTAAAAATAGGGAGGCTATTTTCACAGTATTGATTCTTCCTATCCATGAGCACAGAATGTTTTTCCATTTGTTTGTGTCTTCTCTTATTTCCTTGAGCAGTGATTTGTAGTTCTCCTTGAAGAGGCCCTTTACATTGCTTGTAAGTTGTATTCCTAGGTATTTTATTCTCTTAGTAGCAATTGTGAATGGGAGCTCATTCATGATTTGGCTCTTTGTTTGTCTGTTATTGGTGTATAGGAATGCTTGTTATTTTTGCACTTTGATTTTGTATCCTGAGACTTTGCTGAGGGTGCTTATCAGCTTAAGGAGATTTTGGGCTGAGACAATAGGGTTTTCTAAATATACAATCATGTCATCTGCAAACAGAGACAATTTGACTTCCTCTCTTCCTATTTGAATACCGTTTATACTGCCCAAAGTAATTTATAGATTCAATGCTATCCCCATCAAGCTACCACTGACTTTCTTCACAGACTTGGAAAAAACTACTTTAAACTTCATATGGAACCAAAAAAGAGCCTGCATAGCCAAGACAGTCCTAAGCAAAAAGAAGAAAGCTGCAGGCATCACACTACCTGACATCAAACTATACTACAAGGCGACAGTAACCAAAGCAGCATAGTTCTGGTACGAAAACAGATATATAGACCAATGGAACAGAACAGAGCCCTCAGAAATAACACCACACATCTACAACCATCTGATCTTTGACAAACCTGACACAAACAAGCAATGGGGAAAAGATTCCCTATTTAATAAATGGTGTTGGAAAAACTGGCTAGCCCTATGCAGAAAACTGAAACTGGACCCCTTCCTTACACCTTACACAAAAATCAACTCAAGATGGATTAAAGACTTAAATGTAAGACCTAAAACCATAAAAATCCTAGAAGAAAACTTGGGCAATACCATTCAAGACATAGGCATGGGCAAAGACTTCATGTCTAAAACACCAAAAGCAATGGCAACAAAAGCCAAAAATTGACAAATGGGACCTCATTAAACTAAAGAGCTTCTGCACAGCAAAAGAAACTATCATCAGAATGAACAGGCAACCTACAGAATGGGGGAAAATGTTTGCAATCTATTCATCTGACAAAGGGCTAATATCAGAGTCTACAAAGAACTTAAACACATTTACAAGAAAAAAAAACCATCAAAAAGTGGGTGAAGGATATGAACAGACACTTCTCAAAAGAAGACATTTATGCAGCCAACAAACATATGAATAAAAGCTCATTATCACTGGTCATTAGAGGAATGCAGATCAAAAGCTCAATGAGATACCATCTCTCACCAGTTAGATGGCTATTATTAATAAGTCAGGAAACAACAGTTGCTGGAGAGGATGCAGAGAAAAAGAACACTTTTACACTCTTGATGGGAGTGTAAATCAGTTCAACCATTGTGGAAGACAGTGTGGCAATTCCTCAAGGATCTAGAACTAGAAATACCATTTGACCCAGCAATTCCATTACTAGGTATATACCCAAAGGGTTATAAATCATTCTACTATAAAGACACATGCACACATATGTTTATTGTTGCACTATTCACAATAGCAAAGACTTGGAACCAACCGAAATGTCCATCAGTGATAGACTGGATAAAGAAAATGTGGCACATATACACCATGGAATACTATGCAGCCATAAAAAGGGATGAGTTCATGTCTTGCAGGGACATGGATGAAGCTGGAAACCATCATTCTTGGTAAACTATCACAAGAACAGAAAACCAAATACCACGTGTTCTCACTCATAAGTGGGAGTTGAACAATGAGAACGCATGGACACAGGCAGGGGAACGTCACACACTGGGGCCTGTCAGCGGGTGGGGGGTGTTAGGAGAGGGTTAGCATTAGGAGAAATATCTAATACAGGTGATGGGTTGATGGGTGCAGCAAACCACCATGGCATATGTATACCTATGTAATGAAACTGCACATTCTGCATGTGTACCCCAGAATTTAAAGCAAAAAAAAAAAAAAAAAGGCTAAAAAGTCCGGGCTGGGTGCTGTGGCTTACGCCTGTTATCCCAGCACTTTGGGAGGCTGAGGCAAGCAGATCACCTGAGGTTGGGAGCTCAAGATCAGCCTGGCCAATGTGGTGAAACCTTGTCTCTACTAAAACTACAAAAATTAGCCAGGCGTGATAGCGCGCACCTGTAATCCCAGATACTCAAGAGGCTGAGGCAGCGGAATCGCTTGAACCCAGGAGGTGGAGGTTGCAGTGAGCCGACATTAGGCCACTGCACTGCAGTCTGGGTGATAGAGGGGGACTCTGTCTCAAAAAAAAAAAAAAAAAAAACCCAGCATTGGGGGACTGCATCTTGTGAGAGTCTTCTTGCTAGTGGGGATTCTTTGTAGATTCCTAAGACAGCTCAGGGCATCATACGGTGAGGGGGCCGAACATGCTAATGTGTTTGCTCAGGTCTCTATTCCTCTTTTTATAATGCCACCAGTTTCACTTCCTTGAAAATCCATTAATACATTAACCCATTAATACATTAATCCTTGAACAGATTAATTCATTCATGAGGGCAGAGCCCTTATGACCAATTACCTCCTCAAGGCTCCACAACTCTATACTGCCACCTTGGGGATTAAGTTTTGACGTGAGCTTTGGAGGGAACAAACATTCAAACCATAGCAGCCAGCAACCACCAGAAGCTAGGAGAAAAGCGCAGAATCAGTTCTCTCCCTCCAGGGGAAACCAACCCTGTCAACACCTTAATTTTGGACTTACAGGATTCAGAACTGTGAGAGATTAAATTTGGCTTTTGAGGTCCTCCAGTTTCTAGTAATTTGTTACACAGCCTGGAATTCTGATACACCATTGTTCTCCATTATCCATTTATCTCAGTAAAAGTTTTAAATTCAACGCCTTTAAAAAGCTGGGTTGCAACTGGTATTTGAGAAAAGTTGAGAAGGTGAAACTATTATTTATGACTGCCTCTTCCAGCAGTGAGGAGAGAAGCCCCCTGAAGAGCCATGAGGAAAGTAGAACACAGACAAGTGTAGTATGTCCAGGCAAGAGGTGTATACAATGCCAGGTAGGAAAATAAGAGAGATAAAGCAGGGCATGAAGTCTAAGGTTCATGTAAATAATCAGCAACCAGGTGAACTAAAAAAATTGAAGCAGAAGTAAGATGTGGGTTGGTTAAAAGTATGGGTGAATCAGAGCTCTTCATCATTTAAGGAGCAAGTCAAAGTAACATGAGAATAGAAACTCAGAGTCAGAGTAATGAAGAAAGGAAAGGAATAACCCTGAAGCTGATGCTGTTTGCTCCCCTATACCCTCCCTTCCTTTATTCCTGTCTCAGATATTTCAGTTGTGAATAACTTTTGCCTAGAGGCCTATATGTTCTAGAGTCTAAAAACAAATAGCTGACTACTGTGGAGTCAACAGAATAGGGTGCACACACAATTTTCTGGCAGAGGTATTTCTTATATTGATCACTTAAACCAGTCTCTTCATAAAATATTAACATTACAAGCCTTGGTTAGAGTATGTTAACTGCTAAGAGCCTGTGGTGAGACCTGAGTTCGTGTTGGACTATAACTTCAACATAATGCATTTTTTAAAAAATCAGTAAACACAAAGATACTTTTCCTTTTAACTACATAGGAAAATTCAGAATATCATTGTAGAACACCCTACAGTTATTGTACAGTAAATAAGTACTTCTCATTTTATTCTGGCATCTGAAACTATACCTACATGTACATATATATATACACACACATAAATACATATATATAAACATGTAACAATTTCTCATGTCTCTAACTTTAGTTTTCAGCATTGAGAGTATAGTCAGTGTGATGTTTTTACCAGAGACTGTTGTAATCCCAAATGAAAAGGAAATATGTGGTGCTATTGTGGATGAATACAGGCTGCTATAGTTGAGCATCAGAAAATAAATATACAGGGTGAGTTTAAGAAGAATTTTTAAGAGATATATTACTGCCCTAGAATAATGCTTGAGTGCTCATTTTCCAGTGTCAAAGTAGACATATGGCAGAAGATTCCAGAGAACATTTTTCCTATTTATATAAAATGGGATAAAGGATATTTAAATATAGCATTATCTAAGATTTCCTAATCTATTTATTCATTTAGTTACATTCTACAAATCTTCCAGATATAAATGTGATACAAAGAGACTCATATATTGTCTATACTCTAGGGCTATATATAGGGAAAAGACAGATATATGCATTCAACTGTAATTTATGGCAGAATGTGATGAGTCAATTATAGATTCAAAGCAAGATATGTATGTACAGATAAGAGCATAATTCTCTGTAAGTAATCAGAGGAATTTTCTTGGAAGAGAAGGGATTTGAATAATTGAACTGAGCCTTACAATTTAGGTAAGGTTTTGCTCCTCAAAGCTACAGAGAGAGTTTCATCAATGCCCCCTAGTCAATAAATCTATTGATCAGGTGAGTAGTCAGTCTAGTGTGGCTAGAGTATAGGGAACAGAGAGATAAGAGAGGAGAGGCACATGAGGTCAAGATCAAGGTCATAAAGGACCCTGGAATGCCAAAGCTAAAGTTTAGGTTTTTTTTTTTTTTTGAGACATGGTCTTGCTCTGTTGCCCAGGCTGGAGTGCAGTAGGGCAATCATGGCACACTGCAGCCTCAACCTCCTGGGTTCAGAAGATCCTCCCACCCAAGCCTCCTGAGTAGGTAGGTGTGGGAGTTCAATCAGGGTTGTGGGAAAAATTGTAGAAAGATGCAAACCTTCTTGGGAGGCTGGAAGGTTTTATAATAGTTTCAGTAAAAGATTTGGCTGAAGGCAGCTGAATTCTCTTAAAAGCTTAGGGTGTAGATATAAGGAATGTAGGGGAGTATATCTAAATAGCATGTTTACTCATGTGGTCCTAAGACTGACCTTTGATCATTTGAGGGTGACACTGCTCTCTCCAGGGGAGGGTGACCAGATTAATTACCCACAGGTGTATTGACCCAAAGCCTTTGTCATTTAATCTATACTAAATAAATGCAAACTTCACCGGCTTATCAGCACACACTGTGGACTCAGGCAGCAGAGACCCTTAGCTGTGCTGACAGGCGAAATATCTGTGTCAGTGTAAGTCTTTCATTCATCTCTGGGTCAGGGTCTGCAGGTCGGACCTGGCAGCTGGGACTATAGGCATGCATCAACATGCCCAGCTAATTCTTAAATATTCTGTAAAGATGAGGTCTCACTATGTTGCCTAGACTGGTCTCAAACTACTGACTTAAAGTGATTCTATCTCCTTGACCTTCCAAAGTGCTGGGATTACATGCATGAACCACCACACCTGTCTCAAAGCTAAAGTAGCTGGATGACATTCCTTAGGAAACATCAAGTCAATAAAAAATTTTCATGGGTGATACAGTTATTTTTTTTTAAATCATGTTCTCCTCAATATGTCTACAATACAACTGTTTCTTTGTCTCATTACCCAGATGACTGATTATGAGTTTTGGTCTGCTTTCAGAGAGTTATCCTTCTTTCCCTATTTCTTGATAGCTTTTCTTTTCAGATTCTAACTTTTGACATTTGAAATATGAGCCTCTGAACTACAGTGTCTGTATTGAATTATTTGGTAAAGTCATAAATGTATTATTTAGTCAAGTCATAAACTTGAATTTGTATACGTCAGGAATTTGTTTTAAATCTTAGTTTTTTAAAAAGCTTACCATATATAAAAATTTTGGCACTAGTGTCACCACTGTTCTTATAACATTAACTAAATTCTTCAAAATCAATCTGACTCATTTTTTACTTTAACCTAATTTCTAGTATGAGATCCACAGAGATCACTCAGCTGCCATCAAAATGTGATATAGGAATAAGATAACTGAATTGACATGTATTCCTTAGAGTAACTCTATCCACCATTTCTTTCTCCAAAAGAGTTTTGATAGCTTGTCAAACATTTTATTATGAAGAGTCATTATGTGACTGACTTCACCAAACTCCCTATCAGTACACATCCAATCAGGCTTAAAATAGAATTAGTGTTTTCCCAATTGTTTCTAGTGTTGTGAATAAGAATTGTTCACCTCAAGATATTCTGAGAGGTAACATGGTACAGTGGATTGAGGAACAAAGAGAAAGTTTTGAATCTAGACATCTATTTTTCATCATAGAATTTTCAGATAAATTTAGAGGATTTGACTTCACTTCTTTCTATAATATATTCTCTTGTCTAGGTCCTAAGCTTCCCTGATGGTATTTGGCATCTGTTTTTAAGAAAAGGATGAAGGCCGGTCACATTGGCTCACGACTGTAATCCCAGCACTTTGGGAGGCCCAGGCGGGCAGAGGACTTGAGGGCCTAAACCCGGCCAACATGACGAAACCCCATCTCTACTAAAAATACAAAACTTAGCCAGGCGTGGCAGTGCTCACCAGCTACTTGGGAGGTTGAGGCACAAGAATTGCTTGAACCCAGGAGGCAGAGGTTGCAGTGAGCTGAGATTGTGCCACTGCACTGTACTCCAGCCTGAGCAACAGAGCATCCAAGAGGATGCTGATGCTCTTGGTAAGATATTTATTGGACAAATACCTTATTTGTTCTCTCCTGCAGTTTTAAGTTCTTGCATCATGATTCCTATTACAGCTCCAAATTAAACAGAATTCCTCTTCACTTTTGTTAAACTGCTTGTCACACTTTGTCTTTGTTTTTAAGATGATAGATCTGTCAATGTGAAATGTTCCATATTACAGTTCTGTTTCTTTAGGACAAAAATGAAATCCAAGCTATTTCTAAAGGAAGAAAATTGCTTCACTGCACTCTTTCTCTGTCTCTTTTATTCCTGACAATGAATACACAAATGTATGATTTCATAAAATACCCTTACCCAATTTTGAGGCTTATATATGTGTTTATTGATTTAATCTTAATTTTTTATTGGTAAACTTATTTAGCAGTTCAATTCCACTTTTTGAATATGCATAAAAAGAGGTAGATTCACCAACACAATTGAACACTACTCAATCCTTATTATCATAGGATAATTTCACTTAATTTCAACATACATCTCTATCTTTTAGAAACAAAATAATTTAAGATATATCTTAAATTATTGATTTATAATCATATCAATGAGGACTTTAAAATTATATATGAATATAAAATGTTCAATATGAATTTGTTTTTCAGTTGCATGATTTTTATTAACTATTACAGTCAACTATCTATATCTGTTGGTTCTGCATTTATGAATTCAACCGAAGATAAAAAATATTTAAAAATATATAAAAAATACAGCAATAAAATAATACAAATTTAAAAGAATGCAGCATAAAACTGTTTACATAGCATTTACATTGCATTAGATATTATAAGTAATCTAGAGATGATTTAAAGTATGTGGGAGGATGTAGATAGGTTATACGCAAATACTACACCATTTTATATAAGGGACTTCAGCATTGGCAGATTTTGGTATTCAAGGGGGAGTGCTGGAACAAATTTTCTGTGGATATGGAGGGATGACTTTACTTTTAAAGAGGTGAAACTTGGCCACTTTGCCTAGAACTTAGTGAGGGAAGTGAGGAGAGACAGAAGCTAGATGTGGGTAGGGGCAATGGTGTGCTCTTCATGCTTGATTTCTTATGCCTCAGAAGGAAGAACGTTTTAAAAGCTGGCTACCTGTAAGAATGAATTGGAAAACCAAAGAGACAAAAATACACAAGAAAACATGAAATGTCAACAAGAGTAAGAGGTGGTCAAATGTGGACATTTGTTCCACTTAACTGAATTGTGGGTGAACACTGGAAACTAATTTGCAACCTTTGATGTAATTATCTATGCATTAATGTTACCCTAGACTTTTAAAAGAGCTAATTACAAACATTTTACATTTATGTAATAATTAAATTATTTATCTTTCCTTGCAGTTATGCATAAGCCAATTAAGTCATTTACTGAAGAGGTTAGATTGACTTTTATATCATCATTGAAATTGCTATGACTTATGACAGATTTGTCCTCTCCTTCTCAATGTCAATTTTAGAAACTTAAAATCCAATTAAATTGCTGACTTGAGAGTGGATTTTTGAAAAGTTTAGACACTCAGTTATTCAAAATATATTTAAGGCTCAGTAATAGAGAAGCACTTGATTTTCTTTGGATTTGAAGCAACTATTGTAAGAAAAATAGATTGTTCACAAGAGTTTGAACATTTCTTTTCCTGTAAGTATTTGTATTGTGTTTTATTATACTTGCTTGAAAACTTGATAACTTGTTCAGATTTCAGAATCTCATCACTATTTTCTTTCAGGGATGGAAATGCATTTCTATCAGGACATAAAAAAGTCTATGGGTTTGTCACCTTTGAGTAGGATTCATTGTCATCTCTCAAAAATCTATGAAAATTCAAAACAAAAGATATCATCCTTTTAGGAGATGTTGTAATTCACTCTCTAAATGATTTACCTGTATTATATTTGAATCTGCCAATTTTTCTGCCTTCTAGAATAAAAATAATTAGACTGGTGGGATACTCTGTGATCTCTAATAATATTTGTTGAAGCTGGCTCTTGGATATAAAATGTCTATACATTTATATTTTTCAAAAGTTCTAAATAACTGAAAATTATCAGGGATAAGAGGATGCTATTACAAGTTGAAAGATTAGCATATCATATGGATTAAAAAACAGTGTGATGAAACTGGTATTACAGTGATTTGCCTCTCAAATATTCACCTGATGTTATTTAAAGACTTTGATGCTTACTGCAATGCTGCAACACATCGGACACTCAATTAAATCTTGTTCAAGAAATGAATGAACTTTGAGTAAAATCTTGTTCTTAATTTTTAAAGTTTTATTTATGTAGTATAATATTAAAATATTTTACTACATCATTAAAAACCCAGATGATTCTATTAGTTTGTGGACAGGATTTTTTCCATAATTAATTTCATTTTATGACACACACTGCAAAGTGATCATACCTGGAAGGTATAAAATAAATCCCAAATACTTAAAAAACTAGTTATGTTCCACAAAACATGTTTTGAACTAGTCTCAATAGTTTCTTTGAAATGTAAAATTTATTTACTCTACTATTTCAAAAGTTCCGTTAGTATTCTAAAGACTAAATTAGACAATATTTCTACTGTCTGAAAGGATCATAATGACAAAAATTTATGCTACCAATAATATGGGAAAATATTATTTGTTAGAAAGAACCCTTATATTTAACTAGTATGGAAAGGGATATATCAATTATTTTCTGATCATAGATAAAGTGTAATGGTGAAGTGTTTGTTCAGTAATATGTCCCATTACATATTATTTTGTTTCTGTGAGGTTCTATTATATATTCTCTTTAGCACATGAAATCAGTTAAAATTTTAGAATAAATTTACTTTTCTCAAAAAAACCCCCACCAGATTACTCACACCATAGGACAAATTTAAAGCATTTTGTAGTTGAATAAGGCCTTAAAGATAATATAGCTTAACTTCTACCTTCTCTTCCCCTTTTCCTCTACCCACATTTTGCACGTAGGTAAATTGAGAATGAATGAAATTCCATGTTTTGAAGGTCCTACTACGTATAACTAGTGACCAGGAGAGGACGAGAGTCTTCTGACCTCCAATTTTTGTGGCTTTACCCACTGCGCATTTCTGCTTCTTTCCAAAATTTGGGCCCTTAAATTATCAGTGTCTTAGGGTGAAATTCAAGCCCTCCCAAGCACAATTTTCCATTTAGTTTCCTTTTATCTTTGTATGAATAGTATGACAGGGAAGCCTGGTTGAGGATAAGGGACATTCACGAGGTTTAAGGGACGTGTTTAAGACTACATGTACTTAGCCTAAGGGACAGGACAATAAACAAAACCTAAGACCCTATAGTCAGTACATTTTTCACTAAATCAAAAAGCTTCTGGTATAAATGTGCATTCAAGCCAGAGCATATTGCCATGCTGGGGGAAGGAAGAGCATGATTATGGCAAAAATATGTAAATGAGCACCTGCTGAAGACCACCAGAGCCATCTGCTCCTTGGAATCACGTACCCATTTACCAACCTCTTTTTGTTAGCTTTTCCCCTCAGTTGTTCAGGACATGAAGGGAGGACCACATTCTCTAATTATGAATTTTAAAGCATTAGCAATAATTGAGATCATCTCATAAAATGAACTTGCCAAAGAAGTGCCTGCTTGATTTAGTGGACTAGTATCTTAAACTGCTTGGAGACCTATGTGCGAATCTTAAAGAAATTGTGGCCAAAAAAATTCTTAAAGTTGACCCTATAGATTATCAGAATCAGAATGAGGTATTCATTCTAGCATTGGCTATATCTCTGATTTATGATTCTAGCATCCTTTAGAACCTCAACCAAATCCCATCAATGTACTCCACTAAATACCTTTCCTAGTTCTATTAGTGTCTATTAAAAAGTCCATTAGTAGACTAGTCATTGATATTGACATTATAAAAATTGTGCATAGCTGCATAGACAATTTGAAATATGCAGAAAACAAGAAAATGGAAATGAAAGAATAAAAGACACAAGTAATTACCACCTAGATAGAGTTGCTCATTTTAGGTATATATTTTTTCACTATGTGTGAATATATATGTAAAATTTGTGAATAAATGAAAAATACAAATAACATCAGGTACGGTTTATTTACATATATTCAAAACGTAACATTCTAGACATACAAAATTTTATCATTTAACAATGTATTGTGAAAATGTACTGTGTCATATAATATTTTATAACATCATTTATCATTTTTGCATGGTGTAGATGAATTCTGGTTGATTTAATTATTCCCTTTTGTTTTATACTTAGGTTGCTAGCAGTATCTTTATTCTAATTAACTTTTATAAAAATCATTACACATATATCTTGGCACACATATCTAATTATTTCCTTAGAAAAATATTCTCAAAGTGGGAATTGTTGGGTCAAAGAGTATAAACCTTACTCCTAAAAGATATTTTTGAAGACTTATGTATATATGGTAAGACGTTTTAACCTAATTATTCTCATCATCATAGTCACCATTCCTGGACATTTATTATCTGCTGAATGCAGCTCACATTACATGGGTTTTCTTATTTATTTGGCACAACAAAATCCTTTGTGTTTACTATTATTATGCTCGATACTGAGATTTGGTGGAAGATAAATTTTAATAATTTTGTATATTTTTAAAGTGTATTTGACCTTGCCAGCACTCTATATCCTTATCTTTTATGCAAGCTGGTTTTGTAAGCCTTAACTTATTACTGTTAATAGTCCCCTGTACCTCCATAAATTTTTTTTTGAGACAGAGTCTCGCTCTGTCGCCCAGGCTGGAGTGCAGTAGCATGATCTTGGCTCACTGCAACCTCTGCCTCCCGGGTTCAAGTGATTCTTGTGCCTCAGCCTCCCAAGTGATTCTTGTGCCTCAGCCTCCCAAGTACAGGCATGTACCACTATGCCCGGCTAATTTTTGTATTATTATTATTATTTTATTTTTTAGTAGAGACAGGGTTTTACCATGTTGGCCAGGCTGGTCTCAAACTCCTGACCTCAGGTGGTCCACCTGCCTAGGCCTCCCAAAGTGCTGGAATTACAGGCATGAGCCACCGCGCCTGGCTACCTCGATAGATTTTTATGTCCTAACATAGAAGGGCATGAACTACAAAACTACTCTGCCAATTCACTCACTTACTTATAACAAGGACCTTTTTTTCCCACATAAAATTGTGAATACTACTTGCTACTATTCTTCCATAATTATCCTTTTGTTCTGGCTACTATCTCAAAGATAGGTAGATAATTTATAGCTGCACACATTACAAACCTGTACTTGCCATCATTCTCTCTTTGAATCTGACTCTGAAAAACAGGACTGGCTTCTAGAGGAAGTGGATGGGATTGATTATACTACCAAATAAGGAAGTACTATGGAGTAGAATTTGGGTGATGGTTAAGAACTGCCTATAGTGTGTATGACAATTTGTCATACTACATATACATATTACATGTGTACATTACATGTGGGGGCCTAATTTGATGTAGCACATATTAAAGACTATGCAACAGCACTTTTTGTAGCAAATTACATCATATTAGCTGCTAATTCTTTCTTAACGAATGGTAAAAAATTGGGCAAAAAATGAGTTCTGGAATATGGTATTTCAGTATAAAATCATGTATGCAAATTAATTCATTCTATTTTTAGTTTTTATGCTTCTCATTAGGTCTTCTTTTCCTCTCTGTTAATGTTAGGTATCTATACTTGTCAATGGACAAAAATGAATTTTTATCAGTGACTTTTTTAGCAATAATAATG